>NC_000021.9:36434387-36744341 GCF_000001405.40 Homo sapiens
TCCCCTTCTCTAACTCTGTAGTCTTTGGGAGATCACCATGCCTGCATGCCATTTAGCTGGCAGTAAACAGGGTTACTTTCTTTGTGTCTTTTAAAGTTTTAAACGCTTGCTACAGACTAGGGAATTCTTTGTGTCTTAAACACAAGGGTGCTAACATCTATTGAAGAAGTCACACCAATGTTGTCTGGGGTTTTAATTTACACTGGCTTATCTTATGCCTGGAGAGCCCCTTCTGGAAAAGTTTGCAGTCAAAGGGAAGCCAGAGCCCTAGTTCAAGGGAGGGAGGTTGCTGAGAATTAGCCAGGTGGTTTAAGCACCCGGCAAGCCTCAGTAATGGAGCGTGATGTATAACCCTGGGCTCTCCCTGCAGCCTCTCGGCATATCACTCACACCTTCTAGGCTGTCCTGTTGAGACTTGTGCCTGCTCCTGCAGAGCGCTGGGGCCTCTGAATGTTATTTCTCCTGCCTGACAAATCCAGACTTTCCCAAATTCAAAAGCACACCTCAAAAGAGAGATTACTTTATCGATGCCCTGGCAAGTACATTTTCCACCCCCACCATCCTGCCAAGTCCCCCATATTCTGCTATGGATTTGGCTTTTCACAGACTTATTTATTTAGTCCATTTAGAAAAACTGTACCTTTGGAGATAAAAGGTAGTGTAAAGAGAGGAAATAACAGTGGGAATACAGAAAAAAACAAAAGGCAGTGACCAGCATGCGTTAAAAGTCAATAAAATGCGGCCAGGTGCAGTGACTCACGCCTGCAATCCCAGCACTTTGGGAAGCCAAGGCAGGCGGATCACTTGAGGTCAGGAGTTCAAGACCAGCCTGGCCAAAATGGTGAAACCCTGTCTCTACTAAAAATACAAAAATCAGCCAGGCATGATGGGGGGCGCCTGTAATCCCAGTTACTCTGGAGGCTGAGGTGAGAGAATTGCTTGAACCCGGGAGGCGGAGGTTACAGTGAGTCAAGATCACACCATTGCACTCCAGCCTGGGCAACAGAGCGAGACTCTGTCTCAGGGAAGAAAAAAAAAAACAATAAAATGCCTATTTGAAAGGGTTCTTCTTTGGTTCTCTTGTAATGGATTGACTGAGACTCCCCTCTCCGCAGTGCTAATGCTCAAAGGGAAAAGTGTCTTTACAAGCAGGCCCCATTTGCAGTGATATTCCAGAAGGCAGATGCCCCGGCCTGGCTATGTGTATGTCTGTGCTTCCTGGCCAGCTGCAGTTGAGGCTTCTCCTGCATGCATCTGTTATTGGTCCCCAGTTTTCTAGCGTGGGGATCAGAAGTGGTATCAACTGTTAGAGGGTTGGGGCAACTCTTAGAATTATGAATTTTCAGCCAGGCACTGTGGCTCATGCCTGTAATCCCAGCACTTTGGGAGGCTGAGGCGGGTGGATCACCTGAGGTCAGGAGTTCCAGACCAGCCTGGCCAACATGATGAAACCCTGTCTCTACGAAAAATACAAAAATTAGCCAGGTGTGGTGACAGACGCCTGTAATCCCAGCTACTCGGGAGGCTGGGACACAAGAATGGCTTGAACCTGGGACACAAGAATGGCTTGAACCTGGGAGGCGGAGGTTGCAGTGAGCCTAGATTGTGCCACTGCACTCCAGCCTGAGCGACACAGCAGGACTCCATCTCAAAAAAAAAAAAAGAATTATGAATTTTCTTTTTTTTTCTTTTAAAAGTCATTCTTGGCCAGGTGTGGTGGCTCACGCCTGTTATCCCAACACTTTGGGAGGCCAAGGCGGGCAGATCACCTGAGAGATCAGGAGTTCAAGATCAGCCTGGCCAACATGGTGAAACCCCATCTCTGCTAAAATACAAAAATTATCTGGGCATGATGGTGCACGCCTATAGTCCCAGCTACTTGAGAGGATGAGGCACGAGAATCACTTGAACCCAGGAGGTGGAAGTTGCAGCGAGCCGAGATCCAAGATGGCACCACTGTACTCCAGCCTGGGCAACAGAACGAGACTCCATCTCAAAAAAAAAAAAAAAAAAAAAAATCATTCTTTGCCAGACCAACAATTCAGGCAGGTTACGGCAACAGGAGAGGATCCCACAGCTTGCTGAGCTTTGGGGTCATCTATAAATCTGTTTGCTGCTAATTTTCCTGGCACTTTGGTAGGTCAAGGCCGGCAGAGACCAGACTGGCCAACACGACGAAACCCCGTTCTACTAAAAATACAAAACAAATTAGCTGGGTATGGTGGCATATACCTGTAATCCCAGCTTCTTAGGAGGCTGAGGCAGGAGAAATGCTTGAACCAGGGAGGCAGAGATTGCAGTGAGCCGAGATCACCCCGCTGCACTCCAGCCTAGGCAACAGAACGAGACTCTGTCAAAAAAAAAAAAAATTAGAAGGAGCCAGAAGCTAGACCTGGAATGCAGTAATGTCAAGACAGCTAATATTGGTCTCCTGGACAAATAATAACTGATCAAGTAAACTTTAAGTTGTGGCTTAAAAATGGCACCCCACTATGTATGTGTGTGTGTGTATATATATACACACACATATATATATACACACACACACACATATATGTATATATAAGTGAATACCAGATAGTTGAAAGATTTAAACATAAACTACTTCATGTCTGTTGCCTCATGGTCACAAAGTGGCTGCTCACCTCCAGCATCACGTTTTTTAGGCACTGTTAAAAAGCTGCTAAAATGACTTCCTGGAAGCCTTGGTAATTTCCACTTACATTTCACTGGCCAAGATCTAGCTGTAAGAGAGATTGGGAAAAACGAATGTCTTTATCTGGGTACATTGCTCACCCCAAACAATACTGGAGTTTTTAAAAGAAAAAATGATAGAAGGGATAATAGGTATACAACTAGTAGCATCTGCCCAGTGTCTCACTGACTAATTGTTGTAAGATGTTGGGGGAAGAGAGAAACAAGAATGACATCTGGGCTCTAGGCCCCAGGGACTGGGAAGCCAATGACACTGTCTACTGATTTGGAAACATAAGGTTGGGAAATCAATACTTCTCTTTTAGCCATATTCAGTTTGAGATGCCTGTGAGATTTCTGAGTAGAGAAATCAAGGAGACAGTGGAACATGCATACCTGCAGCTCCAGGATATACAGATTTGAGAGAGCAGCATATGAATGAAATTTTAAAACCATGGACTGGATGACATCACCAGGCAGAGAAGAGGAGAAAGTCTAGGACAGGCTGGATACAGTGGCTCATGCCTGTAATCCCAGCACTTTGAGAGGCAGAGGTGGGTGGATCACCTGAGGTCAGGAGTTCAAGACCAGCCTAACCAACATGGCGAAACCCTGGTTCTACTAAAAATACAAAAATTAGTCGGGCATGGTGGCGGGCACCTGTAATCCCAGCTACTTGAACCTGGGAGGCAGAGGTTGCAGTGAGCCAAGATCGTGCCTCTGCACTCCAGCCTGGGCGATAAGAGTGAAACTCTGTCTCAAAAAAAAAAAAAAAAGGTCAGGACAGAGACCTGGGTCTGGAGGGAGGAAGAGCAAACGAAGAGATTGCACCAGAACCTGCAGTGTTCCCCCAAGCCCCAGGAGGAAGGTTTCCAGGATGAAGAAGTGGTCAAATATGTGACTTGGCTGCTGCCACTGTGAGTAAGATAAGGATAGAAAACCAGCTGGTGGTTTTGGCAAAATACGGGCCATTCGTGTCCTTGATAAGAACTTTTACTCACTGTCTGGTGGACGTAGCCACTCCCTTAATGATGCACACTTGACTTGTCTTTTTTTTTTTTTTTTTTTGACCCCCCAGATCCCATAGACTGAGAGTTGTATCTTGTTTTCTCTGCTTTTTTGCTAATGAAGGCAATGCTACAATGAGAATCTTGTGCATATATGTTTGCAAACCTGTGAAAGTATTTCTTTTGGATAAGGCCTAGAAACCATTGAGTCAAAAAGTATGCATATGTTAAATTGTAATCCATATCATCAGATGTCTACTAAATAGTTATACCGATTTACATTCCCACCAGCAGTGTTTTTGAGTTTTAGTTTCACATAAAATTGTATCTTTGCTAATCTGGTAGTTGAAAACTCTTGTTAACTTCATTTGAACTTCTTTTTTTTCCATTGGATATTTGCATTCATATTTTTCCCCATGTTTCTTTTCAGTTATTCTTTTTTCTTTTCTTTTCTTTTTTTTTTTTTTTTTTTTGAGACGGAGTCTTACTCTTTCATCAGGCTGGAGTGCAGTGGCGTGATCTCGGCTCACTACAACCTCCACCTGCCGAGTTCAAGCGATTCTCCTGCCTCAGCCTCCTGAGTAGCTGGGAATACAGGCACCTGCCACCACGCTCAGCTAATTTTTGTATTTTCAGTAGAGACGGGGTTTCACTATGTTGGCCAGGATGGTCTGGATCTCTTGACCTCGTGATCCGCCTGCCTCGGCCTCCCAAAGTGCTGGGATTACTGACGTGAGCCACCGCGCCTGGCTCTTTTTTCTTGTTGATTTATCAGAGCTCATATATATACATATATATTTATATATACACATACACATATATAATTTTTTTCCAGTTTATGGTTACCTTTTGATTTTTAAGTGGTTTTTCTTGCCAACTTTAAATTCTGTATTTATTACATAGTTAAATTTGTCAGTTTTGTTCTTTTTTGCTTGGAAAGGCCTTCATCACCCCAATATTATAAAAATATTCATTTTCTTCTATGTTTTATAGTTTCTTTTTAAGATCGAATATTTGATCTCTATAGAGTTATTCTGGTATCAGAAGAGAGGTTGAAAGCCAGGCTTTATTTTCCAAGTGGTTAGCCAGCTGTTTCAACACCATTTCTTCAACAATTTATTTTTCCCCAATCAATTTAAAATGCCACTCTTATTATTCAATGAATATCCACATATTGGTGGCTCCATTTCTGAATTATTTTTTGTTCCATGAGTCTACCTATGAATTTGTCTACTGCTGTACCAGTACCATACTGTTTTAATCACTGTAGCTTTATGTGTCGGTTAGGAAGCCTTTCTGTTGCCAGTGCTGGAAAATCCATCTTAAACTGGTTTACGCACAGGGCAATGTATTGACTCAAATAAATGAAAAGACCGGGAGTGCTGAAAGTCACCAGGATCCTTTCTTTTTCCGTCACTTGACTTTGCTCCCAAACTACGCCAGAGCCCGTCTCTTTGAAGGTTCAAGTCCAGCTGCCTCTCTCTGGCTGCTGCACGAGCCCTGTTGGCTCTTATGGGCATTAATGGGATCACAGGCACATCCTGGGGCAGGCCTGAGTCAATGCCAGGGTGGAGTCAGCTTCACCCAAAGTACTTGGGCTAAGAGGGAAAATGGGGTCCCACGCAAGGAAAGTGGGTGTGTCACCGGAATGGAAGGTAAGAGCCAGTAGTAGCTGGGCAGTGAGACCAAAGGATGTCTTCCATTAGTGAATCACTGTCGGTCCCCTGCAGACCATGCGTCCCTTGTTTCTCCTCATTTCCATAAATTCCCTGGTTATTCTCATGTGTTAATTTTTTTTTTTTTTTTTGAGATGGAGTTTCGCTTTTGTTGTCCAGGCTGGAGTGCAATGGCACAATCTCGGCTCGCTGCAACCTCTGCCTCCTGGGTTCAAGTGATTCTCCTGACTCAGCCTCCCAGGTAGCTGGGATTACAGGTGCCTGCCATCACACCTGGCTAATTTTTGTATTTTAGTAGAGACGAGGTTTCACAATGTTGGTCAGGCTGGTCTTGAACTCCTGACCTCAGCTGATCCACCCACCTTGGCCTCCCAAAGTGCTGGGATTACAGGCGTGAGCCACCACGCCCAACCTCTCATGTGTTAATTCTTACATTTGAATTCAGAAAATAATTTTTTCAAGTTCTAAAAGAGAAAAATGAAAGCTTATATTTGATTGCATTGGATTTATAGACTGATCTCAGGGAAAAGGACGCCCTTACAGTACTGAGCGTATTGAGTCATCCTATCCAAACGCATGGGCTACTAAAAATACAAAACTTAGCTGGGTGTGGTGGTGGATGCCTGTAGTCCCAGCTCCTCAGGAGGCTGAGGCAGGAGAATCATTTGAACCCGGGAGACAGAGGTTGCAGCCAGCCGAGATTGCGCCACTGCACTCCAGCCTGGACAACAAGAGTGAAACTCCATCTCAAAAAAAAAAAAAAAAAAAAAATCACGATTTAGTTCTTTTTGAAAAACAAAGTAGAAAGATCACAAACTCGTTTTATCATTTTTTTAGAAGGCAGGGGTCGGGAACACAAATAATAAAATTAGGATCAAGTAAGGGAAATAATTACAAGACAATATTTAGGCAACCTGTGCTAGTTAATGGTCTTCTAGGAAAGTATGTCTTACTAAAATTGACCACAGAAAAGATGGAAAGGGTTACTTAGTAATTTTGGTAAAAATGGAAAAAGTTGTCAATGAACGATTCCCCCACAAAAACCACATTCAGATGGTTTCATGGCAATTCTGCCAACTTTTTGTTTTGAATTTCCAGCTTTTACTTTAAGTTCAGGGGTACATGTGCAGGACGTGCAGGTTTGTTACATAGGTAAATGTGTGCCATGGCAGTTTGCTGCACAGAGCATCCCATCACCTAGGTATTAAGCCCAGCATCCATTAGCTACTCTTCCTGGTCCTCTCCCTCCTCTCACCCCTCACCCTCCCACAGGCCCAGTGTTTGCTGTCCCCGCCCCCACCCCCCTGCCATGTGTCTATGTGTTCTCATCATTTAGCTCCCACTTATGAGTGAGAACATGCAGTATTTGGTTTTCTGTTTCTGTGTTAGTTTGCTAAGGATAATGGCCTCCAGCTCCATCCATGTCCCTGCAAAGGACATGATCTTGTTCCTTTGTATGGCTGCATAGTATTCCATGGTGTAAATGTACCATATTTTCTTTATCCAGCATCTATAAGGAACTTAAATAAATTTACAAGAAAAAAACAACCCCATTAAAAAGCGGGCAAAGGGCTGAGCATGATGGCTCGTGGCTGTAATCCCAGCACTTTGGGAGGCCAAGGCGGGAGGATCATTTGAAGTCAGGAGTTCGTGACCATCCTGGGCAACAGGGCGAAACCCCATCTCTACTAAAAATACAAAAATTAGCAGGCATGGTGGCATGCGCCTGTAATCCCAGCTACTCAGGAGGCCGAGACAAGAGAATCGCTGGAACCCAGGAGGCGGAGGTTGCAGTGAGCCAAGATCATGCCACTGCACTCCAGCCTGGGTGACAGAGCAAGACCCTGTCTCAAATAAATAAATAAATAAATATTGATACAAATGCTAAATAAAACATTAGAAAATAGATCCCATAAAGATAAATGTACACCATAAATGAATTTATTCAAAATCCATCCCAGAGGACTCAGTAGTTCAAAGGAGAAAAATAATACAAGCATCACAAGATGAGCCATTGAGACATTTGATAAACTTCCACCGCCTTTTCTAATTGGAAAGAGAAGGCAATTTGTGAAGAAGTTCTTGCCTTCTACTCCGGTGACACACCCACTTTATCTTCCCGGTACCTTCTATTCCGGTGACACACCCACTTTCCCTTCATGGCACCTGTTTCCCTCTCAGCCCAAGTACTTTGGGTGAAGCTAACTCCACTCTGGCATTGACTCAGGCCTGCCCCAGGATGGGCCTGCGACCCCATTAATGCCAATAAGAGCAAGTGGGGTTCACGAAGCAGCCAAAGAGAGGCAGCTGGACTTGAACCTGGGAAGAGACAGGCTCTGGCTTAGGTTGGGAACAAGGTTGAGTGACAGAAGTTAGAAGTTCTTTATGCTTTTTTTTTTTTTTTCTGAGAAAGAGTTTTGCTCTTGTTGTCCAGGCTGGAGGGCAGTGGCGCAATCTCGGCTCACTGCAACCTCCGTCTCCCGGGTTCAAATGATTCTCCTGCCTCAGCCTCCCGAGGAGTTGGGACTACAGGCATCTACCACTATACCCAGCTAAGTTTTGTATTTTTAGTAGAGACGGGGTTTCCCCAGGTTGGCCAGGCTCGTCTTGAACTCCTGACCTCAGGTGATCCACCCGCCTTGGCCTCCCAAAGTGCTGAGATTTCAGGAGTGAGCCACCGTGTCCAGTGATAAATCATGAATTTGCTAACAATTCTTCTGTTTTCCCTTCTGTTTCCTTTAAGTTTTGTATTAATTTTTCTAAGTCCCTCCTCCCTGCAGAATACTGGATTCACTTTTGCTTTCCGTGAAGTATTTAAGAATATAAATATCATTTTGCCTTCAGCTTTGACCTTGTCCCATGAGGTTTTGATATATAATATCCTCATTATTGTAATTTCCTAGATAGGCTGCAGTTGTAGTTTTATTTCCTCTTTAAAATGAGGAAAAACGAGATTTTTTTTACATTTCCGATAGGTTGAGTATTAATTTTCTTTTTGCTTCAACCTTATTATTTTTAGTTTTATTGTAGCTTGAGAACGTGGTTTCTATTTCACTTCTTAGAATTTATTGAGGTTTTCTTTGTGATCTAATATATTGTAAAATTGTGTAAGTCTCCTATTGTTTTTGAAAAGACAGTGTATTCTATTTTCTCTTTCCTTTCAGGACACAGAATTAGACATACATGTACAGTGTAAGATCAGCCTTGTCCATCTTATTCAGACCCTCTGCATCTTATTTTTTATTTTATTTATTTATTTTTGAGACGGAGTCTTGCTCTGTCGCCCAGGCTAGAGTGCAGTGGCGCGATCCCGGCTCACTGCAAGCTCCACCTCCCGGGCTCATGCCATTCTCCTGCCTCGGCCTCCCGAGTAGCTGGGACTACAGGCGCCCACAACCACGCCCGGCTAATTTTTGTATTTTTAGTAGAGACAGGGTTTCACCATGTTAGCCAGGAAGTTCTCGATCTCCTGAACTTGTGATCCACCGGCCTCGGCCTCCTAAAGTGCTGGGATTACAGGTGTGAGCTACCGTGCCTGGTCAGCCTCTGCATCTTTTTTACCCGCTTACTTGATGATAGGGACTGAGAGAAGTGAGTTAAAATATCCTACACTAATATGTTACTGTCCTTTGTTGCAGATCCTGAGAAATATCTTTTCACTGTGGATCATGAGGTTCATCATAATCAAGTGATCTTTTCATATAACTTACTGAGTTTTTCTTGAATTCAGCTTTCTCAGATGTGACTATTATACACTTTCTCTTGCTTTCTTTTTATTCAGGGACCATCATTTATTTAGGTACCATCATATTATTTTGCTTGTAATTTGACTTTCAGCTGTTCTGAACCACCTTGTTTTAATATATCAGCATATATTTAGAGTTATCTTTTTAAATGTAATGTGAGGCCGGATGCGGTGGCTCACGCCTGTAATCCCAGCACTTTGGGAGGCCGAGGCGGGCGGATCACCTGAGGTCAGGAGTTCATAGGCCAGTCTGGCCAACATGGCGAAACCCCATGGTGGTGAGCGCCTGTAATCCCAGCTACTCGGGAGACTGAGGCAGGGAGAAGTGCTTGAACCTGGGAGGCGGAGGTTGCAGTGAGCCAAGATGGCACCATTGCACTCCAGCCTGGGCGACAGAGCGAGACTCAGTCTCAAAAAAAAAAAAAAAAAAAAAAAAACAAGTAATGTGAGAATTTTTAGATTTTATTAAGCTTATTTGACTATATTATAATTGATTACCTCTATCTAAAACTCTCTCTGTGTATGTAATTTTAATACTTTCTTGCTCTTTCTTTGGTTTCTATCTTTTGTTATGTTTTTCTCTTCTTTGAATTCAGAAGGCAGATAGTCTTTGGGGTTCTACTAGTGATTACTTGCACAACTTTTTTTTTCTTTATTCTAAAAAAATAAAACCGAGATACATGTGCAGAGCGTGCAGGCTTGTCACATAGGTATCCGTGTGCCGTGGTGGTTTACCACACCCATCAACCCATCCCCTAATTCCCTCCCCTCACCCTCCACCCCCGACAGGCCCCGGTGTGTGATGTTCCCCTCCCTGTGTCCACGTGTTCTCATTGTTCGACTTCCACTTATGAGTGAGTACATGAGGCGTTTGGTTTTCTGTTCCTGTGTTTGTCTGCTGAGGATGATGGCTTCCAGCTTCATCCATGTCCCTGCAAGGGACATGATCTCATTCCTTTTTATGGCCGGCTACTTTCACAACTTTAAATAGTATCCTTAAACCTATTTTTCACAATGTATGAAATTCAGTAACATAACCATCCCTCTTTATTTTCTCATATAAAAGATGAGAAAATGGGCCAGGTGTGGTGGCTTATGCCTGTAATCCCAGCACTTTGGGAGGCTGGGGCAGGAGGATCGTTTAAGCCCAGGGGTTCAAGGGTGCGGTTATCTATGATTGCACCACTGCACTCCAGCCTGGGTGACAGAGCAAGCTGCTGTCTCAAAAAAAAAAAAAAAAAAAGAGAAAATGTACTCTTGGAGCATCTATTTCTCCATTTCCTAATTTTATTTACTTGTTCTGGAGTGTTTGTCCTACTTTATATCATTGTCTGTTGAAAATAATGAAATATTCCTCTCTTTCCCAGGAATTACAATATTCTTGTAATTAGAGCTTCTGCATTACTTGGATGTAATTTATAGTTAATAGATTCAATGCTCTGTGCTGATTTTTAATCATATGACTTCCTCATTTCTAATTTATTTATTTATTTATTTTTAAAAGAGAAATGAGGCCTTGCCCTCAGACCCAGGCTGGTCTTGAACTCTTGGGCTCAAGCGACCCTCCTGACTCAGCCTCCCAAAGTGCTGGGATTACAGTCATGAGTCACCTCATCCAGCCTAAGTTAATTATTTTAATCTTATCTTTAAAATAGATTGTGTCTTCAAGTAGATTTTTTGAATCTTATTGAGGTATACTTGCAGTATACTAAATTGCATGTATCTAAAATGTACAACTGGATCAGTTTAGGTTCACACGCACCTATGAAACCATCACTGCAATAAAGAGAATAGCCATTTCCATCTGAGGAAAAGCAACGCTCTATATGGAGGATGGACAACCCAGATATCTAATGTACCGCTAATTTTATAGACCTAAAAATACAATAGAACAAAGGGAATAGAAAAAAATTAAAAGCATAATAAAAACAGAATTTCCTGAAATGAAGGAAGACATAAATGTTTACATCAAAGAAGTCCTTCATTATAATAAAGAACTATAAACTCTGAGTGAAATTTTTGAAAGACAAGCTTAAAAAGAATATGGCAAAAATAAAGTTATATGCTAAGAAAAGTAGTCTAACTTCAGATTTCTTCTCTTCTTTTCTTTTCTTTTAGAGGCAGGGTCTCAGTCTGTCACCCAGGCTGGAGTACAGTGGCACCATCTTGGCTCACTCTAGCCTCGACCTCCTGGGCTCAAGTGAGCCTCCTACCTCAGTCTCCCAAAATGCTGGGATTACAAGCATGAACCACTGTGACTTGCCTTCTTGGCAATTTTAAATGAAAGAAGAAGATGGAATAATGCCTACTGAGGACTATGTTTGAGGGGTGTTGTATGACCCCGTTTTCCATACCCAGCCAACTTGTCATGTGACAAGTCCACAGAAAGATGTTATATGACAGGAATCTATGAACTAGTCTTCCCTGAAATGTACCTGACTACAGCTAACATCATATCACATGATGAAAGACCGCGTTGTTTTCCCCTGAGGTTGGCAGTAAGTACACTCACTTTCAATACTTCTGTTCCCCATGGTTCTGGAGGTTGCAGACATGGCAATAGGTAAGGAAAAGACATAAACATAGGAAGTGACAAAATATAGAGTTTTATGTAAATGGAACCATATGGTAGTTACCTGGGGATGCGGTGGAGAGAGGGAGAGGTTGCCTAAGCTTGTGGGTGATAGAAATATTTATCTTCATTGTCAAAAATAATATGGGAGAAATTTCCCTTTCCTGTCTTCCTGAGCACGGCTGGAATCATCCCCTTAGCATTTACTCTGCAAAGTGGCATCTCACCGTCTCTTCTCTCTTTAGATCTTTAGTTGTTTGAGTGGTTGCCTTAGCGTTTGGGAGGAGGACGGAGGCTGTGGTTTCTGGAAACTCCGGCCCTTTGGCTTCTCTCTGAATGTGTTGACTCCGTGGGAAACTGGCTGTTCTGTGCATGTGGGGGTAACCTTTGTATTTCAGTTTGTTTTTCTGCATTGGTGTGAGGCAGTCACTTCACTGAGGAGTTGAGCTGGAGTTGTGCCTTGCAGCCTGGCCTGGAGACTTCTGTTGTGTATGTGAGCGCTTGTTTTTATCCAACAGTCGCTGCTTGCCTGCAGCTGCGAAGTATGTGTGTGTCTCCAGATCTCCCCGGTTGAGAAGGGAGGGCCTCTCTGAGGAGTCGACATTTGAGGAGAAACTTGAATGAAGGAAAGGAAGGAGCCATTTGGAGATTGTGGGGAAGAGCATGCCAGGGAGAGGGAACAGCAGATAAGAAAGCGCAGGGCCGTGGGGGCTTCGTGCTGTTTGGCCAAGAGCCTCTTCCTCCTGTCTCGCTGGTCTGCAGCGGGAAGAGTGTCCGAATGAGCCCACTCATGCCTTTGGCTCTTCTAGGCCAGCAGGGATTTCAGGGTTGCAGGGAGCCCTTCGGAACTTCCTTCTCTTCCTGTGGCGCCCCTCACCGTGCTCCCAATCCCGTGTCTGTGTGCATCCCTGGTGTGGCCTTTCTCACTTACACCCAGCCAGTGGTCTTTGATGTTTATGACAAGAGGCCGAAGCTCTTCATATTTTCAGATGAAATGGAGTTTTCTTTCTCATGGAGCTCAGTTATCCATCGTCCCTTTGTCCTTTTGCTCCTGAGAATACATGTGTCTGCTCCATGCTGCGCCAGCCCAGTCATGGAACTCAATGTTTCTGCAGTTTCCCTCCGAACATTTCCAGTTGCCCAAAGGCATTCGTGGTTTCACAAATTTTACTGAAGGTTTAGTATGGAGACGGCAGAGAGTTGCATCTTGTACTCCATTGCAAACAATGGAAAATCCTCCTTCGATGCTACTCTGTAGGTTACCCCTAGGTTACCCCTCAGTGGGTGCCACCCCTTAGAGATCGCTCTCACTCTGGGAGTGGTCAGAGAGGAGCGCAGGGCTGTCCATGTCCCTCCCACATGGCTGCTGCCTCCTCCTTCCTGACTGCAGCCTTGGGCTGGGAGCTCCCGTCTTCCTCCCTGGTCACAGCTTGGGAAATCGTCTCCTATTACATGTTTTAAAAATTGAGGTGAAATTCACATAACATAAAATTAACCATTTAAAAGTGTACAATTCAGGCGTCCAACATGGTGAAACCACGTCTCTACTAAAAATATAAAAAATTAGGTGTGGTGGTGCACGCCTGTAGTCCCAGCTACTTGGGAGGCTGAGGTGGGAGGATCGCTTGAACCCAGGAGGTGGAGGTTGCAGTGAGCCAACATCATATGACTGGACTCCAGCCTGGGCAACAGAGGGAGACTCGGTCTCAAAACTAAATAAATACATAAAAGTGTACAATTCAGTAGCATTTAGTACATACACAATGTTGTACAATCACCACGTCTATCTAGTGAAAAATATTTTACTCTTGAAAAATGTCTAAATCATCCCCAAAGAAAATGCCATACTTCATTAGAATTCACTGTCTATTCCTCTCCTCGCAGCCCCTGGCAACCACCCATGGGACTGGGCTGATACAGTGGGGCACACACATGGCACATGGGACATCTGTACATTGGACTATTCTTCAACCATTTAAAAAAAATGGGCCAGGTGCTGTTGCTCAGGTTGGTAATCTCAGCACTTTGGGAGGCCAAGGAAGGAGAATCACTCAAGGCTGGGAGTTTGAGACTAGCCTGGGCAACATAGAAAGAACCCATCTCTACAAAAAAAATTAAAAAATCAGCCAGGTGTATGGTGCATGCCTGTGGTCCCAGCTACCTGGGGGGCTGGGGTGGGAGGATAGCTTGAGCCTGGGAGGTCCAGGCTGCAGTGAGCCATATCTCGCCACTGCACTCCAGCCTGTGTGACATAGTGAGACCTTGTCTCAAAAAAAAAAAAAAAAAAAACAACTCTGTTTTTGAGATGGAGTCTTGCTCTGTCACCCAGGCTGGAGTGCAGTGGCATGATCTCGGCTCACTGCAACCTCTGCCTCCCAGGTTCAACCAATTTTCCTGCCTCGGCCTCCTGAGTAGCTGGGATTACAGGCACCCACCACCACGCCTGGCTAATTTTTTTTTTTGTATTTTTAGTAGAGATGGGGTTTCGCCATATTGGCCAGGCTGGTCTCGACCTGCTGACCTCAGGTGATCCACCCGCCTCGGCCCCGCAAAGTGCTGGGATTACAGGCGTGAGCCACCACGCCCACCAAAAAAGGTAGTTCGGATCTGTGCTACAACATGAATGAATCTTGGACATTATGCAACTTCATATAAATGCAGTCACATAATATGTGGCCTTTTGTATCTTTTTTTTTTTTCATTTAACATAATGTTTTCTTGGAGGTCCAGCCACACTGCGGCATGTATCAGAATGCATGTGGCGAGTATACTATCTCTGTATGGCTAGACCATATTGTGTTCCTCCATTGGTCTATTGATGGACATTTGAGTTGTTTCTTCCTTTTGGCTATTGTGGGTAATGCTGCTATGAACATTTGTGTAGAAGTGTTTGTTGAGTCCCTGCTTTCACCTGTTTTGGATATATTCCTAGGAGTAGAATTGTGGGGTCATTATTGCATTTTAATTAGAAGGACTCTCTACTCTCTGAAATGTGTTGGTGACATCATTGTCTGTGGCTTTTTGAGGATTCCTGTCCATCATTTCACATTTTCTGAATTCTCCAGTTTCACCTACTTGAAGGTCTCCCATAGAACCACTCATGGACTCCAAGGTGCCTGTTGTGAAGGCCTTGACCCCTCTCACATGCTGCTCTTGTTTTGCACTGAAATACTAAATAAGAGGAACAGTGCTTTGCCGTTGTCGGGGGCTGAGGGGGAAGGAGGAGACAGAGATGGGGTGAAGCTGTCCTTTTTTTTTTTTTGAGATGGAGTCCTGCTTTGTCGCCCAGGCTGGAGTGCAATGGCGCAATCTGGGCTCACTGCAACCTCTGCCTGCCTGCTTCAAGCGATTCTCCTGCCTCAGCCTCTCGAGTAGCTGGGATTACAGGTGCATGCCACCACACCCGGATAATTTTTTGTGTTTTAGTAGAGATGGAGTTTCACTATGTTGCCCAGGCTAGTCTTGAACTCCTGAGCCCAGGCAATCCACCTGCCTTGGCCTCCCAAAGTGCTGGGATTATAGGCATGAGCCACTGTGCTTGGCTGAAGCTGTCGTTCTTTAGCTGCCGTTGGACCCTCCCTTGCCAGCAGAATCAGAGTCATTGCTGTAAGACCAGTGACCTGGAGCAGCCCTGTGAGGGAAGGAAGGTCTGTGCTACCACCTGTGGCTCTTGGGTCAGGCAGAGGAGTCTGATGAGAGTGTCCTCTGCTAATCAGAGTGTGAACTTGAGCCTGTAAGAGGGTGGAGTCTATTATAGATGGACAGGGCAGCTACGGAGCCCACTGCTCCTGGGCCTCCCAAAGTCTCCTTCTCGTCCCATTGCCCTCATCTCTGTGCTCCATTCTCCCTCCTCCAGACTTCATGCTCTAGGAAACCAGATTAATTTTGTAGTTAACCCAACCTCCAAAGGCAGCTTCTGGGCTGAGGCCTCTCCCAAGGATGTTCTTGGGTTGTGTAGGCTGCCAGGTGGTGCTAGACTTAAGTCTATCTCAGAGCCAGCCCCTGGTTGTCCCTTTTCGTGCCCTTTCCCCTCCACCCTCAGGCAGTTGAGCTTGCTGAGGCATCAGGCTCTATACCTTAGTGGGAGTCAAAGCTGGTTTGCTAGCTTTCCAAGGAACAACTCCAGCCTCCTGCCTTCCCTGCATCCCCCTCCAATTAAAATACAGACCCGGGTCAGCAGTGGCTCAGGCCTGTCATCCCAACATTTGAGAGGCCGAGGTGGGTGGATTGCTTGAGGCTAGGAGTTTGAGACCAGCCTGGCCAACATGGTGAAACCCCGACTCTACTAAAAATACAAAAATTAGCCGGGTGTGGTGGCGCAAGCCTGTAATCCCAGTTACTCAGGAGGCTGAGGCGTGAGAATTGCTTGAACCTGGGAGGTTGGAGGTTGCAGTGAGCCAAGATTGTGCCGCTGCACTCCAGCCTGGGTGACAGAGGGAGACTCAGTCTCAAAAAAACAAAACAAAACAAAACAAAAAAAACCACAGACCTGAAATTTAGCTGGGGCTATGTCTGGTCCTGCACATACAACAGCAAATGACGTGGACAGTCTCTGAACTCAGACCCTAGAGTCTAATGGAAGATTCAGAAAAGCGTGTGTTCCAATTAATAAAATACTTACACATTCTGAGAAAAACTGTGTGGGAAATGAACAGTGTGCTGAGATAATGACTCACTGGGATGTGGGGGCTGCTTTGGGTAAGAAGGAGCCAGTCACTCCTTCTATATGATCTGGATGTAATCCTTCCTTCTGGAGTTTTTTCAGGTCCTTTTTCTTTTATGTTCAGAAATTTCATGAGGATGTATCTTAGTTTTTTTTTTTTTTTGAAATGGAGTCTCGCTCTGTCACCCAGGCTGGAGTGCAGTGGCTCGATCTCGGCTCACTGCAAGCTCTGCCTCCCGGATTCACGCCATTCTCCTGCCTCAGCCTCCCGAGTAGCTGGGACTACAGGCGCCTGCCACCACGCCCGGCTAATTTTTTGTATTTTTAGTAGAGATGGGGTTTCACCATGTTAGCCAGGATGGTCTCAATCTCCTGACCTCGTGATCTGCCGCCTTGGCCTCCCAAAGTGCTGGGATTACAGGCATGAGCCCACTGCGCCTGGCCAGGATGTATCTTAGTTCTTAATGTAGATCTTTGTTCATTCATTCAATCTGATGCTTTTTAAGCCCTTTCAATTTGGAAATTCAGGTCCCCTTTTAGTTCTGGAAAATCTACTTCAATTTTTTTTTTTTTTTTTTTTTTGAGATGGAGTCTTGCTCTTGTTGCCCAGGCTGGAGTGCAGTGGCACGATCTCAGCTCACTGCAACCTCTGCCTCCCAGGTTCAAGTGATTCTCCTGCCTCAGCCTCCCAAGTAGCTGGGACTACAGGCGTGCACCACCATGCCCAGCTAACTTTTGTATTTTTAGTAGAGATGGGGTTTCACCATGTTGGACAGGCTGGTCTCGAACTCCTAACCTCAGGTGATCCACACGCCTTGGCTTCCCAAAATGCTGGGATTACAGGCGTAAGCCATCGCACCCGGCCTATTTCAACATTTTTAAAGATAATTTTCGCTCATCCGTTTTCTGTATTCTTTTCTTTTAGGGACTCCTACTTGTCAGATGCTCCACCTCCTACAGAGAAGTTCTGTGTCCTTCGTCTTCTGGTGCATGGTTCCCTTTTATTTGTGTTGTAATCTTTGTTATGCTCTAGATTGTTTTCTCTGCTGTATATTCTAACCCTTTTGTTTACTTTTAAAAAATGTATTTATTTTAAACTTTTAAATATTTTATTAAAATTTTTTAAATTTAAGAGACTTTTCCATTTTCTAAGCTTTTCATAGCTCACTGCAACCTCCACCTCCCGGATTCAAGCAATTCTCCCACCTCAGCCTCCCAAGTAGCTGGGATTACAGGCACCCGCCACCACGCCTGGCTAATTTTTGTATTTTTAGTAATAACGGGGTTTTGCTATGTTGGCCAGGCTGCTCTCAAACTCCTGGCCTCAAGTGATCTGCCCGCTTCGGCCTCCCCAAGTGCTGGGATTACATAGCATTCTATTCTTATAGACAAAATGTGACCTTGAATTTTTCTGAGAATAGAGATTTTTTTTTTTTTTTTTAAGACAAGGTCCCACTCTGTCACTCAGGCTGGAGTGCAGTAGTGCAATCATGGCTCACTGCAGCCTCGACCTCCTGGGCTCAAGAGATCCTTCCTCCTCAGATCCCAAGTAGATGGGACTGCAGGTGCAAGCCACTGCTCCCTACTAATTTATTTTTTGTATAGATGAGGGTCTTGCTGAGTTGCCCAGGCTGGTCTGGAACTGCTGGCTTAAAGCGATACTCCCAACTTGGCCTTCCAAAGTATTGAGATTACAGGCATGAACCATCACACCTGGCCTAAATTGAGATTTTCTTCCCTGAATCATCTGTTTCCTCTGGTGTCAGGTGTTTTCTCTTTGTTCGTCTTTTCTCTCCCTTTCATGATGCAGTATTTCCTCAAATGTCTGGTGACTCTTTGGTGTGTGAGGCAATACAGAGGCTGGCAGGGAGTGTTGCTTACATAAGCAAGGTTTGTCAAAAGGGGGGCTTCCTTTTAGCCAGAGAAAGTAGGAAACTGGGTTTACCCCCAAGGATTTCTCAAATGCCAGAAGTAGAGGGCTTCGTGGGGAGGCGCCAGCACTTGTACTACCCACCTCATAAGTTTCTTTCCAAATGGTTTATTTATTTTTCTGTTTCGTTTTTTGTTTTGTTTTGAGACGGAGTCTCGCTCTGTTGCCCAGGCTGGAGCGCAATGGCGTTATCTCGGCTCACTGCAACCTCCACCCTCCCAGGTTCAAGCGATTCTCCTGCCTCAGCCTCCCAGATTCAAGCGATTCTCCTGCCTCAGCCTCCCAGGTAGCTGGGATTACAGGTGCCTACCACCATGCCTGGCCAATTTTTTTTTTTTTTTTTCGTAGAGATGGAGTTTTGCCATGTTGCCCAGACTGGTCTCGAACTCCTGAGGTCAAGAAATCCTCCCACCTCAGCCTCCTGAGTAGCTGGGACCATAGGAGAACATCACCATGCCCGGCTAATTGCTTTATTTGTGGAAACTGAGGTCTTGTTACATTGCTCAGGCTGGTCTTGAACTTCTAAGTTCAAGCAATCCTCTCACCTTGGCCTCTCAAAATGCTGGGATTACAGGCCACCATGCCTGGCTCATTGTAGTTTTAATGGGAACCAGATTTGATTTTGGAAAAATAAAGGCATGAAATGTTCTGCCTGAGTACTATGGAGCAATTTGTAGTTATTACCAAGGTGAATGCTATTTTTTCTTTTTTTGAGATGGAGTTTTGCTCTTGTTGCCCAAGCTGGAGTGCAGTGACGCCATCTCGGCACACTGCAACCTCCACCTCCCGGGTTCAAGAGATTCTCCTGCCTCAGCCTCCCCAGTAGCTGGGATTATAGGCGTGCGCCACAACACCTAGCTAATTTTTGTATTTTTAGTAGAGACGGGGTTTCACTATGTTAGCCAGGCTGGTCTCAAACTCCTGACCTCAAATGATCCGCCTGCCTCGGTCTCCTAAAGTGCTGGTTACAGGCATGAGCCACCGTGCCTGGCCAGAATACTAAATTTTATAACAGAAGTATCTGAGGGGCTACAGATGGAAAAAGAGGATACCGCTTCCACTCAGAGGGTTGTCTGGGATGTCACCACTGTGCACACATATCAGGAGGGAGCTGGGAATCACTTGCCATCCAGGTTCAAGGTCATCCAAGTATAGCACTGGATGTTCCCATTCTCACAACCTCTTCCCCATTCTGGGCCTTCACTGCCTCCAACTCATGTCAGCAAGATCATGATGAGCTCCTACCTAAGGCGGGCCTCAGCTTCCCCAGATACCTGTTGAAGCCACTAGACCAAAACTCTCCTATATTTTCCGGGCTGGTCAGTCTTACCTTCTGGCTATGTCTTATGCTGGTTGGGAACTTACACAAATGCTTTATTTTGGAAAAATGCCTGGGATGACAAAAAACAAATCCGAGACCTCCCCAGAGCTGGAGGCCTTGGAGGCTCCCCGGCAGGAGCTGGTGGGCTCCCGGCAGGAGGGAGAGCTTGAGCCAGTCAATCATTTACCCAGCAGGCATGGGGAAGGTGGTGAGCTTTTCAATAGAAAGCCCTCAGGAGAAAGGAATTAAAGTGCGTATTGTGCTGGGCTTTCCTGGGGTGAAGCTGGCAGAGCAAGAGGTGAGGTGAGGAAGAGGCAGGTGATTAGCCCCCGCAGGGGCTGGGCCTTCCCTGATTTATGGGGTGACCCTCACTGGCCTTTCCCAGGCAGGAAATGGGCTGTTTACTAATGCCTTCCCCCTGCCACACACCTGTGAAAGCCAGTTGGTAGTATTTTAAAATAATTTACTAGAATGAAGTTTCTGTGTTTTCCTTTGGATAGTTGCCCAGTAACTGGCTTTGTGTTTTTTATTTTTTTAAAAATGGCTTAAAATATGCAGGATCTTAAGCTTCAATATTTCTGTTTGTCTCTCTCTGTCTTTGTCTCACTATCTGTCTGTCTCTCATACACACACACACACACACACACACACACACACACACACACACACCTGTGTCTCAGGCAAGAAAGGGGTCCTCACCCTAGGAGATGTAAGATGGCTTTTCTTTAAATCGTGGAAGTCTTAGTTAATTCTTTTTAAACTAATTCATCACTGGCTCTGGGGCTTCTCTGCTTTCTCCTCCTTCCTGCCACAGTGACCTTAAGCCACAGAGCATTGCCAATTCTAATTTTGTCTAAAATTGGTGCTTCTGGCAGAAGAAATGTGCTGTTGGCTTGCCTTTGAGCTTTGCCTGCCTCGGGTTAGCAAGGCCTCCGTCAGGGACTCTGTCTCCAGTCTACGCAGCATGCAAAGTCAGCCATGCTACCTGCCCTGACAGGGGCATCTGATGCCAGGTGAGGAGCCACCCATTCTGTTTGTAAGAGATGCAAAAACTGCCTTTGGGGGAATTGCAATTCATTCCCTTCAAGGCACTGAGATGGCCCTTACAGTGCACAGATGAAAAACCACTGCCAATTTAGCATTGTATTCTAGGACAAATAGGGGAAGGCTCACTCTGAGAATGAACGATGGGCCCAGGTGCTTGCTGGCCTCAGGAAAGGTGCTCAGCTCCACCTCCTGTTCTGCTGCCCTCTCCTCCCCCAAGACCCACACACATGAAGTCCTATTGGGTCTCCATGTAGCTCTTAGGAACTATTTTACTAAACCGTCGCTTACGTGCAGTAGGAAATTTGAAGTTCCAGTTGCATGAAAGTTTTCTCATGGTGAAGGGACTTTACGGGCATCTTCAAGTCACGTGAGCAAATGCTTTACTTTTCTCAGCCCCAGTTTTCCCGTCTGTGGAAGGAGGGTGAGGATGGTGCTGACTTCTTGTGTGGCTGTGAAGATCGAAGGTGGTAAATCTGTGCTGTTGATTGCTCCCTCCTCCTTGAAACGGGCTCTGCCCTTGGCTTCCAGGACGCTCCTCTTTTGGTTCCCCTTGCCCCCTGGGCATTTCTCACCTGGCTCCTGTGCTGAATCCCCCAGCCTCTGCTAGCTTCTATACGCCACTCTCTCTAGGGCTCGGCCCGGTCTCTCGGGTTCCTCATCTATATTCACCTCCAGTGTGATCTTTTCTAGTTGCATGGTTTAAATTCCATCTCTGGGCCAATCTCTCCAGCTCAGGGCTGTCCCTGAACTTATATATCTAAGTACCCACTCAACTTCTCCACTCAAGGTAGCTCACACCAAATAGATGAGAGCAAACTTGATCTACCTCATCAACACCCATTCTTTCTGGAATCTTCTTAATTTCAGAAAATGGTAATGCTCTTCTTCCAGTCGATCCAGTCCCAAGCCTTGGCATCATCTTTAAAGCATCTTTTTTTTTTTTCACTCTGCATGCCTGGCCATCAGGAAACCCTATCAGCTCTACCTGCAGACCCATCCCCATCTCTTCCCACCTCTCCACTGCCACCGCCTAGTCCAGACCCACATGGAGTCTACCTGCCTGGATTGTCACCATCCATGCTTCTCCTTCTGCCTGGCAGTGGGGGACAGGGGGACCAAGGCAGGGAGGCAGGATGGCGTTGTGGCCAAATGTGGGGCTTTGGGGCCAGGATTTTTGGGTGCAAATTCTGGTGCTGTCTTTGATTTCTTACTATCAATAAATTGATTGTTATTATACACATTTCAAATTGTGCTGTAGTTTTCAAATTATTTCCATTCAGGACCGCAGTGGTTGACATGAAAGTGGGATTTCTGGGACATTTCAGAAGGCTTTGATTTCAAGAGGCTAAATCTATGAAATCAATTAGGGTGTGTTGTCCAAGAGGGGAAACAGGTGCTTTCAGTATAGGAGGGGGCGGCTCCATCTCGGGAAACAGCTTCCCAGAAACTGCCTGGGAAAAAGGTTACTTTTTCTCTAGGGTCCTACAGGGTGGAAGATTCCAGTGCCTATTTAAAGGGAGGTATGAGGAGCACTGGGAGCTCCTAGGCTGTGAAGGCATCAGGCCTGGCAATCAGTGGGAAACCAGGGCGACCCCAAGGACTGAAGACCGACGCCCCCTTCCCTTCTAAGTCTAGGGCCTCCCTTAGTGCTGGGCCCCTGAGACCCCCTCAATGCAGGGGTAGGGGACCAGAAAACATGGCTGACTTTAATTTACATTTTTTCCCCATAATGACTTTAGATCTCTCTGGATTGGAGCCAAATTTGATTTGATTAAGAGAAATAAAGAAATGCAGCATTCTTAATCCATAAGAGTCATGCTGTAAATTTATGCCTATAACAACAGTTTTCTGGAACACATGAGTCAGACTCATGTTCCTTTTTCAGTCTGAAATGTGGGGTTGTGCATTGTACTTCCACAAGGAGATCATGCTTTTGTTGAAACAACCTTGGTTAAGAAATCCTAGTCCCAAAGATTTGGGTGGATACAGGCATCTCTCATGGCCAAGGTTGTAATGTGGCAAAGAGGGGCTCAGAGGACCCGAGGAATGGCGAGAGCCAGAGAGAAGGGAGAGCCAGGTGCTGCATTCTTACACCTGTTTCCTGAGTGTGGGAACCAAGGTCTTACGAAGGTCAACTTCCTGTCTGAGCTGGCCAGCTTTTGGATGACGGAGCCACGCGTGTCCCTTCCTGTGTGCCAGTTCCTGTTTCCCATGGGATTCCATCTTGGCCCTCTGGGTCTGACATCACCTTTCATCCAATCCAGCTAGGACCCAGTTAACACAAGCCCTGTAGAGTGATGGTTCTGCAAAGAGCCGAATATGGCCATGAAGCAATTCCCTGAGTTATTTGGATATAGTCTGGACATAAATGTGCTTAGATTATAGGTCATGTGTCTTCTTGAGTTAATGTATTCACCCCTTGCCTACCTGTCTGGGTTCAAATCCTGGGTCTTTTTCTTACTTGCTCTGTGACCCTGGGCAAGTAACTTAATCTCTTTGTGCTTTAGTTTTCTCCTTTGTAAAATGGGGTTAAGAATAATATTTAGCTAGTGCGGTGGCTCACCCTTATAATCCCAGCACTTTGGGAGGCTGAGGCAGGAGGATTGCTTGAGCCAGCCCGGGAGTTGGAGATCAGCCTGGGCAAAACAGTGAGACCCTGTCTCTTAAAAAAAAAAAAAAAAAAAATTTAGTCAGCTGTGTGGTGGTGGACACCTGTAGTCCCAGCTACTCAGGAGGCTGAGATGGGAGGATTGGTTGAGCCCAGGAGGCTGGACTGCAGTGAGCTGTGATTGAGTCACTGAACTCCAGCTTGGGTGACAGAGCAAGATCCTATCTCAAAAAACCAAAACAAAACAGAAAAAAAATAATACTATTTATCTCACATTGGATCAAATTAATAGATGAAAAGTATGCCTGATACATAGTAAGTGATCAATAAATAGTAATCACTATTACTTTCACCTGAGGAAGAAAGCGAGCCATATGTTATTTCAGTAGTGACAGAATTCAGAGAAAGAGTTTGAAAAAGTTATTTTTTCATGGCAGGGTGCGTTGGCTTGCTCTTGTAATCCCAGCACTTTGGGAGGCCAAGGTAGGTGGATCACTTGAGGCCAGGTGTTCAAGACCAGCCTGGCCAACATGGTGAAATCCCGTCTCTACTAAAAATACAAAAATTAGGCAGGCATGGTGGCAGGTGCCTGTAATCTCAGCTACTCAGGAGGCTGAACTGGGAGGATCCCTTGAACCTGGGATGTGGATGTTGCAGTGAGTCGAGATTGCGCCACTGCACTCCAGCCTGGGTGACAGAGCGAGACTCCATCTCAAAACAAAGTTATTTTTTCTTTCATTTGTAACAGGTCTGTTAACTAGAATAACTTCATAAAATGCTTTCTGGATGGTGCCCATCAAGCAAAGACAGACAGTATCATTCTGTTGGTAGAAAATTTTTTTCCTCCTTTTTATGGATTCAGATTTATTCCTTTTTTATAACTTAAAGAATAGATGACAACTGCTTGTTTTATCCTAAATAAATGAGGACCTCTCAGATCTCAATGCCTGGCCTAAATAGCATGGCAGATCCCAGCCTCCTCAGCTTCTCTGTGGTCAGATAAAGGCCAAGATGTGTTGCACCCACTCCTTCCAGAAGAGTCATCTGTTGCCTGGGGTCTAGAGGTTCATACAAAACAAACAAGAAGCCAGAAGCAGTGGCTCATGCTGGTAATCCCAGCACTTTGGGAGGCTGAGGCAGGAGGATCATTTGAGGTCAGGAGTTCAAGACCAGCCTGGCCAACATAGTGAAACCCCATCTCTACTAAAAATGCAAAAATTAGCCGGGTGTGGTGGCGTGCACCTGTAGTCCCAGCTACTTGGGAGCCTGAGTCAGGAGAATCGCTTGAACCCAGGAGGTAGAGGTTGCAGTGAGTGGAGACTGTGCCACTGCACTCCAGCCTGGGCACACAGAGCAAGACTCCATCTCAAACAAACAAACAAAAAAGAAATATGTAAGTATGTGTACAGCTGTTCCTTCAATCCTCCACTCTTCAATATTGCTAGGAGGCCCCTGAGGGATTTTATCACAACATAGTTTATTAGGTATAAATGGCAGAGCCTAAAGCAATCAGAAGAGGGCTGCCTGGTGGGCACATGTTACCGGTGTGAGCCTTGGCCAGTGGAGAAGCAGGTGCCTGACCCACTCAGGCCAGGAGGAGGCACCAAGTCAGGAGAGCGTTAGCAGGCCTCAGGCCTTGTTGATTCCGGGGCTCTGGGCTGTGGGCTGCTTGGCCTGCCCTTTCGACACCAGTTCTCAAGCCTCTTGACCACTGTACTAGAGCCTCCCTGGCACTGATACCAGGGTCTCAGCAGGCCATTCAAGCGAGCCTGGCCAGCTGGCTACTGCGGCTCTTCCCTGCATGCAGTGACTGCTGGAACCCTGACTCCCAGACTGCAGAGAATAGAGGGACTTCACGTGACAGCCCCTCTGTGTGTAGGTCTCAGGCCAAGCCCTTCCATGGAGTGAGCTGTTTCCTCCCACATTCAGAGCCTCAGGTTGGGGACAGAGGCATGAGCAGGTGCTGTCCGAGGTGGGCCAAGGACATGAGCCCATGTGGATGTCAGAGCAGGCCCAGGCTCCCTGGGCTGCTGGGGGGTGTGTGTCACCATGTGACTTAGATCATGGCCAGCAGGGATCAGCAGTGTTCTCAGAGCCATCAGGCCTCCCCCAGCTTCCCAGACATTTTTCGCAGCTGCAGGAACAGCCACAGATGCTAGGACCTGTTCTCATTGCATCCAGGACTGGCCACCCCAGAAAAGAAGCCAGTGAAGTCCCAGTGGGGCCCTTGGGGGCAAGTGGTGCTCCTAACTGGGCTTTTTGCCAAAGCCTAGAAAGCTAAGACACCAACCATGTTTCACTCCATTTTTCCTTTTTTTTTTTTTTTGAGACAGAGTCTCACTCTGTCGCCCAGGCTGGAATGCAGTGGTTCAATCTCGGCTCACTGCAACCTCTGCCTTCTGAGTTCAAGTGATTCTCCTGTTTCAGCCTCCTGAGTAGCTGGGATTACAGGTGCCCACAACCGCACCCAGCTAATTTTTGTATTTTTATAAGAGATGAGGTTTCAGCATGTTGGTCAGGCTGCTCTCAAACTGTGACCTCAGGTGATCCGCCCGCCTCAGCCTCCCAAAGTGCTGGGATTACAGGCATGAGCCACCATGCCCGGCCCCGTTTCCTTCTGACTCTTGTTTTTTTACCAGTGGGGACCTATTGCTCACAGGAAGAAAAAAACAGCGTCCTTATTTTGTGACTTCTGGCAACTGTCTTTTTCCGAGGAAGCCCCTTCCCTTCTGCCCTGCCTCTGAGTTCAAGCCGGGATGCAGCTCCTAGTGTTTTCAAGCGTCTTACAGATGGAGATCAGCCCCGTCTTCCTCCAACGTCCCCACCCCGCATCGGAGTCAGGACTCCACGGTGCTGTGGTCAGCACGGCTGCATGGTCCTGCGACCCTGAGCCCCAGTGGGCTCTGACTGTGGTTACCAGCGCCTTAGGAGACAGAGTAACAGTCTGGAAGCAGAAACAGAGACTGTCCATTTCATAAACAGCCACATCCGCAAGGTTTATTCCTGGATCACAAACCAACCCCACTGACCAAACTCCCAAGTCACTTTATATTAAACTTGTTATCAAATCACCCACATAAATATATATAATAAATACAAAAACAGACAGGATTTTTTTTTTCAGTCTTTGGTATAGAGAGCTTTCTCCTCCTCTTATTTCCCCCTCTGTCCCTGTGCTCTAAAGACATTTCCTCGCATTCACATTATTTCCTTGGATACAAAAATTGCCCAGAAGTAAACTTTGTGCTGGAACCCCTGCCTCCATTGACAGTCCCGCCGGGGACCCAGCCCACAGCAGCCCAGGGGAGAAGCAGGCTGTGGGGACTCACACGTAGTCGTTCAGCCTGTACCCGCTGTGCGTGGCCGAGGTCACTGAGGGGGCCCGATTGTCTTTGTAGGCAGCTGGTGGCTGGTAGGCAGGTGCGGTGTTTGCAGTGGTCGTGGTGGCCCTGGGCGGGGCCTGGTAGGGCCTGTAGGGTGCCTCGTCCTGGCAGGACAGGCAAAGCAGGGTGCCACCAATGAGCGAGAGGGACGAGGAGATGAAGCCCAGGTACAGGGCCTGGCCAATCTCAAACTTCATGCCGCTGGGCAGCAGCGGGTTGTAGAAGTTCTGCACCACGTCGTTGGTGGTCCAGGAGACGGCCACCATGCACAGGAGGCCGGCCAGGATGAAGAGGGTGCCGCCGAGGATGGCAAAGGTGGTCTTGGCGGGTGTGCCCTTGGCGCAGCGCGTGCACTTCATCCCGATGACGGCGCAGGCGCAGGCTATGCCCGAGAGCAGGCAGGAGATGACCATGAGGGCGCGGGCAGCCTGGAGGTCTTGGGGCAGCGCCAGCAGGGATCGGTAGATCTGGCACTGGTAGATGCCTGTGCTGTGCCACACACACTCCATCCAGAGCCCTTTCAGGTAGGACACGGCCGTGAGGATGTTGGTGCCCACGTGCGCTGTCCTCCGCCAGTGCGGCAGGATGGTGGTGATCAACGTGCCCACCATGCCCAGGAAGCTGAGCAGGAAGCCCAGAAGCTGCACGGCCGTGCTGGCCATGGTGCGGCTGCCTGCCTAGGCCAGCCGGGCAGCTCCCTGGGCCCTCGGGGTCACGCCGCTCCTCAGGTGCCAGCCGGAGCCCTAATGAAGCCAAGGGAGGCGGGAGCAGGGAGAGAAAGGAAATGGGTTAAAGATTATCTCATGCACTTATTTCTGTCACCGAAACCAAGTTTTTCATAGGTGGTTGGTGTGGCAATTAGCATGTTCTCAAAAATAGTTTCTGAGACTTCACTGGGTGGGAGAGTAACTGCTTTCCTGGGAAGGTGGGATCTGAAGGGATGACAGCCGGACGCTGGCCTCAGGGAAGGGTTCCAGCCACCTGCCGGAAGTTCTGCTTATGTCCACCCTTGAGCACTGCTGCTGCATTGGCATCTCCTGTCCTTCCTGGTTCATCAGTAACCAGGAATAACAGTTGTTAAATCAACATGTATTATTCATGCCTTGGACTGACAGTGCTAAGGTGTGTGCCAGCTGTGACTTAGAATATAGCCCTGGGCGGTTGTCAGGATGAGGGGTTTTCTGAAGTAGGCAACTTCCCCACCCACGTGCTCGGGCAGGGAGAGGTTTAGTCCCCTCGGCAAGTCAGATGCTGCCTTCAGAATTCCAGAGCTGGATGTGACCTAGAGATTGTCAGCTGATGCCGGGGCAGGAATTTCCAAGGTCACAGCTCCTCAGGAGCTGCGGCAGGAGCACGGGCCAGCATCCCTCCTCTCCAGCACGGACCTCCGCTCCCAACACGCTCCCCATTCACTATGCCTGCTTGTGACTGGTGAGGGCTGTCCGAGGGTGACTTTATTATAAAACAGAGGCTGCTACCTGGCTTTCAGGGATATGGGAATGCTGAGCCCTTTCAAAGGCTTTTAAAGAATTCTTAGCATACCAAAATCCAGGATACTTTTTCGGGACAAGGACCCAGCATCAACATAGGGCCAGGCATATAGAAGACACTAAGGGCCAGGCACGGTGGTTCACGCCTGTAATCCCAGCACTTTGGGAGGCCGAGGCAGGTGGATCACCTGAGTTCAGGAGTTCAAGACCAGCCTGGCCAACATGGTGAAACCCCGTCTCTACTAAAATACAAAAATTAGCCAGGCATCCCGTAATCCCAGCTACTCGGGAGGCTGAGGCAGGAGAATCGCTTGAACCAGGAAGGCTGAGGTTGCAGTGAGCCGAGATCGCGCCACTGCACTTCATCCTGGGCGACAGAGTAAGACTCCGTCTCAAAAAAACAAAACAAGCAAACAAACAAAAAAAAACACTAGGAAATATAGAAGGAAGGAAGGAGAGAGGGAAGAAGAGGAGGGAGGGAGGAAGGAGAAAGCAAGGAAGGGGGAGCACAGAGAAAGGAAGGAAAAAAAGGAAGGGATGAAGGCAGAAAAGGAAGGGAGTGGAAGTCTTGAGTGGACCACTAGCTTTTCTCTCCTGCCTGGGGCAAGGTAATCAGCGAGACCGGGCATTAGCAGCGAGCATTAGGAGGTCCCAGCCCTGGCTGCGCCCATCCAGTGGGCGACCTGGGGCTCAGCTTCTTTTTTGGTTCTGAAGGGAGAAAAGGGAAGCGTCTCTGCTGATGACAAGTCACTTCAGCGTCCCAAACCAGCAAAGAATCAGTAGGCAAAACCTGCTTCTTCTTCTGCAGAGAGCTGAGCCTCAGTTAAGCAGTGCAGGCTGCAGGCAGGAAAAGCGGGTCTGCAGGGTGTTGCCCATGAGACCCTGGGACATTGTCAAGAAATCCCCATCGGGGCTCGGCGGCTCACGCCTGTAATCCCAGCACTTTGGGAGGCTAAGGCGGGTGGATCGCTTAAGGTCAGGAGTTTGAGACCAGCCTGGCCAACATGGTGAAAACCTGCCTCTACTAAAAATACAAAAATTAGCTGATCGATGGTTGTGTGCACCTGTCATCCCAGCTACTCAGGAGGCTGAGGCAGGAGAATCGCTTGAACCGGGAGGCGGAGGTTTCAGTGAGACTGGATCATGCCATTGCACTCCAGCCTGGGCAACAGAGCAAGACTCTGTCTTGAAAAATAAATAAAATAAAATGAAATAAAATAAATCAATAAATAAATCCTCTACTAGATGTAAATCACTTGGTAAGTAAATAATTAATAACTGATGCTTCCACTGGGAGTCTAAACCATCATCTTGCTAATTTAAAAACATATACTGGGTTTAAATACTTTGGCATTGTAGGAGGTAATTGGTTCTGTCCTGGTGAATGAACAAACAAAAATAAATAATAACAAAACAACGTGGTGCCTCACAGGACACGGAGTGGACTGAAGGTGTGTCCAGGTGATAGGGTTTGGATTTGTGTCCCCACCCAAATCTCATGTCGAATGGCAGTCCCCAGTGTTGGAGGAAGGGCCTGGTGGGAAGCAAATGAATCACGGGGGTGGACCTCCCCCTTGCTCTTCTTGTGATAGTGAGTGAGTTCTCACGAGATCTGGTTGTTTAAAAGTGTGCAGCACCTGCCTGCTCCCCTCTCTCTCTTCCTCCTTCTCCGGCCGTGTCATGCCTGCTTCCCCTTTGCCTTCTGCCGTGATTGTAAGTTTCCTAAGGCCTCCCCAGCCACGCTTCCTGTACAGCTTGTGAGAGCCAATGAAACCTCTTTTCTTTATAAATTAACCAGTCTCAGGTAGTTCTTTGACTCAGGTTGCATTGCGAGAACGGACTGATACACCGAGTATTTTTCTGCTGCTGTTTTTCTGCTGCTGCTTTGGGTGACTATTTGTTCACAGCCCAGAATTTGCCACACGCACTATGCACGATGCTGGCTTTGCACAAAGCCTCTCTTCCCTCCACTCAGCAAGCACTCACTCTGTCCAGGGGCTAGGGACGCCATCACAGTCCCTGCTGGCCAGAGAAGGACCGGGGCCGGCTGTCCTATGCTCACTGCCCTGGGGGAGGTGCTGGCAACAAGGCCAAGGTGGCCACCCTGATAGGCACAGCCAGAGGGGGTGCCAGCGGACCCACCCTGCACCCTGAGCACACCGATGGCACCAGCTGACTGAGCCTGAGCATGGTTTGAACACTGACACATTTCCTAGTTTATTCCCAACAACCTAATGTGGCAGTGACTGTTACCATCCCCTTTTTACACATGGGGAAACGAGAGGAGCAGAGGATGAAAGTTCTGTGCCTGGCCTGGCTAGTGTTCTCCTTGCTGTCATTTCCCCTTTAAGAAACACTACCTGCTTCAATGACATAGGACTGAAGTTAGTGTAAGGGCTGAGGGATGGTGTGAGCAACAGATTCTCCTTCCCACAGAGATCTCAGAACAATGGCCTTGCCCCTTTTGCAGTGGTTTGGGCAGCCAGGGCAACCAACTGCCCTGCTTTGCTAGGGACTGAGGGGTTGCCCAGGACAGGGACCTTCAGGGCTGAAACTAAGACAGTCCCAAGGAAACCAGGACCAGAGGCTCCTCCAGGTGCCCAGATCTCCGAATGGCCTCTGAGATCTCTTCCTGCCCTGCTTTGAGGCTGCCTCAAGGCTGACGGCCACACAGGGTGTCCCTGGTCCAAGCATAATGGGGCTTCTTGCAGCTCTCACTGTCAAGGTCAATAATTAAGTATACAGACCCTAAAGAATGTGGCATAAAAGCCAAGCCCATTAGGCTAGGCAAGTGGACCAGAGGTTTATTGGAGGTCTAAATATTTATGGAGAGCAATGATGGCTAATTTTAGAAACCATTAGGTTGCTATTTTTAAACGTGTGCTATAAGGATTTGCTAATTTAAGAAGTGAGTGTTAATGAGCCCCCAACTCCCAGACACAAGCTCCCCAACCTGCTTTCCTTCTTCCTTACCAGCAGCTGCTACTGGCATTAGGTAATAATTCAACTTCCCCGCAACTACTTTTCACTTTGGGGCCTTTCAAGGGAAAAACAACTTTAACTGAACGCATCTCCCTGGAAGCCACATAAAATTCCTCCGTGATGCTCCGGAAGCGCCCTGCCCTGCAGGGCTGTTTGTATAGGAAGGAACTAGCCCAAGCCTGGCCTCCCAGGGGGAGCAGCCCATGCAGGGCTGAACTGGTGTTCACCTGTGGGCTACCATTTTCCTGCAGCCACGTGTGTGCATGTGGGAAGATTTGCTAGAGAGATACGGATCCAAAACAAATAGGGTTCCAAGCATCAAGCTCTAGAAAGCCCTCGACAGGCTGAGTAGTGGTGGGAAGGCAGAATCTAACAAGATGTGTTAGAGGATCAGTACTGGGTCCTGCATTTGGGTTCACAAAACCCCAAAAGTACAATCCTGGGTGGGGAGTATGTGGCTTAGCTGCACCTGAGAGCAGGATTTAGGGCTGAGTTTCCCAACGACAGCATCTTGGAATGCTGCATTTGCAGGATGTCTTGTGTGGAGGACACAAATGTCAAATATGTTTAAGAAAACCTGCGTGACTGTAGGACTTCTCATAGCTGGAAACGTGTCAATGTGCATCGTGACTCTCCCAGGAAATGTCTCATGGGCAGCATCCGCTAAACTTATTTGACTAGAGACACCCCCCTGCACCCCCTTTACCAAAGAACAATTTGCAATGAAATCACTTTGGCACAATAACTTGGACTTGGCAATGGTGAGATAGAGTGGGTTGCTGTATTAGTTTGTTCTCATGCTGCTATGAAGAACTGCCCGAGACGGGTAATTTATAAAGGAAAGAGGTTTAATTGACTCACAGTTCCGCAGGACTGGGGAGGCCTCAGGAAACTTACAATCCTGGCAGAAGGTGAAGCAAACACATCCTCTTTACATGGCAGCAGGAAGGAGAAGAATGAGGGCTGAGCCGAGGGTGAGGCCCCTTATAAAACCATCAGATCTCATGAGAACTTACTCACTATCATGAGAATAGCATGGTGGAAACCACCGACATGATTCAATTACCTCCCACTGGGTCCCTCCCCACGACACGTGGGGATTATGGGAACTACAATTCAAGATGAGATTTGGATGGGGACACAGACAAACCATATCATTCTGCCCTGGCCCCTCTCAAATCTCATGTCCTCACATTTCAAAACACAATCATGTCCTTCCAACAGTCCCCCAAGGACTTAACTCATTCCAGCATTAACTCAAAAGTCCAAGTCCAAAGTCTCGTTTGAGACAAGGCAAGTCCCTTCTGCCTATGAATCTACAACATCAAAAGCAAATTAGTTACTTCCTAGATAGAATGGGGGTACAGGCATTAGGTAAATACCCCTATTCCAAATGAGAGAAATTGACCAAAACAAAGAGGCTACAGGCCCCATGCAAGTTCGAAATCCAATAGGGCAGTCATTAAACCTTAGAGTTTTGGTCGACTTCATCCCCAGCAGAGAGAGTATCAGAAAACGACAGAGCGGTAAAGAATTTTGAAAATCTGTGAAAGGCAATTGTGAAATGCTAGAGCTGCTATAGGCCCTTCCAACTGGCTCTGGTTTCAGGATCACCAGCTCTGAAGGGAGGGGGTTTTTCTGTGTGTGTCCATATAAACTTTTATGTTGTCTCCCTCTGTTTTCTCTGAGCTATGTTTTTCTTTAAAAAAGCAGGGTTCTGGAGCACACAGTAGGGTGCCCTCATTTTGCTCACCTCCTGGCCCACCTGGACCCCAGCTGCGTCAACTTTGGCTCCAAATTAATCATCATTTCAACAGCAGTGGCCATGGGGATCGCCTGGCCAGGACTGAGGGGTGGACGTGTTGTTTACCAGCCTGCGTCTTGACTGCCTGGGGTCCCTCCCTGGGCATGTCTGTTTCATCCTTCACTTTGTCCTATCTTCAGAAGTCCTTTCTCTAGTTCTTCAGGGTGTGTGCTGGGGCCTCTGTCAGTCCAGGCTTCTTGGAGGGGTGCGGGGGTGGGACGAGGCCACCCTATCTCACCATTGGTCCAAGTGACTGTGCCAAAGTGATTTTACTGCAAGTTCTTCTTTGGTAAAGGCGGTGGTGGGGGGTGTCTCTAGTCAAATAAGTTTAATGGATGCTGCATATGAGACCAGGCTTCTTGGAGGGGTGCAGGGATGGGATGGGTGGGGTGTTTGAGTCCCTTACTCTCCTTAACCCTCAGCAGTCTCACCTGCTACTGTCACCTCATCCCTTGCAAAATCAGCCCCTGTGATGAAAGCTTTCCTATGGACACACATTGCTCCGTGGCCCTTGTCTACCCACCTTGGTGAAAGAAATGTCAGCCCCAGATGGGAGGGGTGGAGGACATCAGCGGGGAGCTGGGGCACAAGCCAGGTGTGTGGTGGAAGTTTCTTTACCCAGAACTGCCCTGAGCCCTACTGTGCAGGTAGAGAATTGGAGGATGTGGCCACCAGTGCCTTTTGCCTGCCATGTGGTCTGAATGGCTCTCGAGATGTTTGGGAACGAGCCATTATATATGTTTGCCCTCAAATGCTCTGACATGATGTTGGGTCCATTATAGAAACAGCGTAAAACTTGATTTGCTTTCTGTAAACTTATTAGAGAAAAATGAAGTGCCACCTTCAAATGAACATAGTCATTGGCCCTTCAACGTTGATGTTCAGCCACTTCAGAAAATGTCTGGTTCAAAAACCTGAATGTCCTCACTGTCACCCCAACCAAATGGCCTCTTCATTACTGTTTAGCTATTTCATAAATGCTTTAGGCTGGAGATGGTGGCTCACACTTGTAATCCCAGCATTTTGGGAGGCTGAGGTGGGCAGATCACCTGAGGTCGGGAGTTTGAGACCAGCCTGGCCAACATGATGAAACCCCGTCTCTACTAAAAATACAAAAATTAGCCGGGTGTGGTGATGCATGCCTGTAATCCCAGCTACTTGGAGGCTGAGGGAGGAGAATCGCTTGAAGGTTGCAGTGAGCTAAGATTGCACCACTGTACTCTAGCCTGGGTGACAGAGTGAGACTCTGTCTCAAACAAAAGAAAATAAACAAAATCATAAATGCTTGAATTTAGGAACTAAAAATAAACTCAGGGGAGATTTGGATTCATTTAGATAAGACATATTAGCAAAACTACCTAACACAGAGAAAAGAAAGTAACTCTTACGCTATGATGTATCTGCATGAAGTAACTTCAACTAGTATTACTTTTTTCTTTTTCTTTCTTTCTTTCTTTCTTTTTTTTTTGAGACAGAATCTCGCTCTGTCACCCAGGCTGGAGTACAGTGGCACGATCTTGGCTCAGTGCAACCTCTGCCTCCCAGGTTCAAGTGATTCTCCTGCCTCAGCCTCCAGAGTAGCTGGGATTACAGGCCCCCACTACCACGTCTGGCTAATTTTTGTATTTTTAGTAGAGAGATGGTTTCACCATGTTGGCCAGGTTGGTCTTGAACTCCTGGCCTCAAGTGATCCACCCACCTCTGCCTCCCAAAGTGCTAGGATTACAGGTGTGAGCCACTGTGCCCGGACTCAGCTAGTATTTCCTAAGGGCATCTTGGACACTGTGTTTCTTAATCATGTGCGAAACAAACGCATATCTTTTCAAGAAGCTTAGGGATACTTTAGAGGGGCTATTTTTAGCACATCTTCTTACAGAAATATGTAAGAATGATGAGAAAGCGATCAAGCAATACCTTGGAAAAACCACTTCATATTCATTTCACATGGGCTATACTGTGGGGTGTTGGCTCTAAAAATAATATTTTCTTCATTACTATTCCAAACTTTCTGTAACTTTCCTTGGGTTATTTTTCAGACTGGCAGGCATCTAGATTTTAAATGTGTGAGGACTTTCTATACCATCCGCATAGAGTCTTTGATGCACTCTTTCCATGAGAGGCAGAGACGGGATACTTACGTGACTACGACTTATTACTATCATGATAGTTACTGCTTGCTATTGTTATTTAGGAAAACCAATGTGAAGTATCTTACTCAAAATCACACGGAAATGACACGTTCCATGAATTCCTCCTGTCTCTTTTGGATGAAGAAATAAAAATCTATTTTTTTATAACAAGAACTGATTCGAAGAAAAGTTTATGTGAATACAAATGAAAACCATGGATGCAGTTAAATGCTAACAGAGGCTATTTTCAACTCAGTAAGATTGAATGACCTATTGATTTACCGAAAACTACAAACTTAAGTCACCATGACCACAAAAATTAAAACCCTTTCTGGAGGCATTATCTCTCTCATTTCAACTCACCAAATTTCATTAGAATTCATTTAAAATGCAGTAGATCAACATTTAGAAATGAAATGAGTTTCATTTACTTAAATACATGAGTGCCTTTTCAGAGCGATTTTTCCCGACAAGACAGTCAGGCAGGTTTGCTATGTTGCTGTTTTTGTTGTTGTTGTTTTTCATTTTTCAAGGTGCAGGTCATTAAAAACTTGTCATCTGAGATTAAAAAAAATACTAGAAAAGTAAAACAAAACAAAAACAAAAACAACAACAAAAAAACAATACCCCAAAAAACCCAGGTGGACATACAAACATTTCCTCAAGCCTTAGCTGATTGTTGGATGACTTATGGTTAAGTGTTCTGTGGGAACACTTTATCTAGGGGATGCAATGGATTGACCTGGTCCCCCAAAAGAGATATGTTGAAGTCTTCCCTGCTCCCAGTGCCTCAGAATGTGACCTTATTTGGAAATAGGGTCATTGCAGATGTAATTAGTTAAGATAAGGTCATACGTAAAATAGAGTGGCCCCTAAGCCAATAGGGCTGGTGTCCTTATAAGAGGATGGGCATATGAAGACGGAGATAGAAAGAACATGTGCAGACGGAGGCAGAGAGTGGAGCGAGAAGTTACCAAGTCAAGGAATGTGGAGGATCGCCAGCAACCCGCGGAGAATCGCCAGCAACCCGCAGAGGCCCAGCAGGAGGCCCAGGACAGATGCTCCCTCACAGCCCTGGAAGGAACCAGCCTGCCCACACCTTAGTTTCAAGCTTCCAGCCTTCAGAATCATGACAGAATAAATTTCTGTTGTTTCAGGCCTCCCAGGTTGTGGTGCTTTGTCATGGCAGCCCCAGGAAACAAACACAGCAGAGTAGCTGAATGGTGGCACGGGGAATTACAGAGAAAATGCTCGGCCAGGCCCCATGGCACAGGCCTATAATCCCAACACTTTGGGAGGCTGAGGTGGGAGGATCACTTGAGCTGAGGAGTTCAAGACCAGCCTGGTCAACATGGTGAAACCCTATTTCCACTAAAAATAAAAAAAAATTAGCTGGGCATGGTGGCTCAAGCCTATAATCCCAGCTACTTTGGAAGCTGAGGTGGGAGGATGGCTTGAGCCTGGGAGGCATAGATTGCAATAAGCAGAGATTGTGCCACTGCACTCCAGCCTGAGTGAGAGAGCAACATCGTATTTCAAAAAGCAAACAAACAAAAAAACCTCATTTGTGATTATAAGAACTGCGTCCCCTTCCAGGACAGGCATTGAGTGTGATCTGGTGGCTTCACATTTGTCATTGATAAAAACAGGCCAGGTGCAGTGGCTCACACCTGTAATCTCAACATTTGGAAGGCCAAGGTGGGAGGACTGCATGATTCCAGGAGTTCGAGGCCATTCCTGAGCAGCATAGTGAGATCCTGTCTCTACAAAAAACAAACAAACATAAAAACAAAAAACAAAGCCATGGTTAGCTTCATGTCTCAAAGTGTGGAGGACAAAATCTAAGGAAAAGGTAGAGGACATGGAGAAAGAAGAATCTGGAAAGTCCCCTGCAAATTTGAAAATTCAAGTGCAAACACAATCTATAGTAAGTAAGCCATATAGTAATCAAATGACTCAGCTTCTCCAGGCTTAAAAAGTGTGTGAATTCACTTAGCTCACAGAGAGTTTGGGGGGGCTCATGTCTCCAGCTTGTGTGCAATTGGCTGGGGTATAATTGGTGACTGACCTTTTCAGGCTGGGTGTCTGGTTTTCTTAAGTCAACATGTCTTGATTTCATAGAGCATAAAAGCCCCAAATTTGGGGCAGAGTCCAGATTTGAATAAGGTGACTCAGAAGCCTGCTGAAGCTTTACCTTGGAAATCCAGCAGAGCCCACTAGGCTCCGCCTTTAGTCAGGACTTACAGCAAAATAGAAAAAGAAAGCAAACCCCAAACAAGCAATAGGACATTGTCACACCTGGCTGAAAACCTTCATGAATTAGACAACTATTCTGTGAATTTCGTAAGCCTCTGAAAATTATTTACTTGAGAATTGAACTGGGGATAAACTGCAGTGGTTAAAATGTGTCAAATGAAAACATAAGGCTAAGATTTTCTAATGGTAAGGAAAATACTATTAAACATGAGGTTTAAAACTCATTCTCTGTAAATTTAGCCTTTGAAGCCCAGGTGCTCCAAAGCAGTTAGTTGTTAATGATAAGAGTAAAAACAGTCATAGTTAAAGTTCCAGAGTGTTTATGATATGCCAAACATGTGCTAAGTGCTTCTGTGGGCATGCAATGAACTCTTAAACAAATCGCAATGCGCATTTTGCCATCTTTATTTACAGATAGGGAAACTGAAGTGTAGAAAGGTTACATAACTTGTCCAAGGTTACGTCTGGGCTGAATTAGGGAGACCAAACAGGAGGTTCTTGTGATCTTTCAGGTAAGAGATGCCAGGAGGCCGAGCCAAGGTGGTGGAAATAAAGGTGGGTGCCAGGAAGAGGTCAGTTTCTATATTCAGGTGAGGCTAGCGGGATGTGCTGATGGTTTAGCTGCGGGGTGTGAGACACAGGTGCCTAAGGTTATTGTCTTGGGCAACTGGAGGAATGGAGTTGCCACTTATTGAGAGCTTGAAGAGGGTTGGAGATCTGGGTTTGGAGGATGTGATGATCAATTTTTTGTGTCAACTTGGCTGGGCCATGGGGTGCCCAGATATATGATTGAACACTATTCTTCATGTTTCTGTGAAGTTAGTCCTTGGACAAGGTTAACATTGAAAGCAGATTGCCCTCCATAGTGTGGGTGGGCCACACCCAGTCAGGTGAAGGCCAGACTGGAACCAGAAAAAACTGGTGTCTCCATCAGCTCAGGCTGCCACAACAAAATACCACAGACTTGCTGGATTAAGCCACAGAAATTAATTTTCTCACAATTCCGGAGGCTGGAAAGTCCAAGACCAAGGTTCTGGCTGCTTGGGTTCCTGGTGGAAATTCACCTGACGTCTTCTTTGCATGCAGGCAGAGGAAATCTTTCTCTCTTTCCCTTCTTTTTAGAGCACGAATCTCATTGTGAGGGCACCCACCCTCATGACCTCATTGAACCCTAATGACCTCCCAAATGTCCCGTCTCCAAATACTATCACATCGGGGCTTAGGGCTCCAACATAGGAATTTTGGGAGAATGCAAATGTTTAGTCCATAACATGCAGCTTCACCTGAGCAAGAAACTCTCTCCAACAGACTGTGTTTGACCTTTATTTCCAACATCAGCCCTTCTCAGCTCTATAGCAGGCTGCCTTCCAACTGAAACTGCAGTGTCCGTGATCCTGGGTCTCCAAACTGCTAGCCCACCCTGCAGAATTTCATTTTATAGATGGGCTCTTGCTATATTGCCCAGGCTGGTCTTGATCTCTCAGGCTCAAGTGATCCTCCCACCTCAGCTTCCTGAGTAGCTGGGACTACAGGCATGTGCCATCACACTTGGCTAATTTCTAAAAATGTTTTATAGAGATGGAGGTCCCACTATGTTGCCCAGCCTGGTCTTGAACTCCTGGGCTTAAGCAATCCTCCAACCTTGGCCTCCCAAGGCTGTTGGAATTACAGGTGTGAGCCACTGTGCCTGGCCCACCCTGCAGATTTTGGACTTGCCAGCCTTGAGAATCATGCAAGCCAATTCCTTAGAATAAATAGATCTCTTTCTATATAAATGCATATTCGATTGGCTCTGTTTCTCTGGAGAACTCTGACTGATACAGAGGATGAAGGGCAGAAGAGAGGAATTTTCTTTTGGACTTGTTCAGTTTGAGATGTCTGTGCCTACCCACCTGGGGATAACCATGGTTGCATATGTAAGTGCAGGGTTCAGGGAGGGACTGAACTGGAGAAGTCTGTTTGTGTCACCACCGCATGGAGATGGGATTAAAATATGGGATGGAGTCTCTTAGGAGGGAACGTTAGATAGAGAGGAGCAGGGGCTCCAGGGCTGATTCTAGGAACCCTCCAACATCAGGGGAGGGATGAGGATAGAGGTAGGAAGAGGAGCCAGCCACGGGCTGTAGGAATGGGCGATAGTGAACGGTCAACCCAGAGGAGACTGGTGAGGGAGGACAGAGCTCCATGTTGGAGAGAGCAATCTACTCTGTCAAGTCAAGTAATCTGATAAATCAAGTCATCTGAGCACTGAGAAGTGGTCACTGGATTAGCAACATGAAGGAAATTGGAGACCTTGATAAGCTCAGTTTCGGCGGAGTTGATTGGAGTGGGTTCAAGAGAGAATAGGGACAGAGGGACAGGAGGGAATGAGCCCAGAGAATTCTTTCAGGAACTTGGACCCTCCAGGGGAATCAGGAAATGAGGCAACAGTTTTAGGATGGGTTCCAGGGCCCATAGACCTCAGGATATCTGTCAACTCAGCCAGGAAAAAAAGTGACATCTTCTATTTCATCTACCTCTCACTGACAATTAGCATTTCCTTCAATCCTGAATGTAGGCAGCCACCTACAGCAATATGACCAGTGCCTGTGCCTTAATCAGCAATAGAGACCATGATATTTTGCATCGCATTACAGGCGTTGCAGATACCTGCAAAGGACATTTATCACTCTAACAATTTCAAATGATACTTATAAGATGCTTGCTAGACCTCATGATGTAATGCATTAATAAGGAAGGTCGTCCATTACTAGGAACAGAATTGCACTAAAATATTTTGATAACTATGTTTTACTATAATTCACTTCCTTTATAATCCTGCATGTTATGTGTTATATTACACATTTAAAAGTATTGTGCTGAGAAGAATACATCAGCTTCGCCAGATTGCCAAAGGAATCCCAGGCAATCCCCATCCCGCCACCCAGAACAACACCGATAACAAAAAACTAAACCAAAAGAGTTAGAAACCTCTGCCAGTGGGATGTGTAGGCAAGAGAGGACCCTTGTTTTGCTGTTGTTTTGAAGATGAGAGGCATGGAAGCATGTTTGCATGCCTGAGGAAATGGTTCAGCGAGGAGGGAAACATCTGTAGGGGCAGTAGGGATCCTGTGTGCACATGGAGAGACCAGCTCTGACCAGCATGCAGAGAACTCACTCCAGAACGGGAGGGGAGGCGGGAGCAGGAGGCTGGGGGAGATGTCAGTGGGCAATAACGCATGTTCTGAGTTTGCTCCAAGTTTCTCAGGGAAATAAGAAGCAACATGATGTCTTGAGACAGGAGATGGGGGAGGAGGTGCGGGAGGCTTGAGCACAGAGGAGGAGACCATGGTCATCCAGGAGAATGACCGCAGGCCTGGACCAAGTCAAGGGGTCAAGTGCTAGTCAGTGCCGGGTGCAGGTGGGGCAAGTGGTCCTGCGGGTACCATAGACTATCACGCCGGACAGCCTTTCCCAGCACCATCAACTGCACTGCGAGGGTCCCAAGTGGACAAAGGGCTGGACTGGACCTGGTGGGGATTTTCCTAGGGGAAAATGATGAAGGCAGACAGCCAAGGGAAATATGCGTGCACACAAAGGTGTGAACATCATGGCGGGCCGTGGCGTCAAAGCTGGGATGGAGGGACATTGAGGACAATAGAGAAGGTCTGTTCATCGTGGAGAAGTCACCTGGATCAGTGGCTCTCCACCCTCCTGCTGTAGCCGCAGCCCTTGGAGAGCTTTAAAAAGATCCGGATGCCCTGGCTACCTCCAGAGATTCTGATTCGCTGACTGGGGTGGGGTCCATGCATGGGAATTTTCGAGCTCCTCTCCCCCACCCGGTGATTCTGATGTGCAGGCAGGTTTGAGAACCAATGGCTTATTTATTTCATTAAAAATTATTTTTCACTCTGTTGGCCAGGCTGGAGTGCAGTGGCACAATCACGGCTCCCTGCGGCCTTGACCTCCTGAGCTCAAGTGATCCTCCCGCCTCAGCCTTCCGAGTAGCTGGAACTTCAGGTGTGAGCCACTGCACCCAGCCCCGCTGGCTTCATTGATTTAACTTTTTTTATTTTATTTTATTTTATTTTTTTGAGACAGAGTCTTGCTCTGTCACCCAGGCTGGAGCACAGTAGGATTACAGGTGCACGCCACCACACCCAGCTAATTTTTGTATTTTTAGTAGAGACGGGGTTTCACTCCGTCTAGGCTGGTCTCAAACTCCCGACTTCAAATGATCTGCCCTCCTCGGCATCCCAAAGTGCTGGGATTACAGGCATGAGCCACCACCGTACCTGGCCTGATGTAACTTTTAAAGGTCCTATTAGGAGCTTTAAAGAGTCCAAAACGGTTTAACAGAGAGTCATAGTTCAGATGTCTGTTCTGCTGGGCCTGCCTGCTGAGTGCAGGCTCTCTTTGGGATCTCCTGAGATGGAGACAGGTGTCTCTGGCCTGTCCCTGGAATATTGTCTCACCTACCCATAAGGCTAGGCTCTCCCACTCCCTTCGCTTGAAATCCTCTTCTCCAGCTACAATCTTACCTTCCCTCCTGTGGCCCTGCACCCTTGCCTTCTGCCATCTAGAAAAAGTGGTTGGGGGGGTGGTTCTTTATTTATCTTGCTGCCTTCTGGCTCTTACCTTCCCAGAGCCCCACGGAAGCCTGTTCTTACAACCTGGGTCCTCTTCCTGGGACCCCAGCCCACTGTGGGCACTGAGCCTCCCTCATTGTTAATCTTGGCCAAGAAGTTACCCCACAGGCATTTATATTTTAATGGATGACTATTTTTTTTTTTTTTTGAGTCAGAGTCTCACTTTGTCACCCAGGCCGGAGCGCGGTGGTGCGATCTCAGCTCACTGCAACCTCCGCCTCCCAGGTTCAAGTGATTCTCCTGCCTCAGCCTCCTGAGTAGCTGGGATTACAGGCGCCTGCTACCATGTCTGGCTAATTTTTGTATTTTTAGTAGAGACCAGGTTTCACCATGTTGGTCAGGCTGGTCTCGAACTCCTGACCTCATGATCCACCCGCCTTGGACTCCCAAAGTGCTGGGATTGTAGGCGTGAGCCACTGCCCTCGGCCCATGGATGACCTTTGAAAACAAATCTCCTCCTGGCCCAGGCCCCAAAGCATACACTCACAGTGGTGAGAATGATTGGGTGAGTCTTCCAGAAAAGCCTGTGATAGTTTGATATAAAGACATTTAGAATTAATTGGGTCAGGTATGAGATTTCAGATTGCAGAAATCCTTGTGTAAGCAAAGGCCTTGCAGCTAAAGTAGTGCATGGCAGGTGTGGCTTAGCCTTTAGACATACACACAGTGGCCAGATTGTGCATTTGCTCTGAAGAGTACCAGGCCCTGTAGGTTACCTTTGCCTGCTCTCAGGACTTGCTAGATAATTTGCAGAACCCAGTGCAAAATGAAAATACAGAACCCCTTGTTCAGAAATTATTAAGAATGTCAAGATGGCGTCTGCAGAACATCAAGCCAAGTGCAAGCCTGTCTGAGCACGGGGCTCCCTGTAACTGCACAGATCATGTGCCTGTGAAGCTGTCCCTGCCTGCTATGGACATGCTGGGAACTGGACATTGGGATTTTCCCCCCTTAAAACAATGAGTGCATTGAGTTAGAATGTTGAAAGGAACAGAGACGCTCTTGCAGTGTTCTGTAGAATCGAAAATATGGTTTCATATGTTTACTTTACCTTCATTTAAGTGTAGCCCTGATGCCTCTGCGAATATCTGCCATGGAAGAGCCTTTTAAAAACAAAGCTCTTGCTGGTCTCCAGTGCCCAAGAGTGGCCGCCAGTGGAAACAGACCTGGTGTTCTAAATCTCAGTTTTTGTTTCTTTCTTCTTCCAAGAAAGCTGTAGATGAGCATGTGCACTTCCAGGCCTAGAAGGGAACAGCTGCCTCTGGGTGGCTCGCCTCTTTGCACAAGGGGCTCAGCTCAGAGCTTCCCCTAAGCCTGGCAGGTCCCCCCGACACTTCTCTTGGGAATGAAGTGGACAAAGTGAGTGAATGAGCCTCAGCTTCTCCTGTCTTTTTATAGAGTCACCCGACAGGGAGAGATAAAGGAGGTGGTAGCAGCTTAGGCCCAGGAGCCCTCTCAGCAAATGGCCCAGAGTAGAAAATTCCCCACACTATGTTGCTGTTGGTCACCCGGTGAAAAGTCCCTGGCCCTGGCAGCCACTTGTCCTGCAAATGGTGCGAGTGAAGAATCCACAGATTAGCTGGAAGGAGGAACGTTTGAGTTTGAAAACGCCAAGAATCATTCCTGAACTGGCAAGGCTGGCCACCTGCGTTTTAAAAACACATTGGCACTAGCCTTGAAAACAGACTTTTAGACTTCTTACTCTGCGTAATGAAAGATCTTTTCTGATATATAGGCAACAGAATGATTTTTTTAAAAACAATAATGGACATATTCCATTTTATTGATCTTTACCTAAAAACTAAAAACTAACTGGAAAACAGGAAATATTTAATAGTGACATTTTCATAGCACCAAAGGAAGAATCTACGTGTCTTCCTTTTTATAGATTTTTCTGTAGATGTCTTAAGAAGCATTGAACCCTTTATACAGATGGGTAAATAAAACACAGTAAGCTTGAGATATGCAAATCAGATTGGAGCCAGATAAGGATGGGGGCTGGCGCTGGCTTCAATTCTGACTAATCTTGGGCAAGCTGCTCAGCCTATTACTCACTGTCTACACAGGAATGACTGTCTACATAGGAATAGCTCCTCTGCAGAGACATCTAGAAGATGCTGAGATAATATATGTAAAAACTGACAAGCCCTTTGGGACAGATACCAGCAAATGCAAGGCGTATGCTATGGAAGTTTTATCATCCTAACAGATAAGCCCGTCCCCAACTCCAGTGAGTGACTGAGAGACACGGGCATGAACGCTGAGCTCAGATGACAGCATCTTTTCACAGCAGACCTGGGCCCAGCCCCTGGAAGCACACGATGATGAACTGTCCTCTGGTTTCCCAAGACTTCAAAAATGAAACCCAGTGATCAAGAGATGTTTGGCTTTGAACACTGCGGGAATTAAAGCCAGCACCCAGTTAAAGCCAGTGAGGACAGCACTCCAAGGTTTGGGGACGGTCTCAGGACACTAATCCTGGTTCCTTTTCTATTTTGCCTGGGTCCCTCCTGCCCATCCTGGGAAGCCGTGGCAGCTGTTGGGGATGTGGGGCCCCAGGTAACTGAAGGATTAACTCACGTCTCAAATTGCATGGCATTTCTCCTCTTCAGCACCATTTTTTACCCTCATTGAGAGAGATCTATCACTTCCCCCCCTCTCCTGCCATGCCAATATGTGTCTGTGTTGGAGGGCAGGGGTGTATTTAGGGAGCAGGAGAATGTTCCCAAGTCTGGAAACTCGGAACAGTCTGCCTGGCCCTCTTTGCAGAAAAACGAGGGAGTCCCAGCAGACAGAAGGGGGCAGTGGCGCTGAGCTCCCCGAGCTGAGCTGTGGCCTCAAAACACTGAACAGATTCAGTCCTTCCTCCCAAACAGGCCTGGTAAGCGATGAAAAGAGTTCTGCCCAAACACTCAGGAACTGGATTATTGTCGTTCCTGGCTCATTAGGAGCCTGGCTGCCCTCATGCCAGCTGCGTGGGGTCCTCTGGAGGCCACCCAGACCAGCCTGCAGCTTCCTTTCCTGTAGGGGCCAGCACGGTCCCTTCCTCTGGAGAACGCTCGGACCCCTGGCTGCATGCACATCTAACCGGCAGGGCCTAAGGGCTTCCAAAACAGATGACTGTCAACCCCAGCCCGCCCACCCCACATCCACAGCTTCACCCCAAACTCACATGCAGAAAACCTCGAGTCTCATCTTCCTGTTCAGGTCCCTTGCCAGCCGGAGCCGCTCTGGAGCCTGGCTGGACTCCAGCTCCCATGTGCAAGAGGACTCAGCCGGGACGCTGCCACCCTCCTGCCTTCCCTCTTCTGCCAACCAGACGCTTCCAGGACGGAGTATTTGAGAGAAAATTGTCTAGACAATTACAGTGTTCCTTAGAATGGCCTGCGTGGGCACACGTGCCACTTGGTTAGCTAGCATGAGAGGAGGTGGCTTGGCCAGAGCAGACATTCAAGACCAACCAGAAATGTCATTTCTGCACTGTGGAAAAAAAATGCACGATACACCTGAACCTGGGCATCTCCTTCCTAACACGCGCTCAGGATCAAGCCTCCCCTTCCCAGCCTGGCAGGGTTGCAGGGCGTCCATAGTCCAGCCTACGCCTGCCCAGGCTCTCGGCTCCGGGTCCATTGGCTGTTCACACTCACTTCCCTGTGTCCTGGAACTGCCTGATTGTTGTAGATTACTAAAAATCCACAGCTCATTCCCTCCTGCGCCCTGACCACCTGCCCACAGCGACTGTGTCCTCCTCTGAGCCACCACCTGGCGGTTGTCCTCACACTGCTTTGGACTTTTCTGCTATTGAGTAACTCAGCTTCTCAGCCTTTAGGCTGCTATGGGCCCTAGATGCATGCTGGTCGATTCTGATCAACGAGCAACTGCTTTTGTTTGTTTGCTTTTTTCTACAGCTGCAGCTGTGGGTGATTCGGATGGTCTGTTGGTGGAATGTGGAGCTGGACGGGTCAAGGAGCACAGTGTGGAAAGAGGGACAATTTGCTACAAGTTGGAGATAAGAGACATGGCATACTGTGAAACCAGTGCTGACGGAAGAAGGTGACTTTCTTGGAAGGTCAAGACACTTGCTTGACAGCGATGTCCAGGAGGGCTAGGGAGAGTTCTGCTGGAAGTGAAGGCAGCACCTGAGGGTGGCTGAGGGAACTGGTCAGGGCTGGGAACGCCTCCAGCCCTTTGAGGAATGATTCGCTGATTAAGAGATGTTTGGCCTTGAAAATTGCAAGAATGAAATCTCTTGGTGGGAATGTGTAGCCAAAAGCCAGCACCCTGAGTGGCTCCAAGGTTTGGGGACCCTCTCAAGGCACAAATCCCAGTTCCTTTTCAATTTTGAAAATCGTTGTGGGCGATTCTGGAATTGAGAAGTGTGCTGAGAGCCATGGATTTAACATGACAAGAATTTCCGCCCCTTCGTCACTGAGCACACCGCAAATGCTCCAGGGCCAGGGACTTACTTGGGCTTCTGCGTGTCTTCCACAGTGTGCATCAATCCGCCGGGCTCTGGTTGGTGTTTAAAAAAAAAGATGCAGCGAAGGAATCTGGTGTGGACAAACGCCCTGGGCATGGACCAAAAGCCTGGCCCTTGTGTCCCTGGCAATGGGACGGTGAAGGACAGAAAGACAGCACATCCAGTAGTGTCAGGAGCTTGGAGCAGGCATTCGGAAGCATCTGTTAAATGTTATTGATGGAGGATTGACATAACCCACATCTGCATAGCTTTTTTGGTCTGTTTTTGGAAGTGAACAGTCACAAACAAAAACAACTTTGGTTCAGGTCATTTATAGGCCCAGATCCTCTATCCTTAGAGGTTTCCCACCAGATATACTATTTCACTATCTATGCCAGGAAAGTTACGTAAAACCACGCAGAATTTTACCTGACAACGAAATAGACCTTTTCGTTAGATCCTCCACCCCACCTAAAGCAGTTACACAGGCTGAAATGAAACTGTTAAAGGAATGAACTAACTTGGAGATAGAATCATCGCCTTTGCTGAACACCATTTTAAGAATATTGGAATATATAGGGGTACCAGCATAATAGTAAAATGTGCCCATATTATCTATAATTTTATGCTGGGCACTTTTTAGAAATTATTTTTTATAACTTTGTCTTTGAGATGATTTGGCTACAAGTTCATTACATTTAGTTTACAACTGGCTTTGATTTCTTGGCATTCGTTGTGTATTATTAGGAAACCCCGCAGAGAGAAAATGTAAACTCCAAATTGCTTTAAAATATTATGATAGTTTTTAGGGATATTACACTGTGACAGTGAATGAAATGGACGTAACGTTCTGTTTTGTAGATATTTTGTGAAATCTTTATTAGTCTTGATTTTCTTTGGAACAAGTCATTCCTGTTCTGGGCTGAAGCCTGAAAATTCCCTGACCTGTGACCCTGGCCCAAGGCTCCTCTTGGATAAAACAGTGTTTCCTGGACCAGAGGGCAAAGTCACAGAAACATGATGTGACGAAATCTAAATAGAAAGGTATTGATTTGTTCTTCGTTCATCAAATAGTTATTGGACTCCAGCACGTATGAGTAGCAGGGAGCCTGGCTAGCACTACACCTTCCCCTCCTGCCTCTCAGGGTCAGGGCCACAGGCACACACAGAGCGAGGGAAAATGAGGGGGTAGAGAGGCTGGTCCCGAGTCTCCAGCCCTTCTCTCCCAATCCTCTCCCTGAGTGGGCAGGGAACTCTTCTCTTGGCTCCTCCAACTTCCATCAACGTCTGCCCTTGGGTCTGGTTTTAAACTCTAAGGTGTAAATGACTCATAATGGCTCAACATTTTGTCCCTCCCAAGAGGTATTTTTAAGTCTAAGGAATAAAGATTTAATAGTAAAACTTCGAATGCCAATCAGGGGTAAGTGAGGATTTGGAAGAGGAAGGTCTTGAGCATTTTCCTAACACTGCTAAAATCATCCCATTGAGTTAGGGCAGCAACTATCCTGATGGGCTGGGTATGATGGAAGTTAGTCAATGTTTCAATAGATGGATGGATGGATGGATGGATGGATGGATGGATAGACTGACGGATGGATGGATGGATGGATGGATGGATGGATGGATAGACGGATGGATGGATGGATGGATGGATGGATGGATGGATGGATAGATGGATGGATACATAGATCACCTTTATTCTGATCTCAACTGGTCTTTGAAGCTTGATTCATTTTTTGATTTCTCACGGAGCCAGACTAGGGTCTGACACATTAGGAAGCTGGCAAAAGTTTGTTGACTAAACAAATTAATGAAGGGAAAATTATGTATGCAGAGATGCCTGGGGTTTGGGTTACCGTTTTGGGTCCCCTTTGATTTGAGCGACACACATGCTGACAACTTGAGTCTGAAGTTAGTGGATCCTTAGCTAACTTGCTAGAGTAAAGGTTGTGGTAAAACTTGACCTTGCTCTATTCATCAACAGCATATCCTGTGAAAGTCACGACGCTTCCATGAAAACCTTGGTGCTAGGCCTGTGATATCTTTGCAGAGGTCTGACCTAAGGAGACTGCTTGTGTCAATAGTAACAACAATCACAATTGTCCTGAACACAAAGGCAGCATTCTTTGTGTGCTAGCTGTGGTTTTAAGCATATTACGTCTATTTACTAATTTAATCCTGAAACAGCCTTTGCTTTAGGTACTCCTATTAACCTCATTTTATGGATGGGAAAATAGACTGTGAGAAGTGAAGTCACCCGCCCAAGGTCATACACCTGTAAGTGGTGGAGGCAGGGTTTGAACCGAGCACACTGGCCTCACTTCGTGGGCTCCTACCACTACGCTGCCTCATGTTACTACCCTGTATCCACCTCCAGAATGAGTTGGCAGCTGCAAGTTCTCCCCAAGGCCCCACTGCAGCCCTTGCATCTCAGCATCAGCTCCTTGCACGGCCAGGTGGTGTTGTTTCTGACTCGGGGTCTGCATCTCTCTCTGCGCCGCTGGGTTCAGGAGGCCCTGAGGAGCGAGCCCGGTCCAGTGCTAGCTTCGCAGCTCACAGCCCTTGGGCAAATGTTACAACTGGAGGGCTGCACAAATGCATCATGTGGTTTCAAACCATGCGTCTCTCTGAGCAGGAATTGCTGGAATGGGCCTCAGAAAGTTCCTGACCCTTTGTCTGGGGTCACAGGGTCTGTGTCCAGTGAGGCCTAGAGGCCACGTGAGGTCCAGAGAGAGAAGCACAAGGCAGCTGCTGAGGCCTCATAGGAACCATGCGGTGAAGGAACCAGGGTTTCTTCTTTCTCCATGGCAACTAGGAGTGCAGGTCAGCCTCGGAAAAGGATCCTCCATCTTTGGTTAAAAGAACGGTGAGCCCAGGTTTGGTAATGATGTAGCTGTGTGAGTTGATGGATGCAAAGTGCCCGGCGTGGTGCCTTATCCATCGTAGGTATTGCCGAAGGAGAGCTTTTGTCACCCCTTCCTGGAGAGGGGTGTTGTGGTTTGTGGGTTGAGACCTTTTGGATTCCTGGCATTGACAATGGCACTATTTGGGGTGGGGACCTTCTTGTTGGAGGAGTCTCCTTCCCTCCCTGCTGGTGATATAGGCAGGAAAAGAAGCCAAGAACTAGGCCAATTGCAATAAAGAAAGAAAGAAGCACCTTCTGAGCCTCTCTTGCCCTGTAAGGAGCCAAGGGGGACAGGGCCAGATACGGACCCACTGCAGGGATGGGCAGTCTCCGCCCTTCACTGAGGAGGATGCAGGACTTATGGCCCCACTGGGCGGCAGGGACACAGGAACCTAGACTGTCCATGCTCAGACACGGTCTGGATTTAGAACCGTAGGCCTTGGGGCCGTTTTCAAAAAATAGACCCTTTCCTTAGGAAAATCCCACAAAACTGCCCCAAAGACGAGTGAGGTAGGAAGAGCATGAGGCTCGGATTCTATTTACGCATGCATGTCCATTAGATTCTGGATTCAAAAGCCCCATGTTCTTGGGTTTAAGATTGTACTTTCTGACGTGAACAGTGAATTGCAAATTCAGACTTAAGAGATGGTTACTTTTCCACCAAGAGAACAGCCCCGAAACTTGGCCAGAGCATTGGTGTTTTGGTGCTGCTGTAACACAGTGCCACATGCTGGGAGGCTTGAGACAACAGACATTTGTCTGTTGCCTTGCAGTTCTGAAGGCCAAGAGTCCAAAACCAAGACGCTAGCAGGGCTGTGCTCCTCTGAGACTGGGTAGATGCCTTCCTGGCCTCCTCCAGCTTCTGGTGGTGGCCAGCAATCCTTGGCATTCCTTGGCTTCCAGCATGACCACTCCAATCTCTGCCTTTTTCATGACATGGTGGTCTTCCTGCATGTCTCTCCTCACACGTCGTTCTCTTCTTATAAGGACACCTGTCAGATTAGATGAGGGCCAATTCTAAGAAGCTTTTTTTTTTCTTTTTTGAGACAGAGTTTCATTCTTTCTTGCCCAGGCTGGAGTGCAATGGCGTGATCTTGGCTCACCGCAACCTCCGCCTGCCGGGTTCAAGTGATTCTCCTGCCTTGGCCTCCCGAGTGCTGGGATTACAGGCATGCACCGCCATGCCTGGCTAATTTTGTATTTTTAGTGGAGGCGGGGTTTCTCCATGTTGGTCAGGCTGGTCTCAAACTCCTGATCTCAGGTGATCCGCCTGCCTCGGCCTCCCAAAGTGCTGGGATTACAGGCATGAGCCACTGTACTGGGCTGATAAGGGCCAATTCTAATGGGCTCATCTTAACTTGATGACATCCACAAAGTCTCTGTTTCCAAATAAGGTCACATTCACAGGCACCAGAAGGTAGGGCTTCAATATGCATTTTGGGGGACAGACTTCACCCACTGACAGCCATATGTGTTCTTTACAGTTGCCACTATTTCTATGACTTGGAGTGAGACTGTGATTTTGTTTTTCTTTTTTTTTTGATGGCGTCTTAGTCTGTCACCTAGTCTGGAGTGCAGTGGCGTGATTTTTGGCTCACTGCACTCTTTGCCTCCCAGGTTCAAGCGATTCTCTTGCCTCAGCCTCCCAAGTAGCTGGGATTACAGGCATGCACCACCATGTCTGGCTAATTTTTGTATTTTTAGTAGAGACAGGGTTTCACCATGTTGGCCAGGCAGGTCTTGAACTCCTGATCTCAAGTGATCCACCCGCCTCAGCATCCCAAAGTGTTGATATTACAGGCGTGAGCCACTGTGCCTGGCCAAGGCTCTGATTTTCGTTAGGATCAGACGGATCACTTCTGTCACCAGCGATACCTGAGTACAGGTTAATCAATACAGCAAGATGTTGCACTAGTGATCGCAGCAGTCAAGTTCATTTCCAAATACAGAGCGAAAGCAAGGTGCCTTCCCAATCCTCTGCTCTGTCCTGTTTTCTGTCTCGGGACACCCTGTCATCCTCAGACAAGTGACAATGAAGAGACAGTAAAGGCAAACCAAGTCACTGTCCAAAAATTGCACCACCTACCTTGGAGAGCCTCTCATTTCCCATCAGATATGAATGAAAGATCAGATATAAACCTGATGGGAAATGAGAGGTTCCATTTCCTTTTTTTTTTTTTTATGTTGCCAAGCTTTATTTAGGCTGTAATGGTTACAGATAACACACATCTAACCCTATATTCTCTGCGTCCCATGCAGTCCCCTGAGCAGGCTCAGCTACCCTTTCCCTCCAGTCTCACTTCTTGTCTTCCTCCTTCTTGTCCTTCTTGCCATCCTTGGTGGCCTGGCAGGCCAGGGAGCCCACAGCGTTTCAAATGGCTTCATTGTTGGGATCCACACCTGGGAGGTTCTCCAGGACACTCTGAAGGAACTCAGGATCCTGCATCACGTCGTAATCATCCTCCTCCTTGGCTGGCTGGCAAGTGTCCATGGCTGAGCTGGCATCAATGTCTACTGATTCCGCCTGGCCAAACTCTGCTCCTGCAGGGACATCTTCATGACATAAGCAATCCCCTCTTCCTTAGGTCAGGAAGTCCGGTATGGCCAAACTCTTGTTGGCTAATGGTCATCTTCAGCAGGACCTCGTCTGAGCCTTCAGTCCCAGTTGTAGCAATCCTGGCCTCAGCAGCAGAGGCTGCAGCTGCTCGTCTGGGCTCCTCATCCTGCCGCTGCTGCTGCTCCTCCATAGAAACCCGAGGGCCAAGGCCAGCTGAGGATCAGCACTGGGATCTACTCCAAATTCAAAGTCACTGGCACCGAGACCCAGCATGGCACCCCCTTCCCCAGCCAAAATCGGAGAACTGATGAGAGCATCAGCCAAGCTGGGCCCAGGAGGCACTGCCACCAGATGAGAACCGCTTCCATCTTTGCCATTCAACGTGTTTACAAAGGCTGTCAGCTTTTCTCTGTTCACCTCCTCTTCCCCCAAATTTATCATGTCAACATTTACTTTCTCCTTCTTGAGGAATTTAGCCAGTTTCACCAGATCCTTCTCATTGCCTTTGGGCTTCCCACGAAGGCAATGATATGCGTCTTGTGATTCTTGCCCCGTCAGCGCTTCAGAGCCAGATGGGCCATGTGGATGCCAGTGTAGAAGGTGATCTTGCCCTTGGGTTGGACGGTGTGTAGCTTGGACAGGATGCGGCCGGTGTCTAGAGTGAGTGTGGTCAGCACTTCACAGTCATTAGCCAGTGTGATGAGGGCCATGTTGTTCTCAGGGTTGCTGTGGATTTTGTTTAATTTTTTTTTTTTTTTTGAGACTGAGTCTTGCTCTGTCACCTAGGCTGGTGTGCAATGGCGCAATCTCAGCTCACTGCAACCTCTGCCTCTCGGGTTCAAGGGATTCTCCTGTCTCAGCCTCCCAAGTAGCTGGAACTACAGGCGCCTGCCACCACACCCGGCTAATTTTTGTATTTTTAGTAGGGACGGGGTTTTACCATGTTGGTCAGGCTGGTCTTGAACTCCTGACCTCATGGTCTGCCTGCCTCGGCCTCTCAAAGTGCTGGGATTACAGGCGTGAACCACTGCGCCCGGCCTGTTGTGGGTTTTGAATGACATACTATGTTGACAGCGTCTTGCTGGGCCTGCAGCTGGGTGGGGAAGAAGTCCTCATTCTGCACATACTCACTGTTGTCCACACACACCATAGCGCTTTCCAACACCATCCTGCCACCCTCCTCCCTCCCATTTCTTGAAATAATCCTTCATGTATAACTTAGGTTAATAGTGCCTCATAGTCTACTTAGAAAGAATCAGATAGAATTTTCTTTAGTAAGGAAATTTCCAAATAGAGAATAGAAAAGTTAATTGATGGCAATGTATTTAATAGCGAGGATCAGTGAGGAAATGAATTAAAGAGGTTCCTTTTACACTTTTCTTCTCTGAAGCTAGGTACACCTTAGTTCATGTTGCAGCTTCTTTGGTGCTGTCAGATCATAGTTGGTATGAAATGGGAAGTTTCTGAAAGTCAGATGACACATTTGTGAAATGCAACCTCACTGTTATCTACCCGGCACCCATCATTTAGCTGACAACAATCTCAGCAACAGGCATTTCAATGTGGTCCTGCGTTTGCTAATTGCTGGTGTGTACTCAGGACACCGGAAGATTTAACCTTTTGGATGAGACAGATACCAGTAACTTCCCAGCTGAGCTTCCCAGGAATGAACTGATGAGAAGTGACATCCAAAAAACTGTCTCTTAAAATATAAAGAGATCAAAAGCATGAAGTAGAGACTCAAACAGGTGTGTGCACACTCACCTTCATAGCAGCATTATTTGCAATAGTCAAAAGGTGGCAGCAGGCCAGGCGTGCACTGAGAGACGAATGGATAAACAAAATATGCTGTAACCACACAATGCAACATCCAGCCAGAAAAAGGAAGTTCTGACACATGCTCCAACACGGCTGAACCTTGAGGATGTTATGTTAAGTGAAATATGCCCATTGCAAAAAGACAAATACTGTGATTCCCCTTCCTTCCTTCCTTCCTTCCTTCCTTCCTTCCTTCCTTCCTTCCTTCCTTCCCTCTCTCTTTCTTTTTGAGACAGAGTCTCACTCTGTTGCCAGGCTGGAGTGCAGTGGCGGGATCTCAGTTCACTGCAACCTCTGCCTCCTGGGTTCAAGCGATTCTCCTGCCTCAGCCTCCCGAGTAGCTGGGATTACAGGCACGTGCCGCCATGCCCAGCTAATTTTTGTATTTTTAGTAGAGACGGGGTTTCACCATGTTGGCCAGGATGATCTCAATCCCTTGATCTCGTGATCCACCCTCCTCGGCCTCCCAAAGTGCTGGGATTACAGGTGTGAGCCACCGCGCCCGGCCTGTGATTCCACTTTTATGAGATACCTAGTATAGTCAAATTAATAGAGACAGAAGGTAGAATTGCGGGTGCCAGGGGCTGAGGGCGGGGGGGTGGGGAGTTACAGTTTAATGGGTACAGACTTTCAGTCTGGGAGGAGGAGAAAGCTCCGGAGAGGGATGGTGGTGGATGGCTGCATGATATGCGTGTACTTAATGTCACAGAACTATGTACTTCAAATGGCTGAAATAGCACATTTTACGTTATGTGTGTTTTACTACAATAAAAAATACAGAAAGAGGCCGCGCACAGTGGCTCACGCCTCTAATCCCAGCACTTTGGGAGGCTGAGGTGGGCAGATCACCTGAGGTCAGGAGTTCAAGACTAGCCTGGCCAACACGGTGAATACAAAAATTAGCTGGGTGTGGTGGCATGCATCTGCGATCCCAGCTACTCAGGAGGCTGAGGCAGGAGAATCACTTGAACCTGAGAGGTGGAAGTTGCAATAAGTCGAGATCAAGCCACTGCACTCCAGCCTGGGCAACAGAGTGAGTGAGAGTCTGTCTCAAAGAAAAAAAAAAAAAAATATATATATATATATATATATATATGGAGAGAGAGAGAGAGAGAAAGAGAATGGGGGGCGGGAGAGAGAGAGAGAAAGAGAGAGAGAGAGAGAGAGAACATCCAAAACTGATATTAGCCATTCTGAATTGGACTGTCCCATCAAATGTGGTCTTGCAGCTGTCCACTTGTTTAGGAGTAAGGAGTTTTATTGGAATGAATGTTCTCAGATATTAATCAACACAGTACCTCCCTCCCTTCTCAGTTCCAGCTGATGCTGAGACACCAATGGCAAATCTTGATCCATGCCCACCCCAGGAGGATGAGCGACAGTCAGGATTTTGGGCCACAACACATGCAGCTTCCTGCAGTGTCCTCTTCTCCAGGGTGTGCTGTGGGAAGGCCTCACCAGCTTGGGCAGGGGCTCAGCTCTCACGGGACGAGGCAGCTGAGTAGCTGATGGCAGGGCCTGGTGGGGGGCCGGGGACGACGGCAGAGTCATCCACTGCCACTCTGGACAAAGGCCAAACCTGTCCTGGATGCCACCTAGTTGCTGCCCTCTTAACCTGACCCTCTGGCCTGCCTCAGACCTTATAATTTCCTAAGCACGTCTGCATAGACTGTTATTTAGTCTTGCCAATGACCGCGAGGGAGCTGTTATCACTGCCAGGCATCATGTCCAGTCCTCACGGCTGGCCATAAGAAGATCCGGGCCTCACCTGGGCCTCCCATCCAAGCCCCAAGTTCTTTCCTCCCCCAGTAGCCAGCCAGAGCCACCAACCCTCCCTCAAGCCATGAGAGGAAGCAGCTGTGATGAGCACTGAGCCCTCAACCAGGAGCCGTTGAATGAACAGGTGTGAATCTCAAACACAATTTTCTGCAAGGTCTTCTCCACTCCCAGGCCCAGCTGTATCTCTTACGGCTGAGGGATCAGGATGACTTTGCTGCGGCCTCGCTGGAAGCATCTCTCTAGATTGCCACGGACCAGGCAGTCTAGAGATGAGGAAGTCAGAGGCTCCACAGACACTCAGATATCATCAGATCCCCTCCCAAAGGGAGAAGAATGCTCTGTTTTATTTTATTCTATTTAACTTTGTTAATTTAATTTTTAGAGGCAGGATCTTGCCCTGTTGCCCAAGCTGGAGTGCAATGGCTCGACCGTGGGTCACCGCAGCCTTGAGCTCCTGGGCTTAAGAGATCCTCCTGCCTCAGCCTCCCAAAGAGCTGGGACTACAGGTGCGAACCACCATGTCTGCTAGTTCAATTTTTTTTTAATTTTTTTTTTTTTTTTTTTTTGTGACAGAGTCTCACTCTGTCACCCAGGCTGGACTGCAGTGGCGTGATCTTGGCTCACTGCAACCTCCACCTCCTGGGTTCAAGTGATTCTCCTGCCTCAGCCTCCCAAGTAGCTGAGATGACAGGTGTGCACCACCATTCCAGGCTAATTTTTGTATTTCTAGTAGAGATGGGGTTTAACCATGTTGGCCAGGCTGCTTTCAAACTCCTGACCTCAAGGGATCCACCTGCCTCGGCCTCCCAAAGTGCTGGGATTACAGGTGTAAGCCACCATGCCTGGCCAAAAAATTTCTTTACTTATAATTTTTTGTAGAGATGGGGTCTCTCTATGCTGCGGAGGCTGGTCTCGAACTCTTGGCCTTAAGAGATCCTCCCACCTGGGCCTTTCTCTGACTGTTCAGTTTGATACACGTGGAACCAGGTTTGCTTGCACCCTCCTCACCGCTTCTGCTTTCTGCTCCTCCCAAACACATGAACATATTCAGATATGCATCAACGTGCACATATGCCAACACGTGTGGGCACACACATGCAAGTGCACAGACACACACACACACACACACACACACACACACACACACACCCCTGGACACACACACATTGTTTTCTCAAAATGACTTTTGGCAGCAGCAAAGCCAAACCTTTCCAAAGGCCGAAGAAAGGCCTTCATTTGCATCACGTTAACTTGGGGGGCTGCATCTCCTCCCCTGTTTTTAGTACAAAACATGAGTCAACGGTTCAACCCTCACCCCAGCAAACTAATTAGGGTCAATGTGATTAAAGGGCTCAGCTCTGGTGCAGGAACTAGGATCCCCAGATATCCTGAAGAACTTCACTCACAGTCTCTTTCCTAAGGTTTGTGCCCTAAAACAAGGCACTGACTCACTGTGTTCAGCTCTTAATAACCTCAAGAACCTCCCTTCCCAGCTGGGCGCCTCTTCCATAAAGGGGTTACCAGAAAACAAGAAGCAACACACAAAGCTTTCAAAAGCGAAACGGCGAGGAATGTAGTGCGTGTCAGCGAGTCAACGAAAATAAGAAAGGGACCTGATGTCAAGCTTGACACGATCATTTTAATTTCCGCGTACTTTTTGGGTCTTTTCATGTTGGCTTCATGGAAATTTATGTTTGCTGAGAAGACTGTATTTGCTACAGGATCTCGCTGTGTTCATTTAGCCTGGTAATAAAAACCATCTGCCTGAAATCCTTTTTGGAACAAGGAGGGGTATAAGCAAATAAGCAAATGGTCATAAAAGATCTGGAGAAGGGTGGGGCTGTGTCAGGAAAGTGGGGAGCCTGGAGTACATGCCTCGGGAGTGGCGACTGTAGGAGGCCGGGGACTACTGAAGGTCATGTGTGAGGCTGTACAGCTTTCCCAGTAAATATGGTGCATGTTGGGAGGACAGGTGCATGTGGACAGGCCGCCTCTCTTCCCAAGCACCCGCTCTGGGCTGGGGTCTCACCACTGGAGTAAGAACAGTATCATGATGCATTAAGTGAGGAGTCCTTGACGTGGGTTGAATAGTGTCCCTGCAAAACTCACGTCCACCCAGAACCTCAGACTATGACCTTCTTTGGAAATAGAGTCTTTATGGGTGTGATTAAGTTAGTATGTGGCTGACTGCGGTGGCTCACGCCTGTAATCCCAGCACTTTGGGAGCTTGAGGTGGGAGGATTGCTTGAGGTTGGTAGTTCGAGACCAGCCTGGGCAACATGGCGAAACTCTGTCTCTAAAAAAAATGCAAGGGCCGGGCGCGGTGGCTCACGCCTGTAATCCCAGCACTTTGGAAGGCCGAGGCGGGTGGATCATGAGGTCAGGAGATCGAGACCATCCTGGCTAACAAGGTGAAACCCCGTCTCTACTAAAAATACAAAAAATTAGCCGGGCGCGGTGGCGGGCGCCTGTAGTCCCAGCTACTCGGGAGGCTGAGGCAGGAGAATGGCGTGAACCCGGGAAGCGGAGCTTGCAGTGAGCCGAGATTGCGCCACTGCAGTCCGCAGTCCGGCCTGGGCGACAGAGCGAGACTCCGTCCCAAAAAAAAAAAAAAAAAAAAAAAAAAAATGCAAAAATTAGCTGCAGGGCATGGTGGCGAGCACCTGTAATCCCAGCTACTTGGGAGGCTGAGGTGGGAGGATCTCTTGAGCCCGGGAGGTGGAGGTTGCAGTGAGCAGTGATTGTGCCACTGCACTGCAGCCTAGGTGACAGAGCAAGACCCTGTCTCAAACAAAACAAAACGAAAAAAAGGTAAAGATGAAGTTATACTGGCTTCCAATGGCTGCTGTCCTTACAAAAAAAGGATAGGCATGGAAGAAGGAAGACAGCCACGTGACGACAGAGGCAGAGGTGGGGATGATGCGACTACAAGCCAGGGAAGGCCAAGGAGACCTGGAGCCACCAGGACCTGGGACCAGCAAGGAAGGGGCCTCCCCTAGAGCCTTCAGAGGGTCGTGGCCCTGCAGGCACCTTGATTTTGGATTTCCAGCCTCTGGAGCTGTGAGAGAATGATGTTCTCTGTAGGAGGAAGCTCTCTGAGTCCCCCTCTCTGCCTGGGAGCTCTGAGCCACTGTGTCTTTGTGGGGAGAGACGAGTCAGACAAGATCGCAAAGAAGCATCTCAAACTCTTGGCCTTTAAAGCAGGCATTGAAGACCATGAGCAGGACAGAACCAACCCTGAGAGGATACTGTTGAGCACGTGTTTTGTTTACCGGTTTGTTTTTCTGCCCGCCCCCGGGGAGGAGGTCGAGCCTCCTGGACTCAAGGAAATAAAAGGGCAGCCTCCTGGAGAGCAGCTGTGAGGGGCTGTGAGAGGGGCCTTCGTCCTGTCCTGGTCTCTGGGTCCACCCCACAGTTGGGGGTGTCACCACAGGAGTCCTGAGCTGGGGTCTGTGAGTAGAGAGGGCTGCTCTTCTGCCTTCCCTGGGAGGCAGGGCACGGAGGAGAAATGGCAAGACACATTAAGCTTTCTTAATGTGGGTTCTAGTAACATAGGTTTTTATGTTCTCAGCAAGACAGGGTTCTTGTAAGCCAGGCATTGGTAAGAGATAATCTTCAAGGTTCCTTTAGCTCTGATTACCATATAAAGACCTGGGCCTGCAGGTCTGATCTTTGAGGTTCTTATAATCCAGAAAACTCAGGACACTGCATGCCAGTGTCAGCTTCAAGGAGCAAGGGAAGCTCAGTTCTTCCAGTCCTGGGGCACGAGGAGGAGGAGGGAAGGCGAGGAAGGGAAGCCTAGCGGCCGCACACTTGTCATAGTCTCTCTCACAGCTAACATTGTGGAGCGGGAGCCTCTGCAAAATGGGCTTTTTTTCTGCCCCCTGCTTGGAATCATTGGAGGAGGCCCCATTTCAGAATGGGAGTGTGGGTGGGTACTGAAGGAACACATGTGGCTGGAGGAAGGTGGGATGGATGAGCACACGCTGGGATTCCTCACAGCCTTCATCTCCTCCATGGTGTGGAGGGGACCCAGGATCCTCATGTGTTCCCAAAGCAGGTATAGAGTGGCTGGGCACCAAGTCCTGGCTGGGAGCCAGTGGATGCCAAGAGCCCACTTTTGCCAGGATGGGTTGGGAATCCCACTAGATCTTGGGGGGATCACCATGGTGGACTTGCTCACACATGAGAGCCCCCAAGAGCAGGACCTCAGGATCTTCTGCGGGGACATCAACTGGATTCGCAAAGAGCCCACCCGTGCTGGGTGGACACCTGCTGGGCAGCAGAGGCTGATGTCGGACTAGCCTCTGGCACAGACCGGGAGACCATCTTCTCTCCCAGCGGGGGACTGTGAGATTTCCTGCACACTGGTCGCCATGTAGGATATGATGCCAGGGAAGAGAGAAACAGGACTGACGAGAGTGGTATCTACAAACAAATATTTATCTAATAAGGCCCATTTCAATCAAAGAAGCTTGTTTCAAACAGACAGGGCTGAGAGGATATTCCTAACAAATTAAAGTCCCCTGGGCTGGCCGTGGGAGAGGGTCTCACGAGGAGGAGAACTAAAGAAGCTCTGTGGTCCCTGCACACTGGCATGTTCGAGAGAATCTGAACTGTTACTGCCTTGGCATGAAAAGATGATTGTTAGGGGCTGAACTGTGTCCCCTCCCAAATTTATATGTTGAAGTCCTGGCCCCCAGTGCCTTAGAATGTGGCTGTACTTGGAGATGGAGTGTACAAAGAGGCGATTCAGTTAAAATGAGTTCGTACGGGTGGGCCCTGACCCAATCTGACTGGTGTCCTCCCAGGAAGGGGAGACGAGTTCACAGGCACATGCAGGGGGATGACCCTGGGATGGCACAGGGACAAGACAGCATCTATAAGCCAGGGAGGGGGCCTCAGGAGAAACCCACCCTGTGGGTGCCTTGATCTCGGACTTCCAGCCTCCAGAACTGTGAGACAATAAATGCCTGTTGTTTAAGCCGCCCTGTCTGTGGAGCTTTGTTACAACATTCTTGGCAGATGAATACAATGATTCTGCTCAAGGACCACAGGTCTTCCTGTGCATCCCCGTAGACATCTGTATCCAGACGAGGACCACACAGGAGGCCTGGATGTTCCCAAACTTCCCTCAGATGCCTGCTGTTACCTGAGTTCCCTGGGTGGAGGAACAAATCCCCCCACACAGAAAGGGGAACCAGAGGCCCAGCACGGTGCCTCACGCCTGTAATCCCAGCACTTTGGGAGGCTGAGGCTGGTGGATCACCTGAAGTCAGGAGTTCGAGACTAGCCTGACCAACATTGTGAAACCCCTTCTCTACTAAAAAATACAAAAATTAGCTGGACATGGTGGTGGACACCTGTAACCCCAGCTACTCAAGAGGCTGAGGCAGGAGAATTGTTTGAACCCGGGAGGCGGAGGTTGCTGTGAGCCGAGATCGTGCCATTGCACTCCAGCCTGGGCAACAAGCGTGAAACTCCATCTCAGAAAAATAAATAATAAATAAAGGGGAACCAGAAAGTCTGATTGGATCAAGTTTATCCTGAATTGACTGAATTTTGTTTAATTGTCAAGTTTAAGAACTCCATTATGGGGTGGGATGAAGGCTTGGGACAGAAATCATATTCAGTTATGGAAAAGGGAATCTGAAATTTTTTGCTACCCATTTGAGTTTTGAAGTCTCAGGAAATCACACTGACTTCATCAAAAAAGCAGGTGCTGCCATGCACATTCGATCAATGCAGATGCTGATGTTTACAATGAGCAGTTGCAGCTTCCCTCCTGACAGCCTGGAGCTTGGGGCTAGAGCCCCTGGCCCACAGGCTAAGAAGCAAGGGTGATTTTACAACCCATGCACTGAGTTAGAGAGTGTTCTTACCCCACGAAGTTCTTGTCCACTCAGAACCTCAGAACGTGACCTTATTTGGAAGTAGGGCTGTAGGTGTAATGAGTTAAGATGAGGTCACAGTGGATTAGGGTGGTCCCTACACCAATGCCACTGGTGTCCTTATAAGAGCAGAGGAGACACAGGGGGAAGAGGGCTATGTGAAGACTGAGGCGGAGATTGCAGCTGTAGGGCAGGGAATGCTGGGGATGGCCAGGCCCCACTGGAAGTTGGAAGGGGCAAGGAAGCCTTCTTTTCTAGAGCTTCAGAGACAGCATGGTCCTCTTGGCACTTTGATTTCAGAATTCTGGCTTCCAGAACTGGGAGTAAATTTCGGTTGTTTTAAGCCATCGAATTTGAAGTACTTTGTTACAGCTGCCCTAGGATGCTAATATACTGTGTTATAAAAATCAGGGTTTCTGCCGGGTGCAGTGGCTCCCAAAATGCCTGTAATTCCAGCACTTTGGGAGGCTGAGGAAGGAGGATCATTGGAGTCCAGGAGTTTGAGATCAGCCTGGGCAACATAGTGAAACCCCATCTCTACAAAAAAATACAAAAATTAGCTGGGCATGGTGATGCACACCTGTGGTCCGAGGTACTTGGGAGGCTGAGGTGGAAGGATCTCTTGAGCCCAGGAGGCTGAGGCCGCAGTGAGCCATGATCACACCACTACACTCCAACTAGGGAGACAGAGTGAGACCTTGTTTCAAAAAAAAAAAAAAAAAAAAAGTCAGGGTTTCTAGAGCCTGTGCTCTATCTGAAATGATTTAGAAGCCTTTCTTCTAGGGACGAATCCCTCCAAATTTAGAACCAGGCAGGAGATTTAGGCACAAGAGCATCCCCTGCTCCCCCTTCCTAGTCTAAATCAGATGACATGGACCCCTGAGAGCGAATGCTTGCAAATCACTCAGGATACCCGCCCAGCCAATGGAGAAGAAAGCAGAGGAAGGAAGGAAAGAAGGGTGGAAGGAAGGAAGGGAGGAGGGGAGGAAGGGAGGGAGGAAGGGAGGGAGGAAGGAAGGGAGGGAGGGAGGGAGGGAGGAAGGGAGGGAGGAAGGCAGGGAGGAAGGAAGGGAGGGAGGAAGGAAGGGAGGGAGGGAGGGAGGGAGGAAGGGAGGGAGGAAGGGAGGGAGGAAGGGAGGAAGGGAGGGAGGAAGGAAGGGAGGGAGGGAGGAAGGGAGGGAGGGAGGAAGGGAGGGAGGGAGGGAGGGAGGGAGGAAGGGAGGGAGGGAGGAAGGGAGGGAGGAAGGGAGGGAGGGAGGGAGGGAGGGAGGAAGGGAGGGAGGGAGGGAGGAAGGGAGGGAGGAAGGAAGGGAGGGAGGGAGGAAGGGAGGGAGGGAGGAAGGGAGGGAGGGAGGGAGGAAGGGAGGGAGGGAGGGAGGAAGGGAGGGAGGAAGGGAGGAAGGGAGGGAGGAAGGGAGGAAGGGAGGGAGGGAGGGAGGAAGGGAGGGAGGAAGGGAGGGAAGGAGGGAGGGAGGAAGGGAGGGAGGAAGGGAGGGAGGGAGGAAGGAAGGGAGGGAGGGAGGGAGGAAGGGAGGGAGGAAGGAAGGGAGGGAGGGAGGGAGGGAGGGAGGGAGGGAGGAAGGAAGGGAGGGAGGGAGGGAGGGAGGAAGGGAGGGAGGGAGGGAGGGAGCGAGGGAGGGAGGGAGGGAGGGAGGGAGGAAGGAAGGGAGGGAGGGAGGGAGGAAGGGAGGGAGGCAGGCGGCAGGCACACGCACACAGGCTCTCTTTGCTTTCCAACAGGAAGGGGCTCAGGGTCTGTTTTCTTTTCCCTTCCTTTCAGATGGATCTTTCATATCTCCAATAACTCTTATCTTTCAGCAAACTCCAACAGGCCCCAAACGAGCTGAGAAAATATCCAACTTCAAAGGTTTTGCACAAATCATCTTAAAGGCCTGACCTAAGCCCGGAAAGCCGGAACGAAGCCCAGAAATCAGTCCTCATTTCATCGCCGTTTAGCCAAGACACCTTTCCCGTCCACAGATCACATCTGCCCCCTTCTGCCCCCGCCCAGGTCCCAACCACCTTGAGACACCTGCGTGATCCATCCTCAAAGCAATGAGTTAGGAGCCGCACTCCTGGTCCTTGGCCGGTGGCTTCAGTGTTATTCCGGGGGGCTGGGTGGGGGCACCTGTGGGGACTGCCCCGTGAGGCTGTGGTTTAATTTCCTTTGCTACTTTCCTTAGCTCTTCAGTCTCAGTCTCAGCCACTGAAATGTGTCTTGGCCACTGGTGGTACAGCACAGGGTGACACTGTTGTCAGCGAGAGGAAGATGCTTTTTTTTTTTTTGAGATGGAGTTTTGCTCTGTTGCCCAGGCTGGAGTGCAGTGGTGCAATCTTGGCTCACTGCAACCTCCACCGCCCGGGGTTCAAGCGATTCTCCTGTCTCAGCCTCATGAGTAGCTGGGATTACAGGCACCCACCACCATGCCCAGCTAATTTTTGTATTCTTAGTAGAGATGGGGTTTTGCCATATTGGCCAGGCTGGTGTCGAACTCCTGACCTCAGGCGGTCCACCTGCCTTGGCCTCCCAAAGTGCTGGGATTATAGACATGAGCCACTGCGCCCAGACAGGAAGATGCGTTTGTGAGCCGGGACAATTGTGAGTGGAAAGAGAAGAAAAAAAGTAAAATAATAATACTAATAATGCCTTTTCTCTGGTCCTGGAAGATCTATATGAACTTGTATTTTACATCTCTTGTCTGGATTTAGCTGTGAAAGACCAGTAGACCAACTGGTGGGAAAAATACTTGCACGGCAGCAGGTTGTTTGAATAAAATAGGAGATTTCCAGTCTCAGATTGGATACATGCACTTAATATCAGCAGACTTGTTGTGAGTATAAGCCTCTATAAACTGAGCACTGTTGCAGGCGATGGGGACGTGGAACTGGTAGGACCGATGGCTAAGCTCTCTTCCCCTCCACCCTGGAAAAAATGAACATAGGATCTGGCTGTGGCAGACAGCAGCCTACAGAAAGGTGGGGGCACCTCTCAGCTGGCCTTCAGCTCCAATACAGACACGGGAAAACCAGTCTCAGTTCAGGTCTGGGCCCCACTGGCTGCGTCTGCCTGGACACCATCAGCCCTGCACGAAGGTGGCCGCTGAGGGGCCCTCATGGGGGCTGAAATTCAACCAAGGCTTGATTCCTGCCTGAGGTGCCAGGAACCTGTCCCTTTCTTCTAGGTGGTTCGCTCAGCAAGGGTACTTTTTGTAATTCAGCCACCCAGATGGGAGTGTCCTCTTGCACTCCATCCATCTGGATGAAGCACCTTTATTTTCTAATTTGGCCAGTTTCAGGGCACATGACAATCACCGATATGACAGAAGGGTAACCTTTCTGGGGTTGCATCTTAGGAAATTTCATTGAAGGAGGAGTAGAGAGATGATATCATTGACCACAGGACTCAAGAAATAAGCCCAGAGCACACATCGGTTTTGTGGGGGCAATGAACCCCGCAACTGCGGGAAACTGACCTTCAGCACTTTGATGTGAATGGGGCCATTGCTTTCAGCTTTCTCCAAGGTTTTTGTTTGTTTGTTTGTCGGTCTTACTCTGTCGCCCAGGCTGGAGTGCAGTGGTGTGATCTCAGCTCGCTGCAACCTCTGCCTCCTGGGTTCAAGCGATTCTCCTGCCTCAGCCTCCCAAGTTTTTACTTGAAACCTGCATACACACAGCCTTTTTGTTTTATGGGCTGGGTTCCTACAGAGAGTTATGAATGGAGGATTGAGTGCATTTAGGCTATTAGTAGAAAGTGATCAAGATTAGAATAGAGTGGCTTATCTGTGTTTAGAGTCTCTAAAGTTGTTGCAGGGGGCTTGTTGCAATGTCCGTACCAGGGCCCCAACCCAGACCTACCGAATCAGAATTTCAGGAGGGGAGGTTAGGAATCTGTGGTTTTATGTCAGCCCCTGTTCCAGTCCACGTGACTCTTATGCATCATGATGTTGAGATTCACTGATTTAGACACGCAGACAATAAATACTGATTCTTGGACTACAGAGCCAAAGACAAATCGAGTGACGTATTCTAGCTCATGGAGCCAGCTGGGCAAAGCCAGCAGGGATTTATTGCTCCTTAGATGATCAATGCTGCCCCCAGGGCTGCTGTCATCTCCTGATGACGAGCAACATTTTCACAACATCAGGGGGCTGGTGGAGAAAATCGGGGGGTCTCCGGAGCAACCCCGGGAGCAGTACTGGGCCCAGAAGCCTGCCCCAGCCGCGCACACAGAGTCTACCTGTCTTCCAATGCGAGTCCCGCGAGGTGAAGAATTAGAGCATGTTGTTCATTTATAATGTTTGCTTTGCTTTTGGAAACACCCTGGGGCAACTCAGGCAAGGTTTTCAATGTGGTGTTTGACTTGGCTTAGCTGCAAAGTTCCCCCTTTTTGGTCTGTTTATGGCAAGTTAGCACACGGCCCCATATCCAGGAGCCTAACACCAGCCCCAGCAGAAATCAGGGAGCGGGCAAGGAAGTGAAACATTGGGAGGGCTGGGTTGGGCTTCCCTGTACCCGCCCTCTCAGCCGGGAGCTCGCCTGAGGTCAGGCTGGGCACCAGGCCACCTCAGACTTTGCAGCCTCGGACCTGTTACTGCAGCCCGAATAACAGTGACGCCTCGGACAGTGACACGTCCCGCTGACCAACCACAGGGTCTGGAGGATAATTTCCCAGGAAAGAGATACATTCCATTCATTTTTTTAAAATTTTATTTTAAATTTAGACAGAGTCTTGTTCTGTTGCCCAGGCTGGAGTGCAGTGGTGCAATCTCGGTTCACCGCAACCTCCACCTCCTGGGTTCAAGCAATTCTCCTGCTTCAACCTCCCTAGTAGCTGGGATCACAGGTTTGTGCCACCATGCCTGGCTAATTTTAGTATTTTTAGTAGAGATGAGGTTTCACCATGCTGGTCAGGCTGATCTTGAACTCCTTGCCTCAAGTGATCCACCCGCCTCGGCCTCCCAAAGTGCTGGGATTATAGGCGCACGTCACCGTGCCCGGCTGATACATTCCATTCTTTAGCTCCCTCTTTCTTACATATTTTCTTTTCTTTTTACAAAGTCAACCCACTTTCAGTAGGAAGTTGCCGATTCTTTCTCATGTTTACTTTTGAGTTTCAAATAGACACCGCCTTATCTTTTAATAAGACTTGCTATCACTGTGCCAGCCACTCCATTTACATCATTTCATTTCATCTGCACAGAACTCTACGCAGGGGGTATGATTAGATCGCATTTAATGATGAGAAAGCAAACTCGGAGAGCTTAAATCAGCGGCCCAAGGTAGCCCAGCTAACACCCGGGGGGTGCGGCTCAGCCGCAGGTCTTCTCAGCGATGTGGTTGCTGTCTGCCTGGCTAATGGCCTGCCACATCCTGAACCCTTCAATGTCACCCTCATCTTTCCTTCTCTGCCTTAGAAGAGAAAAGGATGATGGCTTATCTGAGGGCTGAAAGATTTCATCCACATCAAGCCCCATTTGCATGAAATGTATCTGCCCAGTTTATATCAGCAACATGAAGAGCAAAGAAAACTGCCTGTTTATATTGCCACATCTGCAGGGCATTGAAATACATTATTAATGGGAGTTTCAGTCAATATCTCACTTTTTTTTTTTTTTTTTTTTTTTTTTTTTTTTTTTTAGAAAAGTGAAACCATGATTGGGTTACATTAGTGTGAGTTGTAGAAACCAGGTTAAATCTGACCTTTGGGACATGGAGACGGTCATCTGACCCAGGGCGGGTCACATTCAAAGAGCACAGACAAGGTCCCCCTGAAGTCAGTGGGACATTTGGGCCTGAGACTATGAAACTGAACTAGAACTTATGGGCTTTAGGGAACAAGCCCAAAAGCTCCTAAATTTCCTCCTTGAAGATCTCCTCGCTACTGTTTTTCTTCTAGATATTCTGCTGCTTTGACAGGTACGCCACCCCCTGTCTCCAAACTCACACGTTCAACCCAGTGATGGGTGGAGACTGGGAGGCTCTGTTAGTCTCTCTTTTCAGTAGCCTGGCCCTAAATTAAAGGGCCCATGGTTTTCTCTAGTTGAACACACCCCAGGCTCCCAGCCAGCCCCTGGCCCTCGAGAGGGGTTGTTTTTGATGGCAGGAGGGAGATAAAAGTGAATGTATTTTAGGATCTTGTTACTAGGCCACAAGGAAACACTGGATGGAAAGTCTTATGAATTTGAAAAGACCTTTTTTTTTTTTTTAAATCAAATCCAAGGAACCCAAAAGGCGTTAAGCTATTGTTTAAACATAGACCCAGTGCCCAAACCCTGCACACTAGTTTGTAGAGGTTGGAAGAGGCAGGATGGAAGGGGTTAATGGTGCTATTCTTTCTTGAATATTCTGTAACACACCACAATGAGCCAAAAGCAGTCACAGGGAACCATCATGAGGAGTAGCATGTTTTTACCTATGTTAACTCCAACATCCGCAATAGCTGAACCTTAGAATTATTATCCGAATTGTGCATACCAGGAAACAACAGATTTGATGAGTTTAATAACTTGTCCAACATTACAAAGTTAGCAAGAGGTAGGGTCCAGAAATGAACAGCGTCCTTTCTTCTGCAGGCTGGCTCCCATGAAATACTATTCTTATGCCTGTTGAGGTCTGATGTGGTATCACATTATACTACTGGACCAGCTAGGGGGTCAAGAGCATTATGCCATCTCTGTAGTATGCTTAGGGGTCAGTCCTGAAATGAGCAGAGTTCACTTTCAGCCATGAAAAGGATATTCCGAGGAACTGATATCTTAGATTGCTTTCTTTTAGTGCATAGACATCACTTGAGAGGCTTCATGTTACTGAGACATCTTGTAAACTTTACAGCTACTGTTTTACACTTCATCAGCATTCCTGATCTTATTATGGTGTTCACTTCAAATAATGTTGGGTGTGTAAGAATCAAATGCAAATTGTACAGTATTTGACACGGATGTCTTTAGGAGCCAATATTTCCTTAAATATCATGGTTTCAGTGTTATCCACTAATGCTTTAATAGATAGGGTTTCTTTGCATTCATAAATGGTAATAAAGATACGAGTTGTCTACTATAAAACCAAACACTTATATTTCCCAACTACTAAAACATCTATGTAATCTTGAATCCATCTGACCTAAAGGAAGGAAAATGTTCTCAACCCAGGCTACACATTAGAACACTTGGGAAGCTTTGAAAAATTCTTAATGAATGGGCCCCACTCCTAGACCAATTAATTCAGATCTCTGAGAAGTGTGGTCTGAGAACTGATGGTTTAGAAAACTGTACAGACAGTTCTAACATGCAGCCAGCTTGAGAACTACTGGGTTTAGACAAGAATGGATTTTTTTGTTTTTTGAGATAGAGTCTCACTCTTTCGCCCAGGCTGGAGTGCAGTGGCACAATCTTGGCTCACTGCAACCTCTGCCTCCTAGGTTCAAGAGATTCTCCTGCCTCAGCCTCCCAAGTAGCTGAGATGACAGGTGTGCACCACCATTCCGGGCTAATTTTTGTATTTTTAGTAGAGACAGGGTTTCACCATATTGGCCAGGCTGGTCTTGAGCTCCTGACCTCAAGTGATCCACCTGCCTTGCCCTCCCAAAGTGTTAGGATTACAGGCATGAGCCACTATGCCCAGCTAATATGGTTTGGTTCTGTCCCCATCCAAATCTCATCTTGAATTCCCATGCGTTGTGGGAGGGACCTAGTGGGAGGTAATTGAATCATGGGGCCAGATCTTTCTCACGTTGTTCTCGTGACAGAGATCTGATGGTTTTAAAAATGGGAGTTTCCCTCACAAGCTCTCTCTTTGCCTGTCGCCATCCATGTAAGACATGACTTGCTCCTCTTTTCTTTCCACCATGATTGTGAAGCTTCCCCAGCCACATGGAACTATGAGTTTTCCATGAAATCTCTTTCCTTTGTAAATTGCCCAGTCTTGGGTATGTCTTTATCAGCAGCATGAAAATGAACTAATACACCAGCCAAGAATGGATTTTTAAATTAATGGAGTTAGGTCTGATTAATATCAATGCATTAATGTATAAATGTCTACATTATGCATTACAATAAACAGTTTTGAATATAACACAACTAAAATATATGCAATGAATACAATACATACAGTAAGTCATTAGCTTCCAGGTATAAGTAGATGCTCAATAAATATTACTGAGTTACTGAATGAATGGCATCCTACAAAGTTTTATATGAAAAATTATATTTTGATGAAATTAAGATGCCATCAATTGTAAGATGTAGTATCACTGATAAAGAAAATAGATTCATTAAATTATGACATGCTATCTAGTATGTCACACCCTAACTTCAAAAATGTTAAAAAGGCCAGATGTGGTGGCTCATGCTTGTAATACCAGCACTTTGGGAGGCCAAAGTGGGAGGATCACTTGAAGCCAGGAGTTCAAGACCAGCTTGGGCAACATAGCAAAATCCCATCTATATGTAAAAATAAAAAAATTACCTGGGCATGGTGGTGCACGCCTGTAGTCCCAGCTACTTGTGAGGCTGAGGTAAAAGGATCACTTAAGCCTAGAAGTTTGAGGCTGAAGAGAGTTATGATCGTGCCATTGCACTCAAGCCTGTCTCAGAAAAAAGTTAAAAACAAGAAAAAAATACAATATTTTGAAATTACTGTATTCTCTTTTTCTGCTTAGTCTAGGCCAACTGTTATACCATTAACTTCCACTAGATGCCGCTGTGACCTGCTACTTCAGGTTCCGAAAGGCAATCTGAAAGCCAATTTTCTCCAAGGATTTAAAATTGAAATAATTCACCCCCTTTAAAGACAAAAGATATTTTAACCACCTCATATTTTAGGGGGTTGTGGCTCATTCTTTCTTTGTGTTAAGACCTATCTGAAGTATCTCATGAAGTGTACAATTATTTAAAAAGGAAACTGAAAAGTTTTAATGGCTTGATAGAAAACAATTGCTTCCCTTTTATCCACATCCCCAAATTTCACATTTTGCGTGTAACTCATGACTAGTCTGCAGTGGGTTATAGAGAAGAGATGGTAACACTGATAGGAAGGCTGATGTTGACTTCAATGAAATAAGAAGTAAAACTTGAAGGAAAGAGTATGACATCTTCTGATTTGAAGACAGCAGATCATGGTACCCTGTACCCATGAGTCACTGCTCCCAGAGATAGGAAAAGCTGGGTGGAAAAGAAAATTTGGGCTGATAGGACTGGGTCCTGAGCTTGAAGCCAAGCCCAGTGTTAACCCTGGGCATTGACCCAGGCCCTCCCTGACTGAAAATCTGGAAGATTTTCCCTGCTGGGTGAGAATCACTTTTTCAGCAAAACAATACAAGCTTTAGGGCCAAAAGGAAGCCCATGAAGCTTCCAGAGACGTGCTTAGAGCAATGCTGCTCAAATTCTTACCAATCTCCACTATATGAGAACAGAAATGGACAGTAAGTATCTCAAAACTTGTATAACAAATTTAAACAGGTTTACGTCTGCTAAATCTAATAAAAAGAAATCAGGATTGTATTTCATATGTCTTTGTTTCATATTTCATTTTTCCAGTAATTCAATTCTTTTAGTATTTTACAAAAGTATTGGTCCATAATAGATTGGAATTTTTTAAAAAATAGCCCTTCAGCCCAGATAGCTTTTGAAGCACTGCAGACAGCCCACCCCAAGCTGCTGGAGGAGGCAATTCCAGGACGATGAAGCCATCATACTCCTGAATAATGTTCTAGTAGACCAAACAGCTAAGAAAGGGCTGAAGAACAGGAGCACTTAGATGATAAAGGACAGGATGACTGGAGAGCTAAAAAGAAATCCTAAGAACAGAACACCTCGGGGAGTCCCAGCCTCTGAACCCACAGTCAGCAGCTCACCAGAACCTAACATTTCTGCAAAGGCTCAGAGATTCCACCATTGCCACTCCCAGCAGTTCGCCTGCCCAATGTAGACAATCAGCCTAGCACTGACTTTGGGACAAGAGGATCTCAGGTGGTTACAGTGAAAAGAAAATGCAAAACCACTCAGGATTGCCCAAGTCTGACATATTTAGGTTCAGAAGAGAAACACACAGAGAGGTCCATTGTTAACCCCTTCCTGGTTTGATCCACCCAAAGCCAGCCGGCTTGGATGGAGGGGAGGCGTAAGGCACTGTGGACTTCCATTTATGGGTAACTGTGAGCTGGCTTTTGTCTTCTCTGAAAAATGCCCTGTTACACTAGCATACTGTCAGTGTCTTTTTTGGATAGCCATTTGGTAATATCTATCAAAATGTAAACAGTGAATACTCTTCAACTCAGCTATTTCTCTGCTAGAAATTCATCCCCCAGTTATACTCCTAAAGTAAGCAAAGACATAAATAATACAGGATTCAATACTCTCTGGCTCTTTCTGAGAGAATAAAACTGGATAAAATGTAAATGTCCTTTATAAGAGATTAGTTACATAACTACGGTACATCCACACAGATTAGTATGCACCATTAAAAGATTAAATGCTTCTGCAGTTACTGATATGCAAAGAGTTCCAAGACACAATGTTAAGTGAAGGAAGCAAGTTGAAGTGCAGTGTGTACAGCATGATCCTATTTGTGTAAACAAGAACAAATGCAGTCAGGTACGGTGGCTCATGCCTGTAATCCCAGCATTTTGGGAGGCCAAGGCAGGTGGATCACCTGAGGTCAGAAGTTCAAGACCAGCCTGACCAGCATGGCAAAGCCCCATCTGTACTAAAAATACAAAAATTAGTTGGGTGTGGTGATGGATGTCTGTAATCCCAGCTATTTGGGAGGCTGAGGCAGGAGAATCGTTTGAACCGGGGGGGCGGAGGTTGCAGTGAGCCGAGATCGGGCCACTTCACTGCAGCCTGGGTGAAAGACCAAGACTCTGTCTCAAAAAAAAAAAAAAAAGAAAGAACAAATGCATTTCTGTCATGCAGAGAGACCTTCTGAGGGCTGCACAAAAAGCCGTTCACAGCGATCACCTCTGGGGGGTGGAGCCAAGGGTCAAGGTCGGGGAGGACTTTCATTTTTAACTTCACACTCTTGTATGTGGTCTGACGTTTTAAAAAGCAAAATTGTATCAATTTAATAGGGAGCAAGGTATCTATTGCAGAGCATCAAGAGTTACAAGAGGCCAGGTGCAGTGCTTCCCACCTATAATCCCAGTGTTTTGGGAGGCCAAGGCAGAAGGATTCCTTGAGTCCAGGAGTTTGAGACCAGCCTGGGCAACACAGCAAGACCCTGTCTCTAAAAAAATGAAAATAAAAAATTACCTGAGCATGGTGGTGTGTACCTGTAGTTCTAGCTACTCAGGAGGCTGAGGCAGAAGGGCTGCTTGAGCCCAGGAGCTCGAGGCTGCAGTGAGCTATGATCACACCACTGCACTCCAGCCTGGGCAACAGAATGAGATGCTCCCTCTTAAAAAAAAAAAAGCACTACAGGAAATGGCAGCAAATATCAGTCAGCCAAAGACACAACCTGACACAAGCGGCTGCACAAAATAGTAGTTGCCCTTAAGCTCAAGGGACATCAACAAGGAAAAAACACACAACTCCCAGTGTTCTCTCAACCCATGGCTGTGTATATCTTTTAGTGATGAGCCTTGGGGACCCCATAAAACCCAGAGGAACATGTGGCAGAGGACCCAAGGCTTCCAGGGATTGTGGCCATCACCAGGTGAGAAAGCCCAGAGACAACCGCTTGAGTGTTTAATTACTATGTGAAAATGGAATGAGAGGGAAGGAAATTGGGTTTGGTTACTTCAATAAAAAAAGGTTGACCGGACGTGGTGGCTCACACCTGTAATCCCAGCACTTCGAAAGGCCAAGGTGGGTGGATCACCTAAGGTCAGAAGTTTGAGACCAGCCTGGCCAATGTGGTGGAGTCCCGTCTCTACTAAAAATACAAAAATTAGTTGGGTGTGGTGGCACGCACGTGTAATCCCAGCTACTTGGCAGGCTGAGGCGGGAGAATCACTTGAAACCAGGAGGCAGAGGTTGCAATGAGCTGAGATTGTGCCACTGCACTCCAGCTTGGGTGACAGAGTGAGACTCCATCTCAAAAAAAGAAAAAGGTTGCCTGGCCCTGGTTCATAAGTAGAGGGAGTGTCTTGTGTCTTGGGAACCAGTAGCACTGTTAACATTTACAAACGGGACACACACATTTCCTGTTTAATTCCACCCTGCACAGTGCTGATTCACTATGATACCATTGGTCTCAGAAATACTTTTCTTAAAAGTTGTATATAATTACCACATATATACACATAAATAAAAATATACACACATATATGTGTATACATGCACACACACATACATATCACACTCTGTGCTCTCAGCCAGGGAGAGCTGGGGAAGGAGATTGTCTTTGGAGTCCTTAGCACATTACACTATATTACAAATGCTCTTGGCCGAAGAGTATTCTCAGTGCTGTCCTGAGTTGTGTTCTGCAAAATGCACTGTTTATTCCACTGTGATCTTCCTTTCTGCCACTCATTTCATGTTCTAGGGAACAGTTTTGACTCACAGTTATGGGTAAAAGGTGTTTGAGTGATTGTTCTAGACTCACCCTAAAGAGACCAAGGAAGAATATTATGCCAAGTGTCAAAAAGCTACTTTCCAGGCAGCTCAAGTTGCCTTCATGGAAATGATGAAGGAAGCAGAGGGTGAAGTTTAAGGACAGGTGGAAATCCTTCACAATCCTATCGGGCATCATTAACAGCACTGTAAGGCTGGGAGAGATGACCAAGGGGATTTGAAAACAGCATTAGGGTAGGAAGCCGGAATTAAGCTTATAAAGACCCATAGAGCACGCAGTCCTTCTATGTCATGGCCTATCTGACAGATGCGTTGGGGGGCCCCGGAGAGCCAGGAGTAGTGGGCAGAGGGCAAGCAAGCACAGAGCCATCCTCTACAGTGGTCAGAGGGCAAGCAAGCACAGAGCCACCCTCTACAAGGACACCGGAGCACTGAGGCCATTGCTCTTGGGAAGAAACCACCGAGGTTTCTGTTAGCCAGGGTGGGCCAGCTGAATGTCTGCAACATCACTGAAAACAGTCACAAGTTGGAGAGACAATGGTCTTTTTAGCACTCCCCTTGGGGGAAGCAGTGTGGGAGATGGAAGGTTCTGGAGTAAGGGGTTATGCCTCGAGGGGCTGGCTTCAGGACATTGTCCTGTGGGTTGGTAGGCGTCCTTAATTGTGGGGCTTTTGTTTTGCTGAGAGGAGGCTGCAAGTTTGAGGCAAAAAATGAATTCTCTGGAGGTAAAGAAGCCGCTGAGGCTGCTCCCCGCTGGCCCTTTCTTCCTGCTGGGCCTTTCCTTTATTTATTTAGAGTACTCAGCCTTTCCTCTAGGTAAATATTGAAAGAATATATAAAAACCAATAGTTTAAACAGTGTCAAATTATTATCCTGTCTCCACCTGGCCCTGGGCATGGCTGCGGTGTGTATTGTGCTAGGTTCTGACTCTCTTTGGTTGAGCAGGAGGCGGCCCTAGCGCCACAGGTGGAGATGGCTGCCCACCTGCTGTGAAGGCACTTCCGGTGTCCGCCATCTTGGGAGCAGCTCAGACCGGAAACCACAGGCTGGAGAACGCAACTGGGAATGGAAAGCAGGAGTGGCTCTTTGTGTTGCTTTGGGCTGAATTAGGAGAAGGGTAGATGTTTGGAGGTGGTGTTGGCTGCAGGGAAGAAGGAGTTAGAATGGGATGAAAATTTTTGGCCCAGAGAAGGGGAGCAGTGGTTGTTGGCTGAGGCATTTATTGAAGGATTCCCATGGAGAAGATACATATGGTTGGGGGCAGAGTCCCTGTTGAGAGGGAGTGCTGCCAGTTCCATACAGAAATTCCTTCTCCCTGACAACCGCAGATGTCTTAGCAGCATTGCTTTTATTTTTTATTTATTTATTTATTTTTGAGACTGGGTCTCACTCTGTCACAGGCTGGAGTGCAGTGGCGCAATCTCTGCTCATTGCAACCTCCGCCTCCCGGCTTCAAGTGATTCTAATGCGTCAGCCTCCCGAGTAGCTGGGACTACAGGCACACGCCACCACACCCAGCTAATTTTTGTATTTTTAGTAGAGATGGGGTTTCACTGTGCTGACCAGGCTAGTCTCGAACTCCTGACCTCGTAATCCGCCCACCTCAGCCTCCCAAAGTACTGGGATTACAGACGTGAGCCACCCGCGCCTGGCCCAGCAGCATTGCTTTTAGACTGACAGCTTAGAAACCAAAAGTCTGTTTACTGGCCACCTACACAACCTGTCAATCCCTAAACAACCTGAAGGTTTAGTGCCCTACCATAGACACCCTGTAACCCATTAAGAGGTCCAGCCTTTGCTACAGCAAATGGTGTAAACTCCCACGGCCCAGTTATGTCCAGGGCTCAGTTGGGTTTTTGGCCTCTTTATCCTCAAATGGGGAAAGCATAGCTCTGGGCCAGTCAAGCGCTGAGCTGATCCAAGACATTCTTCCACCCGCCAGACTGGAAATACCGGAAAAGCGGTGGCAGCTGCCCTCAGAGGCAGTGTCAGTATTTTCTTTCCTTTTGGCCAGTTCCGTTTTGACTAGAAACTGGAATCATAATTATAATGCTACATGTTTACAGATTTTAAGTAATTGATCCCTTGGAGTCCTCTTTTGGGGGAAAAGCATTCTACCCACCTCATACATCAGGAAAACAAGAGGCCATATGGTTTGGCTGGGCTGGGTGGTCTCTGGTGTCAGTAGGAGAGTGGAGACTGCGGCTTCAACAGTTCTTGACTTCTTGGCTTGTGTCCAGATCTCTGGGCCTTGCAGCCCCTAGAAAGGTGACACATGAGAAACCGAAGTGGACCAGACCATAAACTCTCAGGAGCAGTTACCTCTAGAGAGGAGGGCAGGCCTCGTGGCCCTGCCTGTGCCTGTTTCTCTTGGAGGGACAGGTTGGAGAGGAGGAAAACCCCTTACTACAGGAGTGTTTCACCTACCTTTAATTACCAGTTAAAACAAAACATTCTGTAATGAAAATTCCCCTTGAAAGAAACTCCAAGTTGCTGTGAAGGTTTCATCTTTCCCTTTTGAATCCCAAGGTCTGCAGCCATGTAATCCAATGTTGGTCTGGAAAAATATCTGGCTACAGAAAAACCCACATGGGGTGTTGGGGACGCCAGTAAAGGGCAGGAGGTTGGATCTTGTACAGTAGCCCTTAGCAAAATCCTTCAGGTCAAGCCCTGGTCTACTTATTAAGAACCCTCTTAACCCTTTTAATAAGAGGTAGATATGTTTTCTTCTGATTCTACCTTCTCTATTGCCAGCAATGTTTGTCCTCAATAAATTAATGTGAGTTGGTGGTGGATGTAGAAAAGGGGAGAAGGGAAACCTAGTTCTCCGATGGTCATGGCTATTTCAAGATAAGGGAAGTGGCAGAAACACGGAGGGAGGCAGGCCGGGGAGCCTCCAACCCCAACAGGTGAAGACACACATAGAGGCATGCAAGTCAGCAAACAAATTCAGGCTGGGTTCCCAGAGGGAAATGTTTGTGTTTTTTTCTAAGTGAGCAGGTGTAGTTAAGCACACCCTTTTCACGGTGCGTTGAAGCAGATTTCCAGCCCTGTTTGGAAGCACAACGTTGCCATCTCAATGGGTTGTCCTTCTGAACCCATAATAGCTGTTTACTTAGACCAGATCCCGTATTGCCTTGTGTCATTGTCCAATTTTCCTATGTGGATTTTACCAATTCAGTTGTAGATGTCTTAGTAACAGGGACCAGAATTTTTCCATAATCAATAGTAGTTTAAATGATTGAACAAAAAGTTTCCTCTTGTGTGCAATCAGCTGAGGAACGTAAACTAATTTCAGTCTCATTCCTAGTGCCTGATTTTTCTTCCATCATTCTAGGTTTCCTGTCTGGCCCACACTTCGAGAGTCCTCCCTGCTGCAGGGAGCACATCTGTGAGCCATGTGTTTCCTTTCTTTCCTCCTGTACAATGGTAATTTTTTTCTTAGCTACTACAGGAAGCCCAGCAGATTCAGATGTACAAGAAGCCACACCAAGACCTAAGATGATATTCACTGATGTTATCAGCAGGTTGATGCCAACATCTGCCTAGAGAGTGGTTACCCTGAGAAGTTTACCCCAGTTCTAAGTTTGGTTGGTCTGTTCTGAGGTGATAGCCTCGTACTGAAGTAATTTCTCCCCACCAAAGGGTCTAGAATAGGTTTATTTGTAATCTATTTTATGTAGCTGTGACTGCCTCAAGACACCTCAAAGGGTTATTAAGAGTGTGTGTCTAGGCATGTGGGTAACTGTTCCAGCTCAACAGCCTGTGAATACCATTAGTAGCCCTTGAAATGGATCTCCAGGAAGTGCTGACTGTTAATGACTCTGCCCTGATGCTCCTATGTGAGCAGAACAAAGAGATAATGTCTAAGTTTGCAGGTAGCTGAGCGCTCTAAATTGATGACTAGCTCAGGGAGAGGGAGGTGCTGTGCCATCCTAAGCCTAGAAGACATCGCCAAAGGAACAGTGGGAGATTAACAACTCTCCCATGTTAGGAGGTTGACTTGCCAAACTGATGGAAGAGTGACAAACTGATAGACTGTGGTGCTGTGTCCCTTCTACGAGCTGAGGGAGGGCTTCACCTGAGGCAGTCAGAAGTGCTAAGAGAAGATTTATGTGGTAAGGGAGAGGGAATCTTTCCAACAATAGCTATTAATTGACTTTCATTTTGTAGAAGAATATTGTATTAAGTGTTTGGAGATAGGAAAAGTATGGCATGCTCTCAGGATGTTTATAATTTACTTGGGGAGATAAGGCACATGATTGAAAAGCTAGTAAAATACAAGACAATAGAATATCCACTCTCCGGAATAATATTCAGCCATTAACATGGATGAATTGGATCCGTATGTACTCAGACTTGTGCAGGAAAAGGTCAGTAGCAGAACAAGACACCATCTATGTAAAAATTAAAGCAAAGCACACAGATGTGTGTGGACATATATGTGTATGCATGTGAACATATCTGTGTATGCCTGTGAACATATGTGTGTATGCACACGGCTGAAGGGGGACTGGAGGAAAGCACGTGGAAAAAGAGCCAGAGGTTCCTCCTGGGGAGGGAAGTGAGACTGGGGAGGACAGAGAAGGGCACCTTTCATATTTTTACCACACATACTTTTGTATTGAATACATTATTTAGAACAAGAAAGTCTTTCTATATTTCTTATGTAAAAAAGGAAAAGAATGAAAAACATAGCAACAAAGCAAGTACATGATTGATGCCAAGGGGTAACCCTAAAGGTAAAAATGGTGGCGTAGTCTGCCCATCACCTCACAAACTCTGCTGCCGCTCCTCTTCCTCCTTGTTTACAGAATCCCATTTTTGCTCAGGAATCTACCTGCCTGTGTCTCACGAGATATCTGGAAAAACATAAAATCATGGTGGTCCCATCCCATCCCATCCCTCTGCAGTGATTTGTGGCACTTGGTCATGTGATGCCATCAGGGCCAATGAGATTGGAGGAACTGTCCAGGGGGCTGCTGAGTAAAGCTTCTTTGCTCTTAAAAAGAAGAACAAAGAAGCCAAAGGACCACTTTTTCCTTCAACAGGATAGCACCGTTTCTGGATGTGATGACTGGCAATGCGGCAGCCATTTGAGCCTTAGGGAGCTATCCTGGGGACCAAGCCAAACTCTGAGGATGTTGGTAGAAAGATGGAAAAGCCTGAATCCTTGAAGATATTGTTGAGCCACTGAATCAACCTACCCTGGAGCTGTCCTAGCTCAGGACTTCAGCTCCAGTGACAGAACACATTTTTCTTTTTGTTAAAGCCAGCTGAGGTGGGGATATCTATTACCTTCCAACTCACATGCCAGTCACAGGAAGCCCTGTTTGTGAGGCTTCAAGCCCCTTGGGTGCATTTGAGGGGAAGTTTGAGTCCTCAGGGACATGCCCTCTGGGGACAAGAATGAGAAGGGGTCATAAGCCCTCTGTGGCTGGGGAGGCAGAGAAGTCATCCTGAGCTAGGGTCACTCTTTGCCCTGGCACCTCAGTGGGTGAGAGGAACTGCCAGGGTGAGGTAGGGAGATATATTTAATACAAGCAGCCCCTCAGTCTGGCCCCTGGGATAATTGATACGAGTTCTTTCTTTCTTTCTTTTTTAAAATTGAAACAGGGTCTAACTTTTTCGCTCAGGCTGGGGTGCAGTGGCACGACCTCCGCTCGCTGCAGCCTTGACCTCCCGGGCTCAAGCAATCGTCCCATCTCAGCCTCCCCAAGTACCTGGGACCACAGGTTCACACCACCATGCCTAGCTTATTTTTATTTATTTATTATTTATTGATTTATATTTTTTTGTAGAGACAGGGTTTCTCACGTTGCCCAGGCTGGTCTCAAACTCCTGGGCTCAAGTGATCCTCCTGCCTCAGCCTCCCAAAGTGCTGTGATTACAGGTATGAGCCACTGCACCCAGTCTACAAGTTCTTAACAGAATCAGAAGGTGTAGCTGGGAGACAAAAGACCCATCACAGCTTCGTGATATTTGGAGGGAAGTTTTCTTCCTTCAGAGCAGAAAGGATCACTGCTGTCATGGGGGAAGAATATTAGCAGCCTCATGGGAGCTGGAGTGAGGCTGGAGTTGGGACAGTGGCCAGCCTTACAGAGCCATGGGTAGGTTGCAAGGGCTAGGCAAGCAGAGCCCCATGGCCGTGCTGTGGTGGGGAAGAGGCAGGCAGGGGGAAAGCCCACTGCAGGTATTTCCACAGTGCGCCAGAAGCAATGATGGTTTCAATTGGTTGGTAGATGAGTCTCCCTGAATTAAACTCCACTCATCCCAAACTGGTATTGATTTAAAATATCTTAAACTGGGATAATCTCTTGCAGTATGTTGGAGCTGTGCACCCGAAGAGAGAAGGGGAAATAAAGTCTTATCGTGAGAGAAAGTGTGTGTGTGTGTGTGTGTGTGTGTGTGTGTGTGTGTGTAGAGAGACAGGAGGGAGAGAAGAGGAGGACATGGGAAGAGAGGAGAGGAGAAGGGGGAGAAGGGGAGAATGAGTCCTCATTTAACCTGGTCCTGAGGAGGGGGTGGCTGGTTTCTGCACTGAGATATAGGTGTTTCCTTCTCTTGCCTTGCCTCCAGCTTGAAATCAACCACTTCCCTCATTTCCTTGGAATGAAGTCAAGGAAGACTTGCTTACTCTTACAGTGCAAAACCCAGCCCCGGGTCTTCCCACTGTTATCTACTGAACCCTAAGGTCACTCAGAGCGACTTGAAAGTGTTTCAGGGGCCATAAATGCTCAACTCAAATCTCATTTAAAAATTTTCCCACTTTATACCTGTTAGGATAGCCTGTATCAAAAACCAAAACCCTTGAAAACAGCAAGTGTTGGTGACTGTGTGGAGAAATTGAAACGCTTTTGCACTATTGGGGATGTAAGATGGTGCACCGACTATGGAAACAGTAGGGAGGTTCTTCCAAAAATTTAGTACAGAACTATTACATGGCCCAGCAATTCCGCTGCTGGATACATGCCCAAAAGAGTGAACGCAGAGACTCAAACAGTCTTTGTACCCCAGTGCTCATAGCGGCATTATTCACAGTAGCCAAAAGGTTGAAACAACTCAATGTCCATCGATGGGTGAATGGATAAATCAAATATGATGTATCCATATCATGGGACATGATTCAGCCTTAAAAAAGTAATGAAGTGGCCGGGCCTGGTGGCTCACACCTGTAATCCCAGCACTTTGGGAGCCTGAGGTGGGTAGATCACCTGAGGTCAGGAGTTGGAGACCATCCTGGCCAACCTGGTGAAACCCTGTCTCTACTAAAAATACAAAAATGATCTGGGCATGGTGGTGGGCGCCTGTAATCCCAGCTACTTAGGAGGCTGAGGCAGGAGAATCACTTAAATCTGGGAGGTGGAGGTTGTAGTGAGCCGAGATCACACCATTGCACTCCAGCCTGGGTGACAGAGCAAGTCTCCATCTCAAAAAAAAAAAAAAAAATTTCTACTTACAAAACTGTAGTAAGAACAGGACACTCGGGTACTAAAAATACACACACGGCCCACCTGTGTGCTAAGCTGTGTTTCCCTTTTATCTTCTCTTTTTTTTTTTTTTTGAGACAGAGTCTCACTCTGTCACCCAGGCTGGAGTGCATTGGCACGATCTTGGCTCACTGCAACCTCCGCCTCCCGGGTTCAAGTGATTCTCCTGTCTCAGCCTTCTGAGTAGCTGGGATTACAGGTGTGCACCACCATGCCAGGCTAATTTTTGTATTTTTTAGTAGAGACGGGGTTTCACCATGTTGGCCAGGCTGGTCTCGAACTCCTGACCTCAGGTGATCCCCCTGCCTCGGCCTCCCAAAGTGCTGGGATTACAGGTGTGAGCCACTGGGCCCGGCCGTTTTCCCTTCTCTTTGTGCTCACCTGGGAATCAAAGTTCTCCCAGCATTTTCACCAGGGAGTTTGCAATTATTGCAACTATACCAGTGGCTAGGAAGTTTGTATCTCTTGTATGGATCTATTAAAAATTCAGACTTGATTTTCTCCACTTACATAAAGTTGCGGGAATACAGCTATAACATGCCCTTATCACAGCCAAAAGAGCCAGTTGTGGATAAACAGCTTGAGACATGCTGATATTATCTTTGTCATTTATTGTAAAGTTTTGATGCTTCTTGCCTGACTTTTGTTATGAATAAGAATACAAGCGACCGTTAGATATTGTCCATGGTTCTGCTTCAAAACAGAAACTTCCCTCTCGTTCTCCTCTCTCAAGCATCTGGATCAGTTTAAGTAAAGAGCATCTTGACACAGCCATCTGGAACTTCCTCTCAATTTCTGTATTCATCAAAAGGTACAAGTATTATAAATCTGAACTTGTGAAATAAAATTTTACCAACAAAGTACTACATTTGTTTCAGACATTGAGGTTTCCATCAGATTTGAATTGCAAAAAGATTCTGCTGAAAACAAAAAGTTTGAAAAGCACTGTATTTGCGCAATTCCCAGTTTGGTTCAGTTAAATGAATGCTCCTTGAAGATTTTGTTCAATTCTTAGCTGGACACACAGTACATTGGTGAGCGATAAGACATAGGAAAGTTAAATTCTGATTGTCCTTGAGCTAAGAATGGTTTTACATTTTATTTTACTTTATTTTATTTTGCCTTTTTGAGATGGAGTCTCACTCTGTCACCCAGGCTGGCTTGCAGTGGTGGAATCTCAGCTCACCGCAACCTCCGCTTCCCGGGTTCAAGCGATTCTCCTGCCTCGCCTCTGAAGTAGCTGGAATTACAGGCGTGCCCCACCACGCCTGGCTAATTTTAGTATTTTTAGTAGAGACGGGGTTTCGCCAAGTTGGCCAGGCTGGTCTCGAACTCCTGACCTCAAGTGATCCACCCACCTCAGCCTCCCAAAGTTCTGGGATTACAGGCATGAGCCACCACGCCTGGCCTGGTCTTTACATTTTAAATGGTTAAAAAAAATTAAAAGAAGAATATCTGATGATGTGAAAATTATATGAAATTCAAATTTCAGTGTCCATTATATAAAGTTTTGTTGGAACACAGCCACATTCGTTTGTGTACTCTCTCTAGCTGTTTTCATCCTACCACTATAGTGCTGAGTAGTTCTAACAAAGGCCATAGAGTCCCAAAGCCTAAAACATTTATTGTCTGGCCCTTTACAGTAAAAGTTTGCCAACCCTTGCATTAGACAATGACCATATCCATGTGAAGTCTGAACATCAAAACCTGAGAAGTTCACCTTCTTGATGCTGCCAATCTTTTGGCAACATTACTGCAGAGTTAGACAGACTACATCAGTGGTTCTCCAGTCTGGGCAAACCCAGCTCCCAAGAGGGTGTAGAGAAACGTGTGGGCACAGCTTTTGTTGCAATGACAAGACTCGCCATGCATATTTAGTAGGCAGGGACTAAAAATGTTAAATTTCAGGCAATGTTGGATACAGTCCTGCACAATAGAGCTCAAGGTGTACCCTGAGAAACAGGGATCCAGAGAATTGCTGTGATTAATTTTACAGGGCAACTTGGCTAGGCCATGGTGCTCAGATATGTGGTAAGCTGTTATTTTGGATGTTTTCATGAGGGTTTTTGGGAGGAGATCAACATTTAAATCAGCCAAGTTGAAGTAAAGCAGATGGCGCTCCCTAATGTGGGTGGGGCTCACCCAATCAGTTGAAGGCAGGAATAGAACAACTTCTGACCTCTTTGAGCAAGAAAGACTTCTGCCTGCAGATGGCCTTTGGGCGTCAATTGCAACTCTTCCCTGAGCCTCTAGACTGTTGCCTACCCCATCAGATTTGGGACTCACTATGGCTCCACAATTACATGTCAATTCCGTAAAATAAATCTCTCTCCACTTACATACGTACACACACACACACACACACACACACACACACACGACCTGTTGGTTTTGTTACTGGGGAGAACTCTGACTAATATAATTATCCCAAAGTTTCAGTTTCTGGTCTGAAAGTGATCTTCAGTCCACTTATTCCTGTGCTTTGCAAATTCTACCTCTTTTTCAAATTTCAAAATTCAGAACATTTCAAAAATAAGTTGACATTGCAAATTTCATCTCATCAAATGCTAAAAAAAGTTCATACTTCTGGCCGGGCGTGGTGGCTCATGCCTGTAATCCCAGCATTTTGGGAGGCTGAGGCGGGTGGATCACCTGAGGTCAGGAGTTTAAGACCAGCCTGTCCAACATGGTGAAACCCCATCTCTACAAAAATACAAAAATTAGCCAGGCATGATGGCAGGTGCCTGTAATCCCAGCTACTCAGAAGGCTGAGGTGGGGAGTCCCTTGAATCTGGGAGGCGGCGGTTGTAGTGAGCCAAGATCATGCCACTGAACTCCAGCCTGGGTGACAGAGCAAGACTCTGTCTCAAACAAACAAACAAACAAACAACAACAACAAAATTTACACTTCTGCATATAGGACTCTAATTCAATAAATGTGGTGTTTAATTGAACAAATGTGTATTGAACTCCAGTGACCCATTTGGAAGATGCTATTGGGGAGTGATATAAAGACAAGATATAGTCTCTGTCCCAATTTACCCAGAACAGAGAAAGGGCGACTATCAGGCACACAATTAATGGGAATACCAGGGCATTTCTGAGAGGCCGTATTACAGAGGTACAAATCAGGACCTGTGGGAGTCCTTCTCACAGGAGATCATAACTCCAACTAATGCAACCTCCCCGCTAGTAAAACCTATTTTTCTTTTTCCTTCTGAACTATTTCTCTCCCAGTTATTATCAGTGAAAAGCCAGAAGCTTCTCTGGTTTCTCACCCATGTCCAGAGACAGACAAGCCGTGGGTTCAGAGGCTGGTTTTTCACATCCTCCACTTCACACCACGAGGACCTCACCCACTGCAGCTGCAGAACAGGAAGGGGTCATCTACATTGGTTACACGCCCCATTTTTAGCTGGATGTAGCTAATTATTTTCTGTTTAAGACTCTTGTCTTTTTAATCATACGAAGGAACTGCATTATTACGCTCTCATTGTAAGGATATGAACCATATGGTAGTGCAGAAAATAAAATGTGAAAATCTGTTCTATCTGTTCTCATTTCCTCATCTCATTCATTACTGCAACAAAAACCAATTGTCCTCACTTTGGGAGGCCGAAGTGGGTGGATCGCTTGAGGTTAGGAGACCAGACTGGCCAACATGGTGAAACCCTGTCTCTACTAAAAATACAAAAAATTAGCCAGACGTGGTGGCTCTTGCCTGTAATCCCAGCACTTGGGAGGCTGAGGCGGGTGGATCACCTGAGGTCAGGAGTTTGAGAACAGCCTGGCCAACAGACGAAACCTCATCTCTACTAAAAATACAAAAATTAGCCCGGTGTGGTGGCACATGCCTGTAGTCCCAGCTACTTGGGAGGCTGAGGCAGGAGAATCTTTTGAACCCGGCAGGTGGAGGTTGCAGTGAGCTGAGATCGCGCCACTGCACTCCGGCCTGGGCAACAGAGTGAGACCCTGTCTAAAAAACAACAACAACAACAACAACAAAACCCCAAAAACAAAAAAACCCACAACCTATTGTCCAGTCAAGTCTTTCTTGCTACCAGAGCAGGGGACATGCCACTGATGAGAGCGTCTTCTCTGTTCCTTCCAAACACTCAGCCCAGCATTCAGATCATTGCTCACCCAGTGCAGAGTCACGGTGCCAGGGTATGGAGTACAGATGCCAGAGCCACAGCCATCAGAGACAGTGTTTTTGTTTTCTAGGGCCCTGCAACAAATGACCACGAGCTATGTGGTTTGTAGCAATAGTAATGTATTCTCTCACAGCTCTGGAGTCTGGAAGTCCCAAATCAAGATGTTGGCAGGGCTGTGCTCCCTCTGAGGCCTCCTCCAGGGAGGATCCTTCCTTGCCCCTCCCTGGCTTCTAAACTTTTCTGGTCCTCCTCAGCCTGTCGCTGCATCTTTCTAATCTCTGCCTCTGCCTTCACATGGCCGTCTTCCCTCTGTGGGTCTGTGTGTCCAAATTTCCCTCTTCTCATAAGGACACTGACCAGTGGATTGGGGTCTACACTCCTCCAGTGTGACCTCATCTTAACTTGATTACATCTGCAAAGACCTTTTTCTCAGGGAAGCTGATATGGTTTGGCTGTGTCCCCACCCAAATCTCATCTTGAATTGTAGCTCCCATAATTCCCATGTGTTGTGGGAGGGACTCAGTGGGAGATAATTGAATCATGGGGGTGGTTTCCCTCATACTGTTCTCGTGGTAGTAAATAAGTCTCAAAAGATCTGATGGTTTTATAAGGGGGAACCCCTTTCACTTGGTTCTCATTCTGTCTCTTGCCTGCCACCATGGAAGATGTGCCTTTCACCTTCTGCCATGATTGTGAGGCCTCCCAGCCATGTGGAACTGTGAGTCCATTAAACCTCTTTTTCTTTATAAATTACCCAGTCTTGGGTATGTGTTTATCAGCAGCGTGAAAATGGACTAATACAGAAGCTCACATTCACACACAAGGGAGTTATGACTTGAATAGATCCTCTGAGGGGACACAATTCAAGTCACAACAGATGGAGACTCCATACTTCTAAGCAATCCACCAGGAGCCACAATGGCCCCAAGCAAAAGATCATCTCTCTCGAAGGCCAGTCCTGCTTGACTATGGCACCTGGGCAGATAATGAAAACACTAACCCCCTTCAACGCTCCCCATGGACTGGGCTCACTGATCTGCAGAATGACCCCCGTGGGGACCTAGTCCAAGGTAACGTGCTGCAGCCCAAGCAACTGCTTGCTTCAATTTGCAAGCTGTGCAGAGCAGACAGCCCAAAATGGCAGTGGCTTGGGGAAAAGCCAGACGTTCTTGAAAAGCTGTCGTTTCAGAAAGAAAGAAAAAAAAATCACTTATTTTTTGGATAGGCATTGAGTATCAAAGATTTAAAAATTTGGCTCTGACCACAATATATCTGAAAGTAGAGGTCATTCCGTAAAGATCAGCCTCTTCCTAAATCACCAGGCTTTCCAACCAGCTCCTGGCAGGGTCCGAGGGTCCCGTCAAAGTGGCCAGTGGACTGCCCCAAGGGAAGCATGAGGAAAGCACGTGACCCCTTCTGGTAACTTGGAGAGGAGTGGCAATGGACAGAGAGTAAAGCTAGGGCATGAATGGGGACATTTTATAAAGGCAGCTTCCCTCCTCTCCTGGGCTCACTGGTACACAGGAGAGGAGAGTTGGTGGCTTGCTGAATAGCCATTGAGTTAAGAAATATAGCTTCAGACATACCATCTTGTAACTGGAGCCATCCAAACCTCTACTTCTGAATGTTCCCATGGCAAAAACACAGATTTTCACAACATTCCAGGAAAATCCTGAAATTGAGTCCTGTAGAGGGCTTGGGATTGTTTTGCCAAGGAAATAATATTCCACACATTGGAGGTCCATCTGTGTGGGCAGATGTCTGTCTTGGGAATGACAGAGTGAGGCCCCAAGCTGGTGGTCACTGCTGGGAGTAGGGGCCGGGACATAGACTGGAGAAGGCAAATGGTACCACCTGATGCAGAGATAACATTGGCCTGGGGTCCTTGTGTCAGCTGATGGGGACGGAGGTCAGCAATAGAAAGAGGACTCAGGAATGCATCTATCCTTCCTGTTCCCTGTCCCTTCACTCTCAAGGAAAATGGCAGCATCGTCACGATTCCCCAAATGAAAATCACATTGGAAAATATCTAGTGTTTTATACAAGAAGGCCAGAGGCTGATATCATGACCTTAGGTTTTAGAATTTTCTATCAGCAGCAACATGTCAGCTAAAAAATTCCCTATCAAGTTATTACCTGAAGTTTTTTATGCCTTAACTTTAAAAATAAAGGTCTGCAACTCCAAGCAAAAATCTTGGACTCCTCTTTATGAATCAAACTGATTCCCAAACTGAGATCATAGCCCACTCCCTGGCCCCTGTGCTTATTATAAAACCCATCTTCTTTTCACGTCCAATATAATCAAGGCAGCCACACCCCACACGCAGCACTCCAGCCTTACTTTCCCCAAATCCAGGCCCCACTTCATGTGAAAATGCATATTATTACCCCTGTGGGCTCAGAGCCTGTTTTGAAATAAAGCAAATAAGAACCACAGGGGAGTGACTCAAGTCCAAATTGTGTGTCCTGACTTGGCGCAAATGTTCTTCCTTGTCCTTGCTTATTAACTTTGGGAGACACTGAGCATTCCCCAGGATGCGCTGGGGGTTTGCACACAATCCTGCCCAAAGCTGGGCAAAGCCTGCGTGCCCAGCAGCCAGGAATTCCCTCCCCTCCATCCCCATTTGGGGCCTGTTCAGCCGCCCTCGTTTTCATGAACCCCACACAACCCACTGCGTTTGGAGGACCCTGTGATATATGGCGCCTTCCAGAGAACAGGATGCAGATGCGCGGGGGAGGTAACCGGAGAACAGCGCAAGAAGATGCGGCTGTCCCCGGAGCCCAACACATAAATTACAAAAACAATTTCGAATTCAAGGGCAAGCATTGCCATTCCTCTCTTTTCCAAACTTTGGCTTTTTTGTGCTGAAGGTAAGTTTGAGAGGAGTGTAGATTTTATCCCAAGATGACTTCTTCCCATTCCATTTTAATTATCCGCTGGGTCTCGGTGACTAAGTCATGAGTAGGGAGGACCCTTGTCTTCAATGCCCTGCCATTGGCCAGCCAAGATCCAGTGTTCACTGTAGCCATGGTCTTTTCTGGGAGCAGAGGAATTTGTTCAGGGGAAAGGGGAGAAGAGGTGGCCCACACGGAGGCAGGCAGAACTTCATGTCACTGCGGAGGCTGAACCCAAGACCAACCAGGCACTTGGCAGTGACCACCCCTCCCCACCTCCCCAGGGACACTCACTGTCCTGGCTGGACCCTTCCTGATCCCCCCAGTGTCAGGGAGCAAGCTTGATTGTCTGCGCCCAGGAGTCCCAGACTTGAGGGCTACATTTCTCCCGATTGCCTTTGTGCAGAGCACACAGATGGCTTCAAATAACAGGCTGGTTTCATGCACCTGTGCTCTGGCTGTCCCAGGTTTTAGAAAGGACTGATCCATCTCCTCTTGAAACTTCCATCTGAATACACATCAATAGGGTGTATATGTGTGATGAAAGAAACACTCTTCAGCTACATGATTAGATGATCTGTGTTCCCCCAAACTTTTGCAAACAAGAGACTGCACTCTGGACTTAAACTTTCTTTTCAATAAAAGCAATCTAGGAAGTTTCCCAGTTTAGGTAGAAAGTGGATTAGGCCAGGTGCAGTGGCTCATGCCTGTAATCACAGCACTTTGGGAGGCGGAGGTGGGTGGACCACTTGAAGCCAGGAGTTTGAGACCAACCTGGTCGACATGGCAAAACCCCATTCCTACTAAAAATACAAAAAATTAGCCATGCGTGGTGGTGTGCACTTGTAACCCCAGCTACTCGGGAGGCTAAGGCAGGAGAATCGCTTGGACCCGGGAGGTGGAGGTTGCAGTGAGCCGAGACTTTTCCACTGCACTCCAGCCTGGGTGACAGAGTGAGACTCCATCTAAAAAAAAAAAAAAAAGAAAGAAAGAGAGAAAGAGAGAAAGAAAGAAAGAAAGAAAGAAAGAAAGAAAGAAAGAAAGAAAGAAAGAAAGAAAGAAAGTGGATTCGGCACCATCCCTAATAACAGGTGGGAAGGGACTGCCCTTACTGCCCACTCCGAGATGCTCCAGCCCTGCCGGCTCCTGGAGTGTGACCTGAGGGACACAAAGCAGCACTCTTACCACCCTGAATGCCAGTTCCAAACACTGAATGGGGACACAGGTGACCTCAACAGCAGGACCTGACTGCTCTCTCCAAGCACAAGGAAACTTGTTTTTTAGATCTATACCCATCAGCAGTGTGAGCTGCAGGGAAAATGCATCTGGCTAAGATTTTTTTTTTTTTTTAATGAGACGGGGTCTCACTTGCTCTGTCGCCCAGGCTGGAGTGCAGTGGCATGATCACAACTCACTGCAGAGCCTTGACCTCCCGGGCTCCAGCGAGCCTCCTGCTCAGCCTCCCAAGTAGCTGGGGTCACACGTGTGTGCCGCCATGCCTGGCTCATTTATTTTAATTTTTTAAAGAGACAGGGTCTCCCTATGTTACCCAGGCTGGTCACAAACTCCAGGGCTCAAGAGATCCTCCTGTCTTGGACTCCCAAAGTGCAGGGATAACAGGCATGAGCCACGGCGCCTGGCCTGCCTCAGACTTTAACCTGCACAAGGGAATGGGGAACTCAGTTATGGCAAGAAATGAGACAGATACCGACCGTATGCCACTGACAGAAAATTCTAAAACCCAAAGTCATGATATCAAGTGAGGCAGATACCGACCCTGAGCTCCACGTGACCGTGCTGTGGGCCTAGAAATGAGGGGGATGGGGAGTGTGGCTGCCACATGACAGGCAGGATCGTATACCTACAGCCTCCTGGACCTGGGCCCAGTAGAGCAAGTGCTGCCACCTGATATTCCAATGTCACATTCAGAGACAGCCACTGGCCACTTCCCAGCAGGGCTGGTGGGCACTTGTGAGAATGGGAAACTGGACCCATGTGGAGGTGTCCTGCCTGGTATGCTCTGCCGGGCTGTGACTCACGGAGGGACGGGCCCTGCACCCAGGTGACATCAGAGCCCAGGGTGCCATCTTTTCTCAGCTCCTTCTAGCCCATGTTGTGGATGCAAGGCATGGGTGCCAGGTACTTTCCCCTTCCACCCACCCTTGGCTGCTGGGCCACCTTGACTGCCCTTGGAGTTCTGGGCCCTCAAGAGCCTTCTCCATCACCTGCTTCTCATGGGCGCTGCTCCGACACCCACCCCAGGTGCTCTGTGGAATGTGCCAGTCAGGGCTCCCTCACGGAGGGTGAACACCAAGGCCCACCTCAGCAAGCATGGCCAAACCACTCAACAAGCAGCCAGACACTGATGTCCTACCCAGCCCAGCCCTGTGACCTCGAGAGAAGGATAAGACGGACACCCTGACATCAAGAATGCGTGGTCTCGTGTGCAGCCCAACGCAAGTGCACAGAATGAGGGGGTGTCAGGCTGATGACATGCACTAGGGGACTCTGGGGCAGGAGGGATCAGTGAGCTTCAAGGAGAAGGTGAACGCCATGCTGAGTCTTGAAGGATGAAGAGGATGGAAGGTGAGTTTCAAGTCAAAGCTAAATGAAAAAAAAAAGAAATAAAGACTTGAAGCTGGCAGCGAGGAGAAAGAAAAGGTTCTGAGGCCAGGGTAATAGGGCAGTGGTCAGAGAGGGGATGATGATGGGGGTTGGAGGATGGCAAGGAGCCCCTCAGCCACAACAGGGGACACCAAAGATGACAGAAGAGCCGGCATGAGGTCAAAGGGAGGCCAGACAAAGGAACTTTTGGAAACCTGGCAGAGGTGTGAATGGTGACTTCCAAGCTGGTGAGCAGCAGGATGGAAAGGGCGGGTGATGGGTGTGGCAGCCACATGTGTGGTGTGCTGGGCAGATGCCCTCATGGTGAAGCCGAGGCTCTGCCATTGACCACGAGGCACCACCAACCACACTCTGACTCCTCCAGCGATACAGCTGCCCTCTCATCAGGAACGGTACCAAGGAGCCTTGGTACCATCAACTATCTGCTGCCAACCGGTTACATGGAGTCTTTAAAACTGGGGCTGGGTTTTAAAGACTTGAGAGGCTGAGCGGGAGGATTGCTTGGAACGTATGGTCCCTGCCCACAAAAAGCCTGGCCCCTGGACCAGAGGGAAGCGGCACGATGAAGGTATGAGAGTGTTTCTGTTGGCGGGTCCAGCCTCTGCGCTCTGACTTTCTCCAGCTCAGAGATATCCCTTCACCCAGGTTCCTACAGAGCCCCATGCTCTTTCCTTATCTGAGAACCACAGATTGGAATCCACAAGGAGTCTAGCTGAAGATCATTTAGTCCAGAGGGTGCAAAACTTTTCCTGGAAAGGGTCAGACGGTAAATATTTTCAGTGTTGCCGGCCACAGTGTCTCTGTTGCACCTGCTCGACTCTGCTATTGTAGTCCCAAAGCAGCCATAGACAATACATAAGTGAAATGGGCATGGCTGTGTTCCAATAAAACTTTATTTGCAAAAACAGGCAGCAGGGCAGGTTTGGCCCACCAGTCATAGATCTAGCGCTCAACACTCCCATCCTACAGATGCTGAAGTGTAGCCTCAGGAAGATGGAACTGACTTGACCAAGGCTGCATGGCTCCCAGGACCAGACCAGAACTCAGAACATCTGCTCCTCAATCTTCAAATCTCTTTTTAAATGCTATTCAACCAGCTGCTTCCTCCTGGCAAAGTGGGGTCCTGGAAAAGACCATGAATCTTATTGACTCAAGAGATCGGAAAGTCCAGTAGAACCTGCTGGGATGTTTGTGTTTTCAATGGAGTAGAGAAAACAAAAACAGATGAAGGACTTCAGCAATTTTTAAAAATGGAGTGTTCATTCAAATAAACTTTAAATCCCACCAGGCAACCACGGGCACTTCACACTCCTGAGGTAGGCCCAGCAATACCTGAGACAAATCTCACCCCTATTTAATTATCATTAATCTTCCCTCCAGGCTTTTCCATACCTGCTAAATAGCTCAATCCATCTCATTACTGAAGGCAGCTGCTAGGTATGGTTGTGAGAAATCTCATTAGCACAAATGTACTTCTGTATGGTGGGCCTGATAGGCCCACCTCCCGAGACGGGGATGTTGAATGGCAAAATCTCAGCTCTGAGGACCATCAAAGCACTGGGTTCCCCAAAGTTTTGGCCACACTCAGTAGTAAGAGCCTTTTATTATTGTCATTTTCAACTACAGAGATCATGCCCCCCAAATAAGAAGAAAGCAAACACCTTAAAAGGGCAAACTTGAAGATTCACAATAAATAGGTAACACGTGAGGGGTCCAACACTGTGAAGCTCAACTGTTCCTCCTCTCGGACGTGATAATTTCACATGTTCAGACCACCCTGTCAGCATGTCAGATTTAAAATATTACACGTAGAATAATGAAAAATTGCCAACTTCTCACCACCGTCTTTTGATTAATGAGGAGTTCCTTAGAGATTGATTGGTTTATTTGATTTTGTTGCCGGGAGTGACTGATGGCTATTTTAAAAAATACTTAGCTTAGCGCTACCCTCCATGAGATAATTTTCATATGCCTTGTGTAGCTGCGTCCAGAATAATTGGACTTTATTGCCTTCCTTCCATGCATGAACTGAAGTTCCCTGGAGAAGCAAAACAGCTTCAGACTTTGTTGCTTTAATATTTCCATGTAGATCAGCTGCTGTGTTCATGGAGATGCTTCCACCAGATGGCCAGCCCGCCTTGAAGTGACATTTCCCATTTCCCGTCGATTACTCACCAATGGAAAATAATGTGATACGAATCCCTCATTTGGGGTAATATGTGGCCATATCCTTGTTGTACCTGCACTAAAGATAAATCATGCAATAATTTCTCAACTGTCCAGGGAGAAAATAGGAGAAACAACAGGTCACCAGTGTTTGGCAGGAAAAGGGAATCGTTATTGGTAAGGCATTCACTGGGACATTGAAATCTAATGTCCTAATTTCTTTCTTTTTTTTTTCTTGTTGCTTGTTCTTCTGTATCTCAGGGGGAAGAAACTTATTTTGGTTGTTTAAAACATTTAAGCTCTGGTTTTTAGGAAGAATCCTGGTTTTGGTCAAGTCCCTAGATGTCTCTTCCCAAAAGCACCCATTTTGATGCTGAGGCGAGGACAAAAGTATTAGTTTTCAAAAAGCCCAACTTTATCTCCTGAACAGACTCAAATGATTAATTCTCAAAGTCATTGTCAAATTTTACTTTTAAAAATCTTAGTAATTTCTCTTCAATATTTGGTACAAAGCTGTCGGTTACTCTCAGATCATCCTTGTTTTTCAACTTCTCTGTTTGATTCCAGCAAATTCTTTTAGCTGGTCACTCTTGAATTACTGTTAAAGATAAGTAAGTAAAAATGAAAATATTATTAATAAGGTATGAATAATTATCACTAACAGTTTTTCAGCCCTTAACATGTGCCAGGCAGTGTGGTTAGGGTATTCCATGCTTTAAGCCATTTATTGTCACCGCAGTTCTGAGAGGCCAGGAATATTATCATCATCTTCCAGATGTGGAAAGTGAGACAGTCCACGTCCTACAGCCAGAGCAGGATTCGAACCCACAGTCCTGATTCCAAGCTGTTCACCTCTGTTCACTGGGGAAGCCAAGTGTTAGGAAACTCTTCTTTCTGGAATGTTCCATTTTTTCCCTTCTCAGAGAGAAGTCAGCCCTGTTATTTCCCAGTTTCTGCTCTTCCTACCAGGCTTCAGGTCTCTGCCCACTGTGTCCTCACAGGAAGGCAGCAATAAGGAACTGGGTTAGGGTCTCTTCCCCCGTCCACAGATATTGGGGTATGTGGGTCCCTGAGTCTTCGGTCCATGCAAGGGGCATCTGTCCCTCTCCTGCAGACAGTGATGCACCCTGGGCCGCAGGCTGGCTGCTCGCAAGTTGCTTTTCCTCAGTGAAAGAATCTGCTTGTTGGAGGCACCAGAAGGTTCTTGAAGCTGCAGAAAATTCTACAAGTGGTGGAAGGTTCTGGAAACAGCTTCCTCCCTCCTCCTCTCCCCCTTCTCCACCACAGGCAGCATCTGCTGTAGTGTGAGCCGCAACCCTGCCTGGCCCTCCACCAAGCCTGAGGAGGACGCGAGCTCGGCTGCGGCTGACAGCATTCAGCAGCAGAACTCCAAGCAAGGGGGTCACCTGCCCAGGAGACTACCCCCTTAGTAACTCAAGCTTTTATGCACTCATTGGTATTCATCCAGATGGCTGTTTTGGCTAGAAAGAAACACTTCTTCCTCACTAGAATTACAAATAATTTGAGCAGAAAACTACAGGCAAGACATGTTAATTATGTTTGAAAGGATGTATCTTTTGGTACAAAGGGTTTTCTTAATCTAAAAATGCTTTCCCCGATCTCAACTTATATCTAATGGTAGTTTTTAGCACACAGAGTACGTAGCTTATTTTGTTTAGTCCTTTCATACCCACCTCCTGTGCAGGTAAAAAAAACCACATCTTTTTTTTTTGAGAGGGTGTCTTGCTCTGTCTGTCGCCCAGGCTAGAGTGCAGTGGCACCATCTTGACTCACTGCAACCTCCACCTCCCGAGTTCAAGCGATTCTCCTGCCTCAGCCTCTCGAGTAGCTGGGATTACAGGCACCCACCACTACGCACAGCTAATTTTTGTATTTTAGTAAAGACAGGGTTTCACCAGGCTGGCCTCAAACTCCTGACCTCAAGTGATCTGCCAGAGGCCTCCCAAAGTGCTGGGATTACAGGTGTGAGCCACCCACACCTGGCCAAAAAACCCATAGATTAATATGTGTCCTTTGAATCAGTCTCTTCCTTAGTAACTTGCTTCAGGATCCAAGGAGTGAACCACTATGGAAATTTTTCTGTAATAATTTCCCTTAATCCTTATTTAGATTTGTAAGTCTAAACACTTACCATTATCTGACACATGAAGTATGAGCTATGGACGTTGTCTCATAATCTTTTCCTTATTCCCTATTTATATTTATTTGTTAGTCTAAAAATTAATTGTTACCTGACATATAAAATAAATGTCATGAAAGCAACTGTTTTATGCAGAACAACGTAGTGCTGTGTAGTTTTTATATTATGCTAATATCGGAGCTAGCACTCCTGCCCCCAGCCTCCAATCCTGCTCATCGACCCCGAATAACAGACACCTGAGCGGGCACCTGCTGGGGGATGGACTTTGTTAGGACGATTAGAAAGGAGCGTTTCCATGATTTGCTTATGCTTCACCCTTCCTTTCAGTTAAAGATTAAGTCTTTGCATCGGATTTCAGTTCCGAGGCGGGCCGGGAAGGGATGTGGATATTTTCTTTATTTTTTAAAAAAACAAACCCTTGTAGATAGAGTTGGTTTATTTTTAACAAGGGTAGAAGCATTGTGGGAAGCTGTTTTTCAGATTTCATTTCAGCCACAGACCGTGCTGTACAAATGAAGACACAGCCTGGATTCTCCCTAATGAAAAGAGTGTGTCGGGGATGGGGACAGTGGCGGGGGGTGGGTGGGCTCTGAGGGAGCAGCTCCCCCTGCACAGAGATCCGGGCCACATGCAGGTCTGCAGTGACTCTGCCTTCTCTCTAGCCTCACCTTCATGCAGCACTTGCCTTAAACCAGCTCACATGCCCCACCTCAGGCAGGTCAACCAGCTTTTACTGAACACCTGCTATGTGCAGGGCAGACCAATAGGCATAAAGGAGGTCTCTGTCTTTCTAGAGATAGTCTGGTAGATGAGACAGATGTGGAAACTAATAAATCTAACAAAGGGCAGAGGCCATGTGATAACAAAGACAGTAAGTGAAACCCAAGCCACAACAGATACAAGCATAGGTTGAGGGGATCATGGAGGGAGTGACCGATTCCCACCAAAGGAGAGGGGCAGAGAGGGCTTTGGAGAATAAACAGGTAGCAAAAGGGAGATATTTCAAAAAGTGGGAGGAGGTTGTGTTTCAGATGTACCCGGGGGAGTTTGGGAGGGAGATGGGAAATGAGGAGCAAACCTTCAAACAGCCCCCCAAAAAGAAAGAAGGCTCTAAGACAGCCTGTTGAGTGAAACAACAAGATGCAAAACAGATTGTATTAAAACATAAGTTTGGGAAACAAATTATGTTCAATAAAGCAACATTTAAAATAATGTTAACCGAGGTGAAGTGGCTCACGCCTGTAATCCCAGCACTTCGGGAAGCCCAGATGGGCAGATCACTTGAGGTCAGGAGTTCGAGATCAGCCTGGCCAACATGGTGAAACCCTGTCTCTACTAAAAAATACAAAAATCAGCCATGGGTGGTGGCACCTGTAATCCCAGCTACTCAGGAGGCCGAGGCAGGAGAATACTTTGAACCCCGGAGGTGGAGGTTGCGGTGAGCCGAGATCATGCCACTGCACTCCAGCCTGGGTGAAGAGTGAGACCCTGTCTTGAAAAAAAATTAATAATGTTATAGAAATTTTAGGGAAATAAATATATATATATTTGCTATAAATGTTTTTTTTTTTTTGAGACAGTCTCACTCTGTCACCCAAGCTGCAGTGCAGTGGCACCATCTTGGCTTCCTGAAGCCTCCACCTCCTGGGTTCCAGCCTCCCAGGTAGCTGGGATTACAGGCACGCACCACCACGCTCAAATTTTTGTATTTTTAGTACAGACAGGGTTTCACCCTGTTGGCCAGGCTGGTCTCGAACTCCTGACCTCAGGTGATCCACACGCCTCAGCCTCCCAGAGTACTAAGATTACAGGCATGAGCCACTGCGCCTGGCCTATAAATGTATGTTTAAAAGGCCTCTATATATCCTCAATCAATAACAGCCTCTGGGGTGGGACAGGAGGGAATGTCCCTCCTGGTGGAATGGGGCAGGAGTGTCAGAGTGGACTTCAGTCTTTGTCTGTTTTTTTTTTTTTTTTAACTAAGGAAAATATATTCTTCATTATCTATGTAATTAAAATACGTTTTAAAATCTAATAAATCACCTATTTACTTTTCACTATAACGTAGGGCACTTAAGGCTATTATGTTATGTCCAATACATCTAGGTTTGATACTTCAAAGTCAAGCGGATTCTGGAGAAGCCAAAATACTGACCCAGAAAGTCTAGATTCGCCTAGTTTAATTCCCTTATTTTACAAATGGGGAACCGTGGGTTTCTCACGGTCTTTTTGTTGATAGGTGCAGGAAGATGTACGTGAAATAATTCATGGAAAAGTCACAGTGGCCTTGAAGTTCTCCAGATAACTATGAAAAACTACGTTAAGATGCTATTTTTCAACAAAATTCATTTTACCAACCTCAAAACGTATTTCCTCCGAAGAGGATACGCACTGACAAACAACACCCGAGTGTGGCATGCTAGCAGGAGCACTAGGCTGGGAGTCAAGAGACTTAAATTCCACCCGGAAGCCACCACATGACCTTGGCATGAGCCCGTCACCAGGCTCCTCAGCGTCCTCATCGCAGCACCAGGGATTTCCCAAGCCCTCCGGAAATACTGTAACTTGACAACAATGGAGAAAGACTTTCACCCATGCGGTTGGAATGCTAGCCTTAAAATATATACAATTGTTACATGTCAATAAAAATAAATAAATAAATGTTTAAAAAAAAAAATGTCCTTCCAGGGAACATCACACACCGGGGCCTGTTGTGGGGTGGGGGGAGTGGGGAGGGATAGCATTAGGAGATATACCTAATGCTAAATGACGAGTTAACGGGTGCAGCACACCAACATGGCACATGTATAGATACGTAACAAACCTGCATGTTGTGCACATGTACCCTAAAACTTAAAGTATAATAATAATAAAATTAAAAAAAAAGTCCTTCCAACAGGTTTCAAAAGTGAGGTTCTAATTTAAGCCTTGCAGGGTCTCTAATGTGAAGCCAGTTTGGTGGGGTTGAACGCCAAAAGGATAGGAAGGGCTTCTCTTTCGAGAATGCGGGGAGAAAGAAAAATCAGTATTTTGACTAAAAGAAAGTATTTAAGTTACGATCAGAAATATATTTGTCTAGAAATAAAAATGCATTCCCCCTGACCCCCCATCCCTTTAAATAGTCACAGCTGGCTCTCTGGCCATATAAAGTTACCATGCTGTCAAATGACTCAACTTACAACATCTGCATTGGTGACCGACATCCTGTATCATGGGCTATCTAACCCTTTGAGTCACGACACCCCTGTTTGAGTAAGGTTTATTTTACTAGCACCAAGAGACTCCTGCGTTTAACATCTGTGGTGCTCCTCCTGAAATTCCTAGCCATAAAACAAGTAAATTCAGCGTGGTCTGAAATTCCAGAGCGTAGCCACGAACTACACAGAAAACACATTCGGTGGGGCCGGTCGGTAATGGAGCAGGGCTTAGCTCGGGTGGGGCTGCACATCTGGCTGTGCCTTCCCTCCGCAAGTGTGGGAAGAGGACCTGGGAATGCCAGGGTCCAGCCAGGCAGAGAGTGGCTGGATGGTCTGCACGGGCAGGGGATGCTCTGGACACATGGCCAGGAGGGTGCTCCCCACAGTGCACCCTTAGGTGCCAGGTTGGTGACATTGGGTGTGACCAACTGTTAACCACTAAACTCCATCTGTTAATGTCCTCTGTAGGCCAAATACTCCATGTGCCTGAAGATGCTTCCGGCTTACAATTGTGAACTCAGTTTCTGTGTCCAGCATCGAGAGTTTAAAGTGGGGCGCGCCCATTCTCTGGATGGGCACAGAGCTGTTAAAATGGTGATTACGTAGACATTGTACCACGTGGGAAAATATTGATGATGAGACCACATTAGAGAAAATGAGCAAACAGAATGCAGGGTGGCAACGTCACCATGGTAATAAATTGGTAAGACCTCCTGGAACACTATGCAGCCATAAAAAAGAGCCAGATCATGTCCTTTGTAGGAACGTGGGTGGAGCTGGAGGCCATTATCTTTAGCAAACTAATGCAGGAACAGAAAACCAGAAACTGCATGTTCTCACTTATAAGTGGGAGCTAAATGATGAGAACACATGGACACATAGAGGGGAACCACACACACTGGGGCCTACCTGGGGGTGAAGGGTGGGAGGAGGGAGAGGATCAGGAAAAATAACTAATGTGTACTAGGCTTAATACCTGGGTGATGAAATAATCTATACAATAAACCTCCACGGCACAAGTTTACCTATATAACCGACCTGCACATGTACCCCTGAACTTAAAATAAAACTTAAATAAATTGGTAAGATCTGACGTGCCTGTGCAGCTGAGGACTAGAACTGAACACAGAAAAATTGCAATAGCTTAGTTCACTGGAGTGAAGTGGCTTTAAATTTTTTTTTTTCTTTTTGAGACAGAGTTTCACTCTTGTTGCCCAGGCTGGAGGGCAATGGCGCGATCTCAGCTCACTGCAAACTCCGCCTCCCGGGTTCAAGCGATTCTCCTGCCTCAGCCTCCCGAGTAGCTGGGATTACAAAAAAATTTTTTCATGCTATTCATGAAAATTAATAATTTCAAAGACATAATCCCAGCTTTTTAGGGGAGTCTCCGGCAAGGCATGGGGGTGGCATCTGCATGCAACACACGGTTGACAGGAAAAAGGGATGATGGAAGCCCAGGACGATCCCCCCGTGGGAACCAGAGCAAGGTCGTGAACTTCAAAGCTCTTTGACAAGTACAGGATGATAAAAACATATGGGTTTAGGACAACTCCCCGTCACATCTTCTGTGTGGCCGATGCCTGGCAATCCTTCAAGTCTCTCTTCCATATCAACATGCCTTGTGTGTGGGGTGAGCGGGCAATAAGGAGAGGCTGGCTGACAATCACCATGGCACCATCCCATCAAGATGACGCACAGACTCCTCAGCGAGGCGCACACCTGGCCTTATGTGCCAGACATTCTACTCCAGGGGCAAGCAGCCTCTAAATTATTTGTCACTGATACCCTGAGTGTCCCATTTTCACGATGCCACCCAGCTCTGGGTTCAATCCTGCTCTTGCTCATTCCCCTGGGCAAGGTGTCAGTCTCAGGCTGTGTAAAGAGGCTGTGTCCCCGCCCCTTATATTTAAATATTGAGTGGGTTGCATCTTTCCCAGCCATACCAAGAGGAAATGCAACCATCTCCCTCCCTGAGGCCAGCGTAATCTAACCATCACAAGCCAGGAAGGGTTGTGGCAAGCCATTGATCTTATTGTGTAATTATGGCTAGGGAAGTGTGAATGATAATGGATGAAAAGGAGAGGTGGAAACAACAGACTTTGCCTGAAAATGGGATGAGTTAAATTACAGTGCATTGATTCAATAGAAAATCATTTATCCATTTTTAAAAATGCTTTGTGGGCTGGGTGTGGTGGCTCATGCCTGTAATCCCAGCCCTTTGGGAGGCTGAGGGGGCGGATCACCTGAGGTCAGGAGTTTGAGACCAGTCTGGACAACATGGCGAAACGCTGTCTCTACTAAAAATACAAAAATTAGCTGGGGGTGGTGGCAGGTGCCTATAGTCCCATCTACTTGGGAGGCTGAGGCACGAGAATCACTTGAACCTGGGAGGTGGAGGTTGTGGTGGGCTGAAATTGCACCACTGCACTCCAGCCTAGGTGACAGAGTGAGACTCTCTCAAAAATAAATACATAAATAAATAAAAGTAAAAAATAAAATACAAATAAAAATGATTTATAAAGACCACATGGTAATGGAAAAAAGCATGAGCTATAAAATTAAGTGAGAAAAAGTACTGTACAAAATGGTATGTGAATTATAACTATAAAAATACATTTAAAGACCACAAAAGAATACAAATATATAGGTATGCATACACATACACATCTAAATGACATGTATAGTCATGTTTTATTCTAGAAAGGAGATGAACAGGTGCATTTCCTTTAATGCAGAAGGGAGTCCACAGAGAGTGGCTCTGAGCAGGTGACTTAGTTGGTTTCAGGAGTGGTGAGATCATGGGGAATTTTTTCTCTGTGGCCAACAATTTCTGTAACGTCATGTATAAGCAACTGAAAAATTATTATCTCAAAGCACATGAATTTTGTATGTTTTGGCAGCACTTTCTGCAGTTCAAATGGCCATATGAAACCCTTCGGGTTAGCCACAGGTACACCTTAGAGCAAACCCACCCCATGGGACTGACAGGAGGCAAAGTGGCATGAAAGGACAACACGGTGCTCCCCCACCCTCGGAAAGTACAGGAATCCATCCTCACTGCAACACCATCTGTAAACGTTCTCCAGGGGAGGAGAACGCAGCCCTGCTGTGCTGTTCAGCACTTAAGCAGACTGAAAAAGCAATTATCATAAAATGCAAGTTCAGCTGCAGCCCAGCTCTGTGGGGAGGTTGTTGGATGAGGAGCTGTCTGTCTGGGACAGCCCCTGACTCAGGCTTAGCTTCATCCTTGAGGTCCAGCCTTGCACCTGCTCTGTTTCCTCATCTGGGGTCCAGCTGACATCTGCCTGTACCTGAGGACCTGCCCAGGGAAGGCCGAGGGAGACAGTAGGGGACTGAGGACAAGAGTGGGAGCCAGGCAGCCCACCCATCCTCAGTTCTCCCTCGTGTTAGATGCAGAAATCAAGTTACCTCGACTGAACTCATTTTAAAAATGACTTTACTCCATTCTGTGTCAATGTTGCATTCTTGGCTTTGACCTTGTGTATTAAAGAAGCAGCTCAATGAAAATGTTCCGACATTACCTGTGAGCTGTGAAAGAGGTGGCTGATTATTTTGTTGGTATCATTTGTCTAAAGCTCCATGGGACAAATTATTTTCATAATCCTAGTGCAAGTAAAGATCATGTTTCCTAAAGGTGATCTTTAAACTATTTTTTCATTGACAGTAGAAAGCTGAGAGTGAAATTTTGCGTTTAGTTATACGAACGACACTAATGTGTTTATAGCACCTCTATTCCCCTCCTTCCTCCCACCCACCATCCTTCTACATGTTAAGAAAATATTTTCTCTTTTTTTCAACAGACTTTCTCTTTTATTATAAACTGCCTCAAATTCTTTTTAGGAGTAGATAAGATGTCAATAAACCTGCATGGCAACATATCTTGAGGAAATTGCCTATTGGCAGAGACACACTTTCTTACCTTCAACAAGGTAGTAACATTGCTCAACTAAAAAAACCTGGGCCAGGCTTGGTGGCTCACACCTGTAATCCCAGCACTTTGGGAGGCCGAGGCAGGTGGATCACCTGAGGCTGGGAGTTCAAGACCACCCTGACCAACATGGAGAGACCTCGTCTCTACTAAAAATACAAAATTAGCTGGGTGTGGTGGCGCATGCCTGTAATTTCAGCTACTCGTGAGGCTAAGGCAGGAGGATCGCTTGAACCCGGGAGGTGGAGGTTGCAGTGAGCCGGAGATGGCGCCATTGCACTCCAGCCTAGGCAACAAGAGCAAAACTCCATCTCAAACAAACAAACAAAAAACAAAAAACACACAAAAACAAATCTGCAGAGAGAGAGAGAGAAAAAAAAATCCAGGCTGTGGGGTTGTCTATAAGACAACTCAGCTAGGCCCTTCAGAAAGTCAGTCATAACAAAAAGTCTGGGAGACTGTTCTAGATTGAAGTTGATAAAAAGACGTAACAATGAACATACTGATCTTTGATTAGATCCTGCTTTATTTTTTATTTTTTTAAAAAAGCTATAAAAGATGTTTTGGATGCAATTGGGAAAACGTGAATATGAACTGGATAGTAGATGACGCTAGAGTTAATTTTTTTAAAAATTAATGTTATGAGGTATGATAATGGTGTCGCAGATACATAGGAGAATGTCCTTGGTAGACATCTAATGAAATATTTATAGTCAAGTATCATGATCATTTACAATTTACAATTTACCTTCTTTTTTCTTTGTTTTTCTTTTCTTTTCTTTTTTTTTTTGAGACGGAGTCTCGCTCTGTCACCCAGGCTGGAGTGCAATGGTGTGATCTTGGCTCACTGCCACCTCCACTTCCTGGGTTCAAGCAATTCCCCTGCCTCAGCCTCCCAAGTAGCTGGCGTTACAGGTGCGTGCCTCCACGCCTGACTAATTTTTGTATTTTTAGTAAAGACGGGGTTTCACCATGTTGGTCAAGCTGGTCTCGAACTCCTGACCTAGTGATCTGCCTGCTTCAGCCTCCCAAGGTGCTGGGATTACTGGCATGAGCCACCACACTCAGCCTACAATTTACTTTCAAATGGTTAAGAAAAAATCAAAACAAAATGTGTGTGTGTGTGTGTGTGTGTGTGTACAGAGAGAGAGAGAGAAAACTGTATATGACAAAATATAAACAATGGTTAGAGCCAGGGAGACAGTCTACAGGTGTTCATTGTACTATGCTTCTATCTTTGCTGCCTGTTTGAAAATTTTCAGTCAGTTGGATGGAGGTCTATGAAAGTCCAACACTTATAGATCAACCAGAAATAGATGAAATCTGATGGTAACTCATTTTCTGGAACCCCTAGTGTACCCCCAAACAACTCAAATGGTTGAGATCAATGTTAATGGGTTTCAGTCATAAAACTTAGCAAGAAAAAGGAAAACAATCACCACCACCACCACAGTTTTGCTGCTGTCACTCTGTGTAGGACGGGTTGCAGAACTGCGTGGCAAGAAGAGACAGCGGATCACAAGGTCAAGAGATCGAGACCATCCTGGCCAACATAGTGAAACCCCGTCTCTACTAAAAATACAAAAATTAGCTGGGTGTGGTGGCACACACCTTTAATCCCAGCTACAAGGGAGGCTGAGGCAAGAGAATCGCTTGAACCCGGAAGATGGAGGTTGCAGTGAGCCGAGATCGCACCACTGCACTCCAGCTAGGTGACAGAGCGAGACATCGTCTCAAAGGAAAAAAAGAGAGAGAAAAAAAAGAAGAGACAGCATTTCAGAAGGAGTCTCTGCCCAGCGTCCAGCAGCAGTCGGTAAGAGAAGCCCATGTATGAGAATCAGGATGCTGCAGTGCTCCCTCAAGTCACCTCCATTGAAAACCATTTTTTTTCCACAGTTGGAGTGGCCGATTGCTGCAGGTATGACATCTGGCCAGTACCAAGTCTTCCTAACTCTTCAGAGATCACCCCAACTCAGGAATGGGCAGACATAACGGCATAGGGAGACCTGTACGAGTCACCTGACCCCCAGCACCAGGTCAAGGCTGCAGGAGTCCCAGTCGCGCCCCTGCCCGGCACACCCACACACAGAGCTTGCTTCTCAACTAGGCCCGGCCAGCGCAGCTTCCTCTGGGCAGGGCCCTAAATGTGGATTCAGAGCTGGACAGCATCCGCTGACCCCACTCCAGAATGATGGCTGGGAAGTCTCTGTTGTAACCCCCGCCAATTTAAGAGATGCCGAGAATGAGCTTTCAGTCACATATTCATTCATTTTAAAAATGTTTATGGAGAAACTTCTCTGTGCCAGGCTCTGTGTCAGACGGGAATATAAGTTTGTGAACAAATCAGATAAGATCCCCACACTCAAGGTGTTTAAGGTCTACTGGGAGACATGGCAATGAAATAAGCAAAAAATACGTGTGTGGTGTGTGTGCAGAGTGAGTGCGTGTGGAGTGTGTGTGGAGTGAGTGTGTGTGGAGTGAGTGTATGTGCGGAGTGAGTGTGTGTGGAGTGAGTGTGTGTGGAGTGTGTGTGGAGTGACTGTGGAGTGTGTGTGTGGAATGAGTGTGTGTGCAGAGTGAGTGTGTGTGGAGTGAATGTGTGGGGAATGTGTGTGTGTGCAGAGTGTGTGGAGTGAGTGTATGCAGAGTGAGTGTATGTGGAGTGTGTGTGGAGTGTGTGTGGAGTGAGTGTGTGCAGTTTGTGTGGAGTGAGTGTGTGTGTGGAGTGAATGTATGTGGAGTGTGTGTGGAGTGAGTGTGTGCGGAGTGTGTGTGTAGTGAGTATGTGTGTAGTGAATATGTGTGGAGTGAGTGTGTGTGCAGAGTGAGTGTACGGTGTTAGTGTGTGTGGAGTGAGTATGTGTGCGGAGTGAGTATGTCTGCAGAGTGTGTATGTGGAGTGAGTGTGTGTGTGCAGTATGTCTGCAGATGAGTGTGTGCGGAGTATGTCTGCAGAGTGAGTGTGTGTGCAGAGTGAGTGTGTGTGTGCAGTATGTCTGCAGATGAGCGTCTGTGCAGAGGGAGTGTATGATTGGAGTGTGTCTGTGGAGTGTGTGTGTGGAGTGAGTGTATGTGTAGCATGTGGAGTATGTATGTGTGTAGTATGTGGTATATGTGTGTAGTATGTGATGTATGTGTGTGGTATGTGTATGGTGTGGTGTGTGTGTGGTATGTGGTATGTATGTGTGTGGAGTGAGTGTGTGTTGTGTGGTGTGGTCCGTGTGTGAAGTGAGTGTGTGTGGTGTGTGGTGTGTGTGTGTTTATACAGTCATCCCTCAGTATTCACAGGGGATTGGCTCCAGGACCCCTGAGGATTCCAAAATCCTTGGCTGTTCAAGTCCCTGATATTAAATGGCGTAGTGTTTGCATGTGGCCAATGTACGTCCTCTCATACACTGCAAATCATCCCTAGATGACGTATAATACCCAACACAATGTAAAGCTATGTAAATAGTTGTTATACTGTGTTTTTATTTGTATTGTTTTTTATTGTTGTGTTATTAATTTTTCCAAATATTTTTGATTCATGAATGTGGAACCTGCGGGTATGGAGAGCCAACTGTACATCACATAGGAACATATCTAATTACCAGCTGATTTGTTCCAGAAAAGAAATCAATGGGGTGCAGTTGAATGGTGGCCTTAACCTCTCCTACTGATATTGAACGCTGGGCAGCATGGCCCTCTGAAATCCCACTCGTTCCTGCCAGGACCAGGGGGGTTTGAGGAGTGTCTCTTTGAGAAAGTGGCTGTAGGTCAAGTGCTGAGAGAGGGGAGGGAGGGACTGGGGGGCAGGGCTCCAGGTGGAGACATCTTGTGAGGTACCTAAGAGTGGTGAATTCAGGGTGTGAGGAGAGGGCAGAGAGGCCAACATCAGCCAGACCTTACAGGTGGTGATAAATAGTTAGATGTTTATTCTAAGGGAAGAGGAGGCCACAGAATTGTTGTAAGCAGTGGATGGACATGAGGTGACTTGGGTTTTAAAAGGCCACTATGGTGACTCTGTAGCAAGCTGATTGGAGGTGGGCAAGAGTAGAAGGTATTTTCACAGTCCAAGTGAGATATCAGTTCCTTAAACAAGGACAGTGGCTGTGGAGGGGGAGAGGAGTGGACTGATTCCACATACACTTTGCAGGTAGAATTGACAGGCTTTGCTAATGGGTTGGATGTTAGAGTTGAGAAAAGAGGAGAAACCAAGGATAACTTCCAGGTTTCTGGTTTAAGCCAGTGGTGGTGCCAATTCCAGAGAGAGGACTTGATGTGGACGGGCTGGTGGGGAGAACATGGAAGTCAACAGTAAGAGTTCTTCATCTTCTGCAGGATACCTCCTACCTTTCCGTCAGTCAGTTTATCAATCGGGTACTTGTTGAGGGCTTATCATGTATTAAGCTCTGTGCATTTACCTTGACATATTTTTAAAGATGATTTGAAATGACTTCTAATAAAACTCACAGGTACAAGAAAACTACTGAAAAGGTGCATAGGTGAAAGAACAAGAGCCAAGTAACAAAAGGATGAAAAGAATCATATCTAAGTCCTAATCCTAAAAGAGACTGCTGCAACTACAAGCAAAAAACCTTAACTCTGAGTTCCCCAGGAACCAAAGCAAAAAGGGAAAGTTGAGTTTTATAAAGCCGATTGTCTAATAAAAAGAAGCATGCTGGCTTACTCAGAGAAATAAAATTTCGCCCTTATTTTCAACTTCGAAAGCATTTTTCTTACTACCTACCTTCTGTAAGGGCCAATGATCAATATAGTGGAATTGTTATATTGTCAATAACAATTTTACACAAAATACAAAAGATTTCTGTATAAAACCTAAAAAACTGGTGTCCCAAATGCCCGGTAGAATGGACTATCAAGGGCACTGGCCAGGGGCACAGGTCTGTAGCAAGGGAATACTTTGGCTTGTGTCTTACTGTCTTAGGTTTTAATAGTGTCTTTGTGACGAGTACCTTGCTACCCACTGACTTAATTACAGTTTCTTTTGTCTTAGAATGTAAATTTCTTTTGTTACCCCCCCCCAATCATGTGTGTGCATGTATGTGTGGGTGTGTGTGAACCACTGGAGTTGGCTGTAGACTTTCTTTTACTTTTGCAGCCAGAGTCTCCCTCTGTCGCCCAGGCTGGAGTGCAGTGGTGTGATCTCCGCTCACTGCATCCTTTGCTTCCCAGGTTCAAGGGATTCTCCTGCCTCAGCCTCCCAAGTAGCTGTGATTACAGGCACTCACGCACCACCACCATGTCCGGCTAATTTTTGTATTTTTAGTAGAGACGGGGTTTCACCATCTTGGTCAGGCTGGTCTTGAACTACTGACCTCATGATCCGCCCGCCTCGACCTCCTAAAGTGCTGGGATTACAGGCGTGAGCCACCGCTCCTGGCCGGCAATAGACTTTCTAAAACATTTAAATAAACTTCGCACCCCTTCTCACGCTGCCCGGAAAATTCTGACTTCCCTCACCTTGGGAGAGCAAGGCTCATATAGCAGACGTTGCAGACCTTGTTTAGGTCACACTTAAGATAAAGGAAGATGCAAACTCCTTTTTTTCTGATCAGCTGATCCCCTGTGACTGACGGCCGGGGAGCCCCTATGGCACCAGTCTGTAGGCTACAGCCTGAGCCAGATTCCATGCTAAAAGTCCCGAGGCTGGCAGTGAAAGAAACCCCCCGGGGCTGGAAACTCACCCCTCCTGGGCGGCTGCACACCAGCTCATGGCCGCTCTGGGGTCTGTGAGGGCCCGGCGCCCGTTCTCCCCAGGGAGCCGCGTGACTCTCCTTGATCCGGCCTCCCCTCGAGCGACAGGCCTCCCAGAGGCCCCCCAGCAGCCCCCGAGCAGTCCCCGGAGCGCTGGGGGACTCTGCAGCGCGCAGGTGACCACGCAGAGACAGCCCCAGCGCGATGAATAATTGAGGCGCAGAGTGGAATTACCTCTGTGGGCTCCGAGTCCCTCCCGCAGCCCGCACCTGCCCCTGCCCCTGTCCCTGCCTCTGCCCCAAGGACTACTGCTCTTTTCAGAAATGACGCCAGTACCAGCACGTGCAAAATGCCTTGCAGCCTTGCTGGGAACACATTTGCATACTCAGTTTCAGGTTTAAATGCCTGCGCATAAAACAGGATTAAATAGCACAACCTGGCGGGGGCAGGGGGGAGCACAAGGGTCTCCCTTCCACCTGGCCGGAGGTGGGTGAAAATCCCAGCAGATTTCAACAACCCGCCTCCCACCCTACACCGCAAGTAGGTGCGCGGAGGGACTCAACTGCTGGGGCAGGGGCTGCCCTCTGGGGTAGAGGGACCCCCAGTTTCCAAAGTGAGGGCTCAGAGAGCACCCAACTTCTCCGTTCTCTCCTTTTTTCATTCATTTTTCCTCCAACAGATATTTATTGAACACCTACTATGTGCCAGCACTGTGAAGGGGGACAGTAGGGTCTATAGCAGTGAACAAAAAATGTCCCTGCTCTTTGAGTTGGGGGAGACAGACAATTAGAAAAAGATTCAAAGAAATAACATAGTTCCCGTATGAAGATAAGAGCAACGACCAGGGAGAGGCAAACAAAAGAGAGTGATAGGGAAGTTTCTCAGGATGTTCAGGAGGGCCTTTCTGTCCTGCTGTGCTTAGATTCTGCCTATAACTTAATAAGTATGTTATCATTTGATAGTAATACTTACCAAACACTTCTCATGTTCTGGGCACTATAATAAGTGCTTTAGCACTTTGGCTTTACATAATCGTTGTAACTACCTAATGACATGGATCTCTAATTGTGCCCATTTTACAAAAGAGTACAATTGAGGCAATGGGTCCTGAGGCCAGTAGCTGAAGAATGGCGGAGCTGCGACTTGAACCCAGGCATCTAGTTCTAGGACCCCACTCTGAAATACTGCACTGTAATTTACATATATTCATTTCCCCTCGTTTCCAAATGTGGGACACGGCCAAAAGCAAGCAAATATGCATAAGGAGCTTCTGACACGTAAACAGCCACCCCCATACTGTGGCATTTCTCCTGTTCTTGCCTACAGTTCTAGTTGATTCCTAAAGTGGGAGAGAGCGTGCATGATGATAGGGACTGTTTACTTAGCAAAGAAACTGAGTCAGCTCAGGATCCCCAAGGCTGCAGCCAGGGAAGCCTGTGTCATGGATTCAACCGTCTGTGCTGAGCCGCACCTGCACTGGCTGAATTGCTAGCAGCCGGGTTTCAATTTGGGGACCCAATGGGTGACACCCAGGAACCCAGAAGCCACACCAGCCCTTGGCTCCCTCCAACCCAGGTTTCCATTACCATGGTGCTGCCTGCCAGCTTGGCAGGATCACACTACACCTTGGGCAGGTCCTTGCCCTGGGCCCCCTCTGCTGCCATCCATCCCTCTCCCTGAAAAAGGTGGTGGGAAGGACAATGGCCTTTTCTTGGCTGAGGAGTGCCAGGGAACCAAGCCTCTCAGTACAGAAGGAGGGAGCAGCCGAGGCTGTCTGACATCCAGACCCCATCACAGGGTAGGCCTGCTGGATTGTGGGTGTCTTACATTTGCTCATCCTCCAAGACTAGAACAAAGTTCTCCCAGGCCTCAGACAGTCATCCCTGCCTGCAGCTATTGACTGTTTGCATAGGAGGGGATGGAGTTGGGATTTAGGAAGGAGAGGCAAATTTGAGGCTGGGGAGAATTTGAATTTTCCTGTGCACTAACCACAGGCATCCCCTCCTCCAGAGCACACTCACTCTCAGACGCCCAGGGAGCTAAGCAAAATTTCTCTGTATTTTATCCAAATATGCCGTGGACTTTGAAATGAACTCTTTACACCTCCTTCCTGCTGACCCGACTGCAAATCAGCTTTTGATGGGATTGGACAGCTTGGAGAGATGGGCAGCGATCACGCTGAAATATGATGACAGGGGCAAGACTGCAAGGACATCCGCGAAGTAAGACATGTGCACAGAGCAACCATGTGAAAACAATTAGGACGACAAATTTACTAATTGCTGAAAGTAACTTAATAACAAAACCACAATGCTCTCTGTTATTAATCCTGGCTACTGCAGCGGGTGCCAATTGAAGTTTGCTTGCAGGAGGGATTGTAAGTATCAGGCCAGTGCCCTAGCATTTGTGGATACTAAGTGAAAAGAGGTTGCATCTCTGTTGGTAACTGAAAAATAAACCGCTGTTCAGCCTCCTACCAATGCAGGTGGCCATAGGGATTTGAGGCATTTCTGAAGCCCATGGAGAGAGGGAGGCAGGGCTCTCTTGCCTTTCTGTGACTCTCTCTTTTTTGCATTCTCCACTTAAACCAGAGCAACGGGCATTACTCAGATTTTGGAGGGTTAAGAATTGATTTTTAAGAAACACAAATTCAAATGCAATATTCTTAAAGCGTTTTAAGGTGGAGTGGGTAGAAATGAGGTAGCAAGGGACTCCATTCTTGGGTTGGGTGAGGAGCCTTCAAAAGTTCTCTGAGTTCCCAAGTCTTTCACAGGCTGCTTGCTACACATAATCCTTCACAGAAATTAGGTATCAGTGCCTAGGCATCGGGAGTGAATGCAGTATTTCTGGAGGCAAGGGAGTCCCTTAGCCCTCCAGAAGATCAAAGACAACCATCAAATGTGTCACCTTCAATAAGTCATGGGATGCAAAGGACCATAATTTCCCTTACTAGAGGGGCTCTTTGTGCCTATATTTCTCTTAAGTTGCCTAAGTCTGCAAACATTTGGATCATTCAAGCCTCATTTTTTTTCCTTGAAATATTTATAAAAAAGGCTGAATTATTATTTTTTGAAATATGTTAGTATCTGCCCCCACTCTGTATTTGACCATTTATATCTCAATGAGAAATTGCATTTATTAAAGCTGGCAGCTCTGTGTGTACTTTATTGTGATGTTTTTGTAATTACAATGAGCAGTGTAGCTTTTCTTCCCCTCCCAATTAAAATGATCCTGGCCCAGAATTTCAGAGTCTTCAAGGCCAAGTTTGCTTCTCCTGGAGCATCCCCAGGAGATGTCTGCCCAGGCGGGAGGAGGCAACGAAACCTCTTCTTGGACCCAGGACTTCACCAAGGTCCTGCAAGAGCCCTTCAGCCCTCCCTCCAGCAAGAGCGAGAACCAGTGTGGTGGCCTCAATGGGTCCTCCCGCCCAACAGCTGCCTTTCAGGAAACAGAGACTGTAACCTGGGACTTATTAAAAGTTTGGAGAGAAATAATATTTCTGAGGTTGTTCAACCTCTGGCTACTTTGAAGTTTATTCTTGGATTAATCCAGATCTTCAGAGACCTGCATATGGGCATGCATTATTTTCACTTTTTGCAGAATCACTTTCACTAAATTGCATGTTAGTCTTATCTTATTGACCTACTTCTAAAGAATATTTGGTTAAGAAAACAAATTCTCAGGCCTCATCCCAGAGCCTGATTCAGCATTTCCAGGAACACGCTGGAAAGCTGTCAGTGTCAAAGCGTCTCTGTGGTCAGGGTGATTGCCCTGTGACATATCTTTGAGAGTTCATGGCTAGAAACAGCTGTGCTTGTTCTGAGCAATGGGCTTATTTTTTATCACTAGACACTGTGATACTTCTAACTAATCATGTCATTTCTTTGGGTTGACTGTAGGAACCTCAGATTCAAATCCACCCCTAGCAAAAATGTGCACGGTCTCAGCACAGGTAATTTTTGTTTATTTTCTAGCAACTGCCTTTACCTTCTTTCCCCTCTGTTGAACTTTCCTCAAGCACTTACCTTTTTTATTATGGAAAATGTCAGACACAATGTAAACGCTTACCTTTTTATTACAAAAAATTTCAAACATAGGCAAGAAGAGCAAACATAATGAGTTCTTATGTATCCATCACCAAACTTCAATAATTTTCAACTTACAGCCAACCTTTAAATATTTATTTTTAATCTTACCAAGATTATTGGAATCTTCGTAAGTCTCCCAAATTCTTTTTCTAATGAGATAGAGAGTACATTATAAATAACCACAACAAATCAGCAGTTCTTACATTTAAAAGTGATGTTGCCTCCCCACCCCTAAGAGGACATTTGGCAATGTCTGGAGACATTTTTCATTGTCACAACTGGGCAGGGAGGAGTGTTGCTCTTGGCATCTAGTGGGTAGAGTCAGCGATGCTGCTCAATGCCCTACAACGCACAGGACAATCCCCAAAACAAAGAACGATCAGCCTCAAATGGCCATGGTGCTGAGGTTGTGCACTAAATTAAAATGAGTATTTTTCAAGTTAGACTATTCCTAGGAAATTGACTTTAAAGCACAACTTGTGTTTTCAAGTTGACAAATGTTCTAAATATCATAGGTTTGGTGGTTTATAGGGTATTCATGGTATACACGCTGGAATATCAGTAAGAAACTAGTTGACGGTGGTTGTCTCTGGGGAGAACTTGGTGGCAGGGCAGGATAAAGACTTACTTTTTCCTCTATCCCCATTTGTGTCTTTTATATTTTATAATGCATGCAGGTCTTACCTACTTGAAATACATTTGAATAACATGGAGTACGTGGATGTTTTCAAAGGATCTGAAAATAAAGTTTTTATTTTAAAGAAAGCTTTTGAAATGGTTGTGTAAAGAGACCAAAAAGAACCTTCCGACAGAGCTTTCCAGAGTACTGTGAGCCTGTCAGACACCTAGTGTGGCTCAGCAGCGCCCGGGCCATTAAGGGAATCAGAAACACGTGGAGAGGCGGCCGCTGCTCCCGGCATGATGGATCAATTGTTCGAGAGCGAAGTTAAATGCGAGGGTCCCTGTGCCAAGCCTCTGACACTAATGAGCCCTCAACTCCAGGAAGCAGGTCTCCCAGGGCCAGGCAGTGACGTGGCTTCTGGGCAGCAGACAGGAGGGCTGGGAGCCGCCTGCAGCCTGGCCGGAGCTGGCCACAGGATAAGGTCCACTCCTGCCTCCATCAGCTGGTGGCCATCTGCACCACCCTCTGATCCTCCAAAGATGGTCACTCACCCGCTGATCCTCCAAAGGACACAGCTACGTTGAGCTGTAAATGGTGACAGAAGTGAGGCAAACCCCTTGCTTCTTTTGAAAAGAAAGGCCCAGCGAACACATCTTTGGAAACATTACCTGGCGGTGTCACTTCCATTCTTAAAACCCCAGTGGCTTTTGGCTGACCTTGGTCCCCCTCTTTCTCCTCGCGTCCTCTGCCTCTCAACTCTGGCTCCCGGGCTTTTTGTCAGTCCCTTGGATTCACTGCACTCCCCTCCACTGCAGGGCCCCTGCAGATGCCGTTCCTTCCACCAGGCACACCCTCTGTCTCCTCTTTTCCTTGTTACCTCCTCCAGGAAGCCCCCCTTCCTCCACTCCCCTAGTAAGTCAACCCCCCTCATGACAGGCCATCCAAAACCTGGGTCCTTTTCCTCCCAGCTCCTGGAGAGCTGCATCTTCACCATCTGTGCCATCATGTGATAAATGCCAATCTCCCGGCTGGGCCATGAGCTCTGGAAGCAGCATCTAAGTCCAGTTGGTTTGCCCGTCCCAGAGCTGCATCAGGCCCATATTCACTGGGACTCACTAAATGTTCATTGACCAAGAGACCTAATGAAGAACACAAACAGCCCCGCCCCAGAGGCAGGCATCAATACGCAGCTCATCGAGGGAATCCTGGAAGAGCAGCCAAGCTCAGGGGAGCAGAAGGGTCTCCAAGATGTGGGGGAATGGGGTCTGGGCAGCCTGGAAGCTTCCACGGCTTCTCCAGGGTGGAGACCAAGTCTGTGGCAGGTTAGAGGGTTGCGTGGATGGTTACCCTGACTGCCCCACGGTATCTCCTGCTTCTCCCCTCTCCCGCATGGTCCCCAATGGAGTAAGGCTGACTTCCTTGGTGCCAAAGGCATCGATGACCCCCTGGGATTGGTCAGTTGATGTGGGGAGGCCAAGGGTGGAAGAGCTAAGAGCTCCTCCAGGGTGATCTGGGGAGAATGAGGAAGCCCCTTCCACACTGACCCATGAGAAAGGGGAAATGTCTTCCTCTCTCCAAAGCAAGGCCTTCCCTGACTGCAGTGACCCCAGTGGCTGCCCCTTCTCCAGGCTCCCACCACACCCTGGGCACATTCCAGTTGCTGCATAGTTCACGATGATGCTCTTTCTAGATGTTTGGTGGCCAGCTAGGCTGTGAGCTCCCTGAGGGTAAGGACTGTGGAATATTTTTTCTTAATACTCAAACCATGCACAATGGCCCAATTATTAAGGTACCCAACAACCTTCTACAGAATGAGCTTATCATTGCTATGGGGCATGACACAGACGATTCATAGCTGGTGTTTTTTTTTTTTTTTAACTTGTCCATCTTGCTACGATTTCTGTCAGCATGAGCAGAAATGGAGATTGAAAGACAGGGCTGTTGGCTTCAAGCAAGACTTTTATATTCCTTCATGTGTGCATTACACACACACTCTCTCTCTCTCTCTCTCTCCTCCCCACCCCTGCCCCCCTCCGGCTACTGAGAGTCCTCGCTGAAGCCAAAAGTGGTAGACATGTAAGAAAATGCTGCAAAATGAGAAAGATGTATTTGGTGTTGAAAAGGAAATTGATGAGGAGAAGGAGCGTGTGGCCCCCGGGTAAGGGGAGCTGCCCTCCCAACTGGCAGGTGTGCAGCTTTCTCAGGGCACCCCACAGAGGCCCTGGAAGGCATTATTCCTTTGCTTGCTTTCTGTGGAGAACAAATCACCTCTAAAACATTTCCCAGAGGAAGGGCCGGTGGGGCGAGAATTACTTCTGGGGGTTGACCAGCCACAGGCTCAGCCAGAGAGCAGCAGCTGCTGTCAGAAAGATCACGGTTGGCCAGCATAGCCACTTGTCAGCACACAACGGCCCTGGAGGAACTCACCTGCCCCAGGTAAAGACAGTGAGACAAGGGTGGACATCGGTGAACTTCCTCTCTTCCTTCAGGTCTTCACTCAAGTGTCACCTCCCTGGGGACCCTCCCCTGGCCACATTCCTACTCGCAATCGTCCCCTGGCCTTGTGGCCTGCACACTTTCCCACCCCTGTCATGCCTGATTTTTCCCCTGAGCACGGATGACGCTTGAAAGCCCATTCATGTTACTGATTCTCAACATCTTTCTCCTGTGATTGCAGCTGGAATGAGGATAGACACTGCACCTGCACTGTCCCCTGCTCTGTCCCCAGCAGCTACAACACTGCCTGGCACATAGCATGACATTGGTATTTATTGCATGGTTGAAAGAATGAATGAATTGGAGTCGTTGAAGGCTGCCTTTTAGAATGGTGACTACCCTGTATTCAGATTCTTTTCAAGATATTGTCTTTCTAAATGCCCCAGAGTACTAGGAGGACACAACCTACGTTTAAATTTAAAAACACCCAGTGCATTTCCAAAAGAAAGTTGCTTTAAGTTCGCTGCATTAAATTAAATTCACTGAACTTTCTCAGGGCTACCCTGAGATAGCCCAGACATGCAGCGGGTCTTGGGAGGCTTGGCCATTGTCACCATGATACCAACTTGGCTCCTCTCCCCCTGACCCCAAAAGTCGAATAAGCTCTTTACCTTCATTGGTGTGGAAATAGAGCTCAGGGCAGTTTTAGTAGCTATATGTGGAGGGAGAATTGGAGGGGCCCTAAAGTAAGTTGGTTTGCTAAGAGCCACCCTTTCAAGAGAAGTCAAAGGGCAGTGCCAAATCCTGCTCATCGCCAGGGTTTCTCAGGTGCTGTCTGGAAAGTTGGGCCCATGGCATCAGCCCGGTTTCTAACCTGGTCCCCACCACAGGCCTGGATCACATGCTCCCAGTCCCCTCCCAGTTCCCATCTTAGGTCCGGGAACTCCTCCTGGCCTTCTCTAGTTCTTGGAGACCTGTCAAGAGGTCCCTGCTCCATCCAACTCTGCTCATATCCCACAAATTCTCTATCTGCTCACTGTCTAATGCCGGCAACAGTCACAGTGCAAGGCAAGAGGCTCTGGGGGCACCAGCCACGGTCCCTACAGAGATGGTAGCAGGTTGAGGAGAGTCCTTCCCAAATTCATGCTCACCCAGAACCTCAGAATGTGGCCTTATTTGGAAATAGGATTGTTGCAGATGGTGAGGATGAGGTCACCCTGGAGCAAGATGGGCCCTACTCCAAAATGACTGTTGTCCTTAGAAGCAGGCACCAGGGGAAGGCCACGTGAAGAGGGAGGCAGAGACTGCAGTGACACAGCTGTGAGCCAAGGCCAAGGAATGGTGTGGCCAGCCGGCAGCCACCAGAGTGGGGAGGGGGCACGGAACAGACTCCCCTTGGAGCCTCCAGAAGGAACCAGCCCTTCCTACCCCGCAATTTCGGACTTCCTGTTCCCAGACCTGTGAGACAATAAATCTCTTGTACTTTGTTACAACTGTCCTTAGCAAACAAATCCAGAGAGACCACGATGGCTTGGCCCCCTCCCCTTGGCCTCTGCGCTGGGAGGGAGGACCCCAGTGAGATCTCCGAGCAGATGCACTGTTCCCTGCGGACAGGATTTATTCCTGGAGCCTCTGCCTCCCGTAAGCTGGCGGGCAGACCCAGTCCAAACTTGGCACTACCTCCCACTGCCTCCTTTTCTTGCCTCTCTTCCCTCTTCAGCCCACAAACTCCTTGAGGTCTGAGCATCATTTTGTCCATGGCTTTGGGCAGGGTGGCTGGCACAGGGTAGGGGTACCACAAATAACTGTTGGAGTGTAGCCAGCCCCTTGTTTAGGGAAGAGATGGGTCTAACAGCTGGGCATGCTGGTCTTGTGATCTGGATCTGAGATGCCGCCTTGGGTGGTGGGTAGAGGGATGACCCTGAGCCAGCCCTGTTGCAACAGCTCCTCCTGAAGATCCCAGATGCTCCAAGTGCCATCTCTAGGTTAGCTGTGCTGTAGGATCACAGCAGGGGGACAAATTTTCACGTGAAAAGAACAATCACATCAAGCAAAATGCTCACTCACTGACAGAGATCAATGAAGCAGACAGCAACTCATTGCAACTGCTCCTGTCCTGTCGGTCGAGAGGAGAGTGCAGCATGACCCAACAGCCCTGCTGCTCCCAGCCGCAGACAAGCCATCCTTCTTGGCTGCTGTTTTCATCATTTTTTAAAGGACTGTTGAGGGTGGGAGGAAGTAGGAAAGGAGGTGGTTTCATGTGAGATTTCTACAGTTTGCTAACAGTAAAAAATGGGAGAAGTGATAAAGTTACTACATTCATCAGTCATCCACCCCGAAACATTTGCAACTGATTATGTTCCTCAGAATTGGCACTGAGTCATGAGGTATTCTTGTAAGCAGTTTGCTGGCATGAGCCAAAGGCAGGAAAACTAGAAAGTACCTCTGAAACACGTTCAGAAGAAACATTCTCCCAAGTAATAAAAAAGATATGGAGACCAGTAGTTGCTTTTCTCAGCGGCAAAATATCCAGCGATACTTTAAAAAAATGGAAATAAAATGAGAATGGTTCTGGCAACTGCAAAGACGCATGCACTTTTGCTGCCTATCTTAACAGACAAGTGGGCTTTCTGAGTCCTGTGCTCAGTATAAGATGCCCCATGTGAAAGGGAGCTGATGGCCATGTTGAGCGGGCACACTTAAGGACACTTAGGGGTTTATGTTATATTTATGGCCAAGTTAAGTTGATCTGTTACAGGACTCATTATCCTAAAAGGGTCACTAATGACATTTGCTGGAAATTTTGCCCAGAATGCTTTCAGTTTGACCCTCTAGAGATGGCCATGGTTGGGTTGAATTAAGGCTCATAACTGAGCCAGAAAAATAAACCTGATTTATGGCCAAACTGGTTTTTACTGACCTGTGAAGTAAATGAAACTTGAATCCCTATGATAAAACAAGACAAAAACAAAACAAAACAAAACAAAACAAAAAATCTTCCTGAATTGGAAAAAAAAACTCTCTATTTTCTAGAATGAATGCATAGGAATGTCAGGCCATTCTCAGAACAGCACGGGTCTCGGCTTTGAAACCTTGGCCTCGCTGCTGGGAGGAAGCTTTGATCACCACCCCTTTTCTTGCTCTGAGCTTGAATGTCTCTTGCTTTGGGATTTCTGTTTCTGGCACTTTCTGGACTACTCCCTTGGACATGTGTTTTAACCTGCCTGAGACTTGGGGGTGCAGAGGCCCCTCCTCAACCTCACCTCTAAGTGGGATAACCCAGGTTTCCCGCCACCTAGGGCCCAGCTGACGCACACCAAATCCCTTGGCCTTGGGCCTCAACAGGAGAGTGCGCAACAGATGGGAGCTAAAGCATTGGCTGGGCGTCACCAGCTCTTCTATGAGGCTGTTGAGCTAGGACCAAGGCATTACACGTGAAGGTAGCTGCAGCCTCGAGGCCCCCGTCTGTTGGAAGGACTCCCCTCGAGCTGACCAAGGGCACTGATGGCGTCTGCTATAGTCTTACCTCTGCCTTCAGTGGACCCTTGGTTTCCTGAAGTAGGAGGTGCAAAAGGCGAGAGGAAGGGGAAGGTGGATTTGGGAAGGGGGTAGATTTCAACACAGGAGGGGGCCAGCTGCTCAGCAAGGCAGTGATGCCCACCTGAGGAACAGGCCCCTGGTGGTCTCTGGTCCAGACTCTGCTGGCAAGCTCTTGCAGTATACGCCTTCCGGTGACTGTCCCTTTGATGCCTCCTTCTGAGCCAATGCTAGAAATGGCCAACACCAGCATCCAAGGCCCTGCCCGCCCATTTCTTGCCACTCCTTTCCCCGCACCCCATCTTGGCCCACTTTGGAGACTCCTTAGGAAGGGAGGTGGTTGGGTGGGATGCCCCACACTTCGTGGTCAGCCAGCCCTCCCCTACCACAGCCAAGCAGAAGACAGCTAAACTTCTGACATTGGCGGTCTCACTGCTAGCCCCTAGAAGGACCTGCTACAGTCAGCAGGACCTGCTACAGTCAGCAGCACCTGCCAAGAAGATATTCTTACTCCCCTTTATGGTGAGGACAACTGTGTGTGAGATGAGGGATGAGGCATGGCCGGCCCACATCATTCCATCTGTGGAGACAAAAGTGACTCCATCTTGGATGCTAATCGCCATGTTGACTCTGTTTAGCCACCGCCCTGAGAATGTTGATGTCATCGTGCATATCATTGGCTATGGCGAATATAGCGTCCTCGACAGTCCTGGAGGTGGCCTTCAATTGTCTCTAGAGAGCATGTACCCCCTTTCCCTATGGTATATAAGCCCGGGTCTGGGGGTAACAGTGGGACATCTACGTGCCTTGCCCCTGCCCAAGTCCATGCCTCTGTCTGTAAGTTCCCCAGTAAGCCACCCTTTACTGACAAACTGGATGTGTCTGCCTTGTTCTCTGGTTTCTCTGCTGTTTTGACATTTGGAGGCCACTTTGGATATATGGCCCTTTCATGAGACAGCATCCCAACCCCCCCAGGCCCTGGGCTCGGCGGTGCCTCCTGCAGTAATTCCCACAAGGAAGCAGCTCCTGCTCATTCATTCCTTCAAGGAACTTTGATTGTTTCCTGCTGCAGGCCTGGTCCCTGGCGCTCCAGGAACACAGACCCAGTCTCAAAAGAAGGGCTTGTCCAGGTACAACCACAACACAGGGTTACAGGTGCCCCGTGAGGAAAGCAGAGGCAGGTGCGTAACAGCCATCACAGGAGATAAACGGCCACACAAGAGAAGCTTAGTCGGGTCAGGCCCGCCTTGTTGGGAGTGTTTCATTCACTTATTCCCCACAACATTCGTGCAAGATGGATACTATAATTACTGCCGTTTTACATATGGGGAAGGCAAGGCACAGAGAGGTTAAGAAGCTTGCCCAGAGTCACACAGCTAGGATTCTGAGGTCAGAGTCGGCATTCTGATTTTTGAGCCACTAGATTGAAGGGTTGCCAGCAGTACAGGCCTATAGATGTCTTACCGCCCCACCACCCGTTGATAGTTAAAGTTCCCTGAGGGCAGAGGAGGATGCCACGGGATGTGTTATCATCAAGGAGGCACTTGGTAAGTACTGATTACCTCCCGCCCCTGCCTCTGCAGCACTGACAGGCCTGGGAAGGGTCTGCAAAGTCTGATGGTCTCCCCATGACCCTCCAATTCTAAAAGCTCCCCTGACACATGCCATTCCCCAAATTCTTCCATATTTATAGAATTGCTTCCTCAATCATTGAGCATCTTCAACACACTGCAGGGTCCCCTGAGAGCAACAGCCAGCCCCAGCCTCCCTGGCATTCCTGAAATGCCCCTGGGCTAACCAGAGGCCTGGCACATGGCAAGCCATCCGCAGGGATTTGTCAAATGAACGAGTGAATGGATACCTATAACTCCGTCTAACTCAGAGGCTTTGAAGAGGCTTGCTGTTCTAGAATGCCTATAACCATGCTTCACTCTGAGTGTTGCTTTTCTAGTATTTGGAGTGCATGAGGAGGGGTTTCAAGCGAATTGCCAAGATATAGCAGGCTAAAACCGCCTTGGTTTTGCCAGAAATCCCTGGAAAACACAAGCCAAAAGAGGAGGTCTTGGGTCTGGGTGACCCGTACTCAGCACGGGAATTGTCCTGTGGAGAAGGTGGTTCGGCTCCCGTGCCCTGCACGGGGTGCGCTGTTATGCTTCAAAACAGGACTTATCAACGATTTAGTCTCATTAAGTTGTAAGAAAACAGGCAGCGTGTTCCAAGGTCGTAAGTTTTCTCAACGTTCAAATGTTTCCAATGTTTTGTAAAACCAAAGAGTGCAGGAGCCCACGGGGCTTTGCTGGGGTGATGGATGGATGTGGAGTTGGTGAGGAATTTTTCCAGGCTGCCTTGAAAGCCAGCTCATTATGACCCCATGGGCTCCAGACGTTTTCTCGTTCCTAAGGCTGGTCAGGTGGTATGTGGGACATTGCCCAAAGATGTCTAGGTCCCACCCTCCATTTTTAGCTTTACCAGAAGCTCCTGAGACTGCAAATGTGAACACACACAGCCAGGCATCTCCCAATTTTCTACTCCCGATTTTCTATAGGTCAGTGTGTGTGTGTGTGTGTGTGTGTGTGTGTGTGTGTGTGTGTGTGAGAGAGAGAGAGTGTGTGTGTGTGTGCACGCACAGCATAGGGACACTTTTTGCACAGTGAATCTGATTTTGGCCGCACTTCTCTAGAATAAGGAATTTTAAGAATTCTCACTTTGATCATTTCCCATCCCACATATCAGTTTTATCCCCAAAGATATCACTCCTGCAAACATCAGCTCCCAGTCACAGTGTTTCACTCAGGGGCCCAAGCTATTGGTGGTCGGTGACTAATTTCAGCACTTCACTGCCTGGTGCTGAGAGCTGCCCCACAGCTCACCTCGGGGACCCTTTCTTCTTCCAGTTTGCAGTTTGTAGAGCAAAGGGACTTAGGGACTTGCCATTTGCTTCTCTTGGGTCCTCAATTGATCAGTGTGTCCTCCAGTACTTTCTAGTTAAACTGGCTTATATTAGAGGTGGGAATGTCTTCTAATTATAGCAGATTCACCCAGGGCCAGAGGTGACCTAAGTCAGAAGCCTACACAGCGATGGATGAAGAATCAGGTGGAGTGCTGCCCATGGTGGCCCTGGACCTTTTTGTGCTTGGACCCTATAGTCCACTCCACCAAAGCCCTTTTTTGGGATCTCTTTATGGGGGTGGTAGGAAGACCACAGCTTTTGAGTCCAACAGGTTTGGGGTGGAGGTCTGGCTCTGCCTCTGCCTTGTGTATGAGTTTTGGCAAATTTTCTAACTCCCTGACTATGTCGCTTCTTTCCTCTACGAAGAAAACAATGCATCCTCAGTGGGAGGCTGGTAACATCAGCCAGGATGACCGATATAAAAACACTTAGAACAGCATCTTGGAAATAAAAGGTACCAGCTCCCGTGAATTCTCCGTGTCCACAGCTGTCTTCTTGAAAAGTCTCAACCAATGGAATTGCATTTCCTGTTGTTTGTTGATGGTCCCTGATTTTGGTGGATTCTCTTCTCTCTCTCTATCTTTTGGTGGTAAGAATATTTAACATGAGATCCAGCCTCTTAAATTGTATGAGCGTGCAGTACAGCACTGTTAATTATAGGCACAAAATTGTACAGCATCTCTAGAACTTAATCATCTTGCATAATTGTAACTTCATACCAGGTGAAAAGCAACTGCCCATTTCTCCCTCCCTCTAGTTCCTGACAACCACCATCTACTCTCTGCTTCTGTGAGTTTCACTATTTTTGCTCCTCATATAGGTGGGCTCAAACAGTATTTGCCTTTCTGTGACTGGCTTACTTTATTTAGCATAATGGCCTCCAAATTTATCTATGTTGTCTCATATTGTAGAATTTCTTACTTTTTTAGGGCTGAATAATATTCCATTGTATGTATATACATTGTCTTTATCCATTCATCTGTCAGTGGACATTTTAGGTTGTTGGCACATCTTGATTATTGTGAATAATGCTGTAATGAACATGAGAATGATAATATCTGTTTAAGATCCTGATTGCATTATTTTGGATAAATAATATTCACATGTGGGATTGCTGGAAAACATGATAATTCTATTTTAACTTTTTTGAGGAAACTCCATGCTGTTTTCCATAGTTGCTAAAACATTTTACATTTCCACCAAGAGTGAACAAGCGTTCCAACTTCTCCACATCCTTGCCAACTCTTATCTTAAAAAAAAAATGCCATCCTAGTAGATGTGAGGTAATATCTCATTGTGGTTTTGATTCGCATTTCCTTGATGATTAGTGACGTTGACCATCTTTTCAAATACCTGTTGGCCATTTGTAAATCTTCTTTACAGAAATATCTACTCAGGTCTTTTGCTCAATTCCTAAATTGGGTTATTTGGTTTTCTGCTATTGGGTTGAAAGAGTTCTCTTATATATTTTGGAGATTACCCCCATCAGATACATTATTTGCAAATATTTCCTCCCATTCTCTACGTTATCTTTTTACTCTGTGGGTTGTTTTCCTTGGCTATGCAGAAGATTTTTTAGTTTGATGTAATCCCATTTGCCTATTTTTGCTTTTGTGGCTTACACTTTGGTTGTCATATCCAAAAAATCATTGCCAAGACCAATGTCATGAAGTTTTTCCTTAATGCTTTCCTCTAGAGGTTTCAGGTCTTAGGTTAATCTTTAATCTATTTTGAGTTGATTTGTGTGTATGGTTCAAGATAATGGTCCAATTTCATTCTTTTGCTTGTGGATATGTAGTTTTCCCAGCACCATTTGTTGAAGAGACTGTCCTTTCTCTGGTGTACCGGTATTACTGTCACCCTTGTCAAAAATCAGTTGATTGTATATCTGTGGGTTTATTTCTGGGTTCTTTATTCTGTTCCTGTTCCTTTGGCCTATATGTCTGCCTTTATGCCAGCACCATACTGTTTTATTTACTGTAGATTGTAATATATTTTTAAATTAGAACATGTGATGCCTCCAGCTTTGTCCTTTCTTAAGATTGTTTTGGTAATTTGGGGTCCTTTCTGGTTTCATATGAATTTTAGGATTTTTTTTCTGTTTCTTTGAAAAATGCCATTGGAATTTTGATAGAGATTACAATGAACTTGTAAATTGCTTTGGGTAGTATGAATCTTTTTAAACAATATTAAGTCTTCTAATCCATGAACATGGGATACTTTTCTATTTATTTGTGTCTTCTCCAATTTATTTCATCAATATTTTGTAGTTTTCAGCATACAAGACTTTTACTTCCTTAGTTAAGTTTATTCCTTTGTGTGTGTGTGAAAGCCAGTTTATAAAGACAGGAAAGGAATAAAGAATGGCTACTCTGTAGGCAGAGCAGCCTATTATTCCTGTTTTTTATTTTTTTGGTGCTATTATAAAGGAAATTATTTTTAAATTTCCTTTTCAGATAGTTTACTGTTGGTGTATAAATTGCAACTCATTTTTGATGTTGATTTTGTATCCTGTGCCTTTACTGAATTCATTTATTACTTCTAACAAGGTGGGGTTTTTTTTTTGTGGAATTGTGAGGGTTTTCTACATATGAGATCATGTCATCTGCAAACAGATAATTTTACTTCTTTCTTTTCAATTTAGATGCTTGTCCTTGTCTGGAGTTATATTTTGATGCCATGAAGACATTTTATTTATATGTAATGTTTATATATTTTAAAGATTTGTGCCAAGGGAGTATACTTAACAAAAATTTAAATGACTTTAAAAATCTTTGCCTTACTGCTCTTACAAGGACTTCCTGTACTGTGTTGAATAGAAGTGGTGAGAATGGGCATCCTTACCTTGTTCCTTATCTTAGAAGAAAAGCTTTCAGTTTTTTACTGTTGAGTATGTTAGCTGTAAGCTTTTCATATATGGCCTTTATGTTTAGGTCATTTTTTCCTATTCCTAGTTTGTTGAGAGTTTTATTTTATTTTATTTTATTTTATTTTATTTTATTTTTTAGTTTGAGACTAAGTTTCGCTCTTGTCGCCCAGGCTGGAGTGCAATGATTTCAGCTCACTGTAACCTCCGCCTCCTGGGTTCAAGTGATTCTCCTGCCTCAGCCTCCCAGGTAGCTGGGATTATAGGCACCCGCCACCACGCCCAGCTAATTTTTGTATTTTTAGTAGAGACGGGGTTTCGCCATGTTGGCCAGGTTGGTCTTGAACTCCTGACCTCAGGTGACCCGCCCACCTTGGCCCCACAAAGTGCTGGGATTACAGGCCTGAGCCACCCAGGCTGGCTGAGAGTTTTTATCATGAGGGTTACAAAAACCTGTCAACTGTCCTTTCTGCACCTATTGAGATTATCATGTGATTTTTTTTGATAACATGGATGAATTCATTTCTTAAGATTTGAGTGCAAACTTAAAAACAAGAACAAACAAAGCTTTTCATCAAGGATAAACATAAAATCTAAACAATTCTGCAATTGTGCATTTTAACAGAAAGTACAAATATGAATACATTATAATTTGTAACTGCATTTAAAAACTAAAATATTTCTCTCCAAATCCAAAACACCACACAATCTTTAATCTGTTCTCATCTTGTTACCCTAGAAACATTTGTCATATGCTATCAGGAAAATATAGGCAATAATTACTAATCAGTTTTTCATGATCAAAGGAACATTATTCTCCTTAATGGTGACTTTTTGAATCATTTATCTGTATTTCATTTCTGAAATATCATACCATTATACCTCCACTCTAGAGAAAAAAAGAATAAATACAAATATCAAGGAGGCAGGAACGTTCATGGAATTAAAGCAAAAGTCACAAGTGTTTGACTTAGAAATGTACATAGTGTAGCAAATTTTTAAAGTACAACTTTAGTTGATGGCTGATGTGTATGTAATAATTGTGAACAATTTAAACAGGTATAAAAATGTGAGATCAAAATCTTTAGGCTCAAATACTTATACACATTTTACGTTAGTCATTTCTTTCTATTCCTAGTTTGTTGAGAGGTTTTTTTTTTTTTTGAGACAGATTTTCGCTCTTGTCGCTATGAATATGGAAAGATTTGTTTACATAAATATCTATATTTTTAGATGAAAAATCAAGGGGTAGTGGCATCTTCCTGGTCCCTTAACTATATTTGGATTTTTGCAAAGAATTAGTGGCATCCAACCTTAAGTGTGAATTATGTGTTTCTAAAGGACCTATATAACAGATTAGTTGGCAGTGTTCTAACTTTCGAGAGATGGGGGCGGATCGGAGGTGCAAATATCTGAGATAAGTGCATATCATGTGATTTTTATCTTTTATTCTGTGAATGTGCTATTTTACATGAATAGATTTTTGCATGTTGAACCGTCCTGGATTTCCCAAGGATATACTTCACTTGTCTTTGGTAAATGGGTAGTGATGGTGTCACTTAGTCATGGTGTATGATCCTTTTTAATTCTTCCTTGTTTCTGAGTAATTTTTTAGTTGAAAACTCTCTAATAGTGGGCATAGAAAATGTGAAAATATTTGTTGTTACTACAATTCAGATGTGCAGAAAATGTTGCTCTTTATTTTTTCCAAAATGGATCTGATCTTCCTTAACAAGTCCCTATCCACTAGAAGAGAAAAAAGTGTATTATAAGCCTAGTCCCATCCATAACACAGTGCATCTCAAAGTATCTGTGGTAAGAAATTCTTTTTTGTTGTTGTTTGTTTTTAATTTCTAACCAGTTGCAGATACTTTCATAAAATCCAAGAGAAATGAATTACTGGGAAATAAAAGTTCTAAAAGCATACAAAACATAATCTTATATTTTTTATGATTGGTTTCAATAAGCATGAAATTATTCTGCTACAAGAACTTCTCAACACCTACCCTCAATTTTTGTACCTTTTTCATCCCATGCCGGCAACAGTTTGTGGATGTGTCGCAATCCTCAGACCCACTCTGAGTGGTTTAAACAGACTCCAAGGGCTTAACTAGACCTATCGGTTAAGCAGTGTCTGGGCCTGTGGAGGAAAGAGGAGAGTTTCCATGCTCAGGGACAGGGAGAAGAGACCTGGTCTTGTTGCAGGTCTGTGGGTGGTGCTGGCTGTTCCCCACTGGGGTGGGCAGCCACATGATGTCCATGGCTGATGGAACCAAGGGAAATTTTTTCTTGACCTGTTAGGACCAACGGGCTACCTCTCTTGACTTGGGGGAGGACAGGAAACCCTTTGGGATTCTGCCACAGCCTCCATCTGCCTCTGGACACCATCAGACACAGGTCACTTGGTTCCCGCCATAGTGGGCCACTTGGCTGCCCCGCTGCCCCTCAGCTTAGCTATCTAGTGGCCACAGTTTAGAGCCACTAGACCCTCTCTGCCACACGCAGCTCTTCCACTCTCTTGGTTTCTCAGAGGTCCTCTGTGTTGGTGAGGAACCATCCAGCAAAGTAATGTTGCCCCAGTAGAAAGCATGATGTGAACCCTCTGTCTTCTCTACTCACTTCAATGTAGCAAATGCACCTCCCTCTCCCTGAGTCTCAGCCAGGAGAGGTGTATTAAGACCCACACATCTCATGGCTGACTCCTCCTTCTGTAGACTACTTATGTCCCACAGTCTTCTAGGGCTGGAAGGAGCAGGCACTACTCCCTCCTTTTTTTCTGGATACAAACCTCTATGGTTTGGTCCTTCAAGCCTGGCTCTTGGTATGCCAGTGGGATAGACAAAGATTGAAGGAACCCTTTCTCTCAAAAAGACTTGACTTTCAAGACTCTTGTTTTGCTGCAAAAAAATCCTGTTTTGCATAACAGAAGTTGAAAATGAATTTTTCCTTTTCTCTGCATTCCTTCTGCAATATTCCTAAGATCCTTGGTGCATGAAAATGCAGCAAAGAAGGCTATTATTACAATCATCTCTGAGGGATGATAGATCCTCTAGCTAATGTGTATTCATAGGGGTAATGTCTCTGATTAATCCATCAGCACCATTGTCACACAGGGAAACAGATACCCTGAAGAAGAGGACTAGGATGGGTACTGTTGAAAGAGGGTGGGAAATCTGGCAGGGTATGGCTTTCTATGGGGCTTCATGAGCCTGCATCTCAGACCCTCTTTGGCAGATTTGAGTCACCAGGAGGGACCCAAGGGCAGGAAGTAGGCTACAGCCAAGAGATGGGCACCAAGAGGAAACAGGAAACACATGGGACATCCACTTTGTAATTCTGCACCCAGCTCATTCTTCAGCTAAGTACTAAGCTTATTCCCATTTTCTGGCTCTTAAACCATAACAAGACCTCTTCTGAAATATTCCTGAGGAAAAGGACCTATTTTCTTCTCTAAGGAAAAGCCCCACCAAGTCTCCAGAGTTGATCGCTTCCAACCCATGTGTCATCTTGTGTTTATGATTTTCCCATCAGTTTTGCTTTAAAAATTAATTTTTAATAATCTCTAAAGAAATGCGTTCACCCTTATCTTTAAAATATTCAAAGGATCCCCTATCCATTCTGTGCTTTTTTTTTTTTTTCATGAGCAAATTACATCTGGCCTCTTTCCCGCCTGGGGAATAGGCAGTGATCATCTGGGATGGAGACTTGGCTGGTTCTCAGCACAGTCAAGCGGTGTAGTTTTGTGGTGAGCCCACTGGCCTGGGAATTCTAATAACCCTGGCTTCATGGGTAATTTGGGGTAAGTTATTCATTCTGTTCTTCATCTGGCTCCTCTGCAAAATGGGGCAAATAATAATATGGCATGATTTCGAAGCCATAACAAGATGATGGAAATGAAAGTGGTCACCTTCATCTAAACATGAACTTGGGTGCTGCAAAAATGCAGAATGAAATGTTATCATTCTTCAGGGGAGTCATATTTCATGAAGACCTCTGTGTTTTAATCACTAACTTAAAAGTAAAAGAAGGAAAGGAAAAAAATTAATGATAGCAGCCTGAGATGCATGGGCTACATTCTCTGCTGCTTAGAGAACAAGAAAATGCATGACACTGTTTTGAAAAGTTAATCACGGAGGGCTTTGAAGGGTTTCATCTAGAACAAGTTGCAGGTAATATGGGAAAAAGATTGGAGTCATAGCATCTCCGTGCATTATTGGGGTTTTAAATCCTAAATCACTACATACAGTGCATATTCTGGTTTAGGCTACCCAACTGGATATGTTGGCCTGGTTTCCTTACCGTAGCGCTCTCTGTTAATAACTAAACATGTTGGAGAAAAAAAAAAAGCAGGGCTTTTTTCAAAGTTGCAAGTCAATGTGCTGTAAACATGGGTCTGAGGTTAGGATATTGAATTCCGTGAATAACAACAATCTGTCTTACTCCATTAATCAGAGGTTTACAATCCTTACAGTCTTATGAGCCATAGGGCCGTCACTGATAATTCTCTGTCAAAGAGAAATGGAATCATCTAGACATGTGCTTAAAGAGGAATTTTTCCCCTTGTTGATTTTATGTAGGAAACGATTATTAGAAAATGTTGGCTCCCATGGAGGTTCGGAGACTGTGGGAAGAGACCTCATGGTGGGGATAGTGGAGATGCGAAAGACACGTGGAGCCTTTTGGCAGACAGGGCTCAGCAAAAAGAGGTCCAGCAATTTGTTGGGCAAGGTCTCTGCGTGGTCTCCTCTGGGACCTATTCCAGAGCAGTGAAACTAATAATCCTCAAATTCACTCCCTCTCCCCCAGGCGCCATTACGCCATATTTGAATTATGTTATCAAAAAGACAGACGTGGATTCAGTTCTGATCCCCCAAACTCTTAAGGAAACGTGCCCCTTCCCTAATGGGAAAGTGTATTCGATGACCTGAAAGTTCACATGCCTTAAATCTGGCCGCCCTACTCCCCAGTCCTGGGCTGCACCCTCGTTCTGTGGAGTTCTGAGAAATGCCGAAGATGAGGCAGGTGGCAAATGTGGCTCCCTGAGAGCTAAACCTGACATCAAACCAGGAGCTCGGCTCAGTGTTTGTCAGCAAAATTAGCCTTTTCTTGCAGTGTTATATAAATTTTCCATAGAAATCTGGCATGTGTCAAGAATATGTGTCAAGAAGGATGCCTGTTTTCCTAACTTAGGTGTAATCACCAGGTGCCCTACTTAAATTTATGTGCAAGGGTGTAGGCACCAGAGAAAACTACCAGCTATCGCTAAGCCAACAAAAGCCATCAATTAGGGATGAAAAGTGTGAAGAGTTGGGATGGAGTTGCCTTCCATTAACACCTCTGATTTGGATCCTTAAGATGACAGAACCACCAGTAAAACCCATTTCCAGTATCTAGAACAGGTGTGGTTTCGCCCCTGGAGGACAGCCTTGGCTGACACTGAGAGAAGGGGCTGGGATTGAGTCTCTTTGGTGAGCAACCTCCTAGATGTAATTCTAGAGTCAATTCCAGGGCGTTTCACCAGAGACCTCAGGTGATGTGTATGGCTGTGGTTGTAAAATAATTTCCCACCAAAGACGCCCATGCCCTCATCTCCAGAACCCATGAGTATGTTATGTTACATGCAAGGGCAGTGAAGGTTGCAGAGGGAATTAAGGTTGCTAACCAGGTGACTTCAGAATAAGGAGATTATCAGGTGAGCCCAATGTAGTACCAAGGGTTCTTAAATGTGAAGGAGAGAGGCAGAAAGTCAGAGCCAGTGTGATGTGAGTGAGAAAGACTTGACCACCTGTTGCTCACTTTGAAGGTGGAGAAAGGGGCCACAAGCCAAGGAATGCAGGTGGCCTTTAGAAGCTGGAAAAGACAAGCAAGTTGATTCCCCCAGGGCCTCCAGAAAGGAACATAGCCCTGCCAATACCTTGATCACAACCCAGTGAGCCTCATTTCTGACCTCTAGAACTGTAGGATAATAACATTTGTGTAGTTTTAAGCCACTTGGTTGTGGTCACTTGTTACAGCGGCCACGGGAAGCTAACACAGTTCCTCAATGTTTTCCTCTGATTGACACAAGTTACACAAGCACAAATTTTGCTGTCCTCAGAATCATTCACCTCATGGCATGTCAGGTTGAGAACAGAGGTTGGCTGCACCCCTCATGTGAATTTGAGGTGCAGGGGGTCAGTTTGTCTCTCAGCCCAGCCCTTGCTGCTGCTGTGAGAATGGGCATGAGGTCACCATCCTCTCTCCCTGGCTCTGTTGAAAGATTGCTGTCTCAAACACCAGAGCCATTGGTCCTTCAGAACCAACCCTGCAATTGTATTGCAGCACTATGGTTTCCCTTTTTCCCAAATCTTTTTTTTTTTAAATATGCAACTCTGCCTTGTTGGAAAGATTCATAAAGCTTAAGATTTCCTTTCCTGGTGTTGTGCTGGTAAACTGGTTCTAAAAGTGGCAGAGTGCTGTATATAGCATTTGCCTATTTCCATCATGGCAAATGTCAAGCTACCAGCTTAAGGTTGCTGAATGCGGAGTTGGCAAGAGATGTCCACAGTCTGCACAGGGTGGGCTCCAGCCAACTCTGAACATCGGGGAGAGGGCTGTTTATGTGCCATGCCCCTGAGCCTTCAGAAAGCCCAGTACCCTGAGAGCAAATTGGCCCCTACCATAAATAGTGCTGTGGAGTCTTCCAAAGCAGTTGTGCTTTGCTCTACAGCTGGTGCTATAAAAAAGTTCTCTCATCCCCCTTGCCACAGCTGCTCAAGATCCATGGAAATTCAGAAGAGCCAAGGAGCAGAGTCACAAGCTGTCATAAGTTGATTACAGACATTGGGAACCAGTGGTCAGAGCCAGTTTTAACTCCAGATGGTACTTTCTATAAATCTTTTGTCCTTTTTACAGTTATTTTTTAGTCTAGTTTGTTTCCAGACATAAGTCTAGTTTGAAAACCATTGAAACTTGAAGCCATCAGTCTTATTTTTTATCATATTAGCATGTCTAATTTTATATCTATCATACAGAAGGAAGTTAGTAAATCCCACTTCTACCACTGCCTATACCAGGATCTACCTGTTAGTAATTCAGTATGAAATACTTAAACCAGTTTGTTGGAGGAATCTTAACACACATATAGGAGATAGCATATGAATGTAATAATATAACCACTAATTTGATGATAACAAGGCATATTTTATAGGATTGTTAGAAAGATTAAGTGAATTAATATTTGTAAAGCACTCAGTCAACAGTAAGAGTTTGTTAAAGAAATAGAAACCAGTAAATATGACTTCTTAAAATTGAGAACTTAGATCTCTGACTTAGGAGGAGACTTAGTCAAATATCACCCAGCCCTATGAATGCAAATCTCAGCATCACTAGATCACTTCTCCCTTCCGGTTTTCACAGAAGCTTTTTTTCTTTTTGGTGACTTCTCAGTCGAACTGGACCCATGCAATGACTCTGTCCTCTGAGTTGAGGCCCTGGGGCCTCACGGTCACTGCAGCCCCTCTGCACAAGTGCTTGCTCTTACAATTTATGAGATGCTTCTTGCAGCTGCTCCCTCGGAATGATTTAGATGGCCTTGGCTTGATCCCTTCCAAATGTGGGCACCAGCAGGCTGCCATGTGCAAAAGCGTTTTCTTATGTGCACATCAAGACAAAACAGAGAACCAAATCTCCAAAACCTAAATGAGGTGGCCCATTCACTTCTAGCCCCACTTTCCCTCCAAATTCACCCCAAAGGCCAGGTGAGAGCTCAGCCTCAGCAGGCCCTGATTGCTGGGTTCAGGACCATAAATCAGGGGGCTCACGTTGATGGGTGAGGAGGCCGGAAGACATCCGTCTGCCATCGGGAAGAAGGAGGTGCTTGCGGCCACTGGGCTGATTACAAACTCGTAAGCTCCTGGGAGTGTCAAGTTTGGGATAAAAGGAAAAGGCAAACATGAAAGATGCTGGAGCTACATTTTCCAGGGCATATCTTCATCCCATCGTGAATTGATCTGTGGCCCTGGATTGCATCAAGTACGTAATACCTCAAAGTCAGCGAGAAAAGACAGGCTGACATTCAGGACTCACCAACTATTAGGCGGCTTGGAGGCAGAAGCCTACCCTGCCTCACGTTGGAGCTTTGAGGGCATGCACATTCACATAGATGAACTCAGAGAAGGCTCTTGCCTAGAAATTGAATCCAGTTTCTTTTTCCTGTATTTGTTTTGCAATCTGCCCTTGGAAGGGAAAGTTGATGTAGAATAGCAATAAATCTCCAAGGCACATCGCTTCAATTAAGAGATAGAGAAGCCCAGAGGGGCCCAAGAGCTCCAAGGGGAGCCAACCGCAGATTAATGGATGCTGAAGAATGCTGCCTTCCAAGACGGGAACTGGCTGATTTATGTCTATTCACATATTCTGAAGGCTTTAACTCAGGGGCCTTCCTTAATTACAGCACGATTACATGACCACTTTCATTTAGGGGGCTGGGGGTGAAAGAGTCTGTTTATTTGATTGAGCTTTAATAACCTAGCTCTTTATTACAATGCTCTTGGTGAAAGCATTTTTGTAAACTGAGAACAGTTTCCATTTAGTGCCCTGGGTTGCTCTCGTCTCTAGACCCATATACATCCACTTTGGCTGTTCTTCATATGCAAAACATTTGAAACTGTCCAGGCTCCATTCACCTCAAATCCCAGGGGTCTGAGCAAAATTACCCTGGCCATTTAGTTTATGGAAGGGGGAAGGAGGGAAATCAATGCATTTCCTAGGATAAGCCAAAGTCATTCATTTTTTTTTTCATACATTTGTTTCAATCAAAGGGCTTTTATTTAGTACCATTTATTTAGTACCTACTATGTGGACGTTTAACCTACTATATGAGATTCACAAATAAAGATGTTTCCTTTTCTCATGAGCTCACAGTCTAGTAGGGAAGACAGACAAGAAAATCAATAATTATGGAAGAGCAAGAGGTCTAGAGAAAGGCAACCGGGAATGGTTCGGAGAAGCGCTCTGGGATGAGAGGGCCCTAGAGCTGAATATTAAAGGACAAGTGGGAGGTTACAGAGTGGATGGGGTAAGCCAGCTTGACCAGGCAGAAACTTGGTTTACCGAGGAATTGCAGGTCACCTGGGCTGGATGGAGCATGGGTGGTGGAAACGGAGCTGCTAAGGTGGACAAAGGGTTCTACTTGACCTGTGTGACCTACATGGGATGCCCTGCTCAGAACTTCCTTCAAGAAAGCCTTCCTTGCCCCACTTTAGGGTCCACCTGAGCTTTTGAGCCAAGGTCATGCTGATTTCAGCATTGCCCCAGCCAACCCCTGAGCAATAAGGAGGCACGAAGTCCCAGCTAGGAAAAAAATGCCACCAGTGCGGCATCTTCTATGGGCAGTCTTTGCTCTGGAGCCCTCTGTCTTTCCCTAGAGCCCCTGGCATGGGGATGGGGCAGTGGGGGACAGTTCCGACAAAGTAACTGCAAACATGCTTTTGGCTGATGACAAAGCAAGATGTTAAAAGCCTAGGCTGGGCACCATGGCTCAGGCCTGAAGTCACAGTTACTTGGGAGGCTGATGTGGGAGGATCGCTTGAGCCCAGGAGGTTGAAGCTACAGTGAGCCATGATCATGCCACTGCACTCCAGCCTGGGCCACAGAGTGAGACCCTGTCCCAAGAAAAAAAGAAGGGAAATATTCATTTTTCTACACCCTCTTTCCTCTTCTCACAGACACGCCACATATGCCTTTCATTCCTTTAACAGTTCAGACTGGGGCTGTCAGTATGATGCCACTGAACAGGCCATTTGTATGGCATTGACTGTCCTTTGAATCCAATAACCCATCAACTTATTTGATTAACCAGTTTGACTTTTTTATTATTCATTTCTGAATTGAGTGGTTCTACTGGATTTACTATGCTCTGCTGTCTTATAGCCCTAAAGTTACATGAGTGTGGTAAAGCCATTTCCACCAGTAAACTACAAATAATATGGCATTTACAATATAAGGACAGTGAATTATTTTATTTCAAAACCCCCAGATAATGAAGTCAATGTCTTACTCTAAAAATTAGTAAATAGTCTCGGGGTGGGGGCGTGGCTCACGCCAGTGATCCCAGCACTTTGGGAGGCTGAGGCAGGCAGATCACAAGGTCAGGAGTTCGAGACCAGCCTGCCCAATATGGTGAAACCCCATCTCTACTAAAAATACAAAAATTAGCCAGGCATGGTGGTGCATGTCTGTAGTTCCAGCTACTCAGGAAGCTGAGGCAGAAGAATCGCTTGAACCCGGGAGGCAAAGGTTGCAGTGAGCTGAAATCGCACCACTATAGTCCAGCCTGGGCAACAGAGTGAGACTCCGTCTCAAAAAAAAAAAAAATTAAGTAAATAAAGCGAAAGTGTTAGGCTATATATCAGCATTACAAAAGAGGCTTGACTTTGAGGGAACACTCTTCATTCTGAAAAAATATGATCGCTAACTAACAGATGTCAAATGAATTATCAAATTAGAAAACCACCATTTTGTAACCTTGAATGAATTAACTGATTCGGTCCAGGATCATTAACGGATGTTACAAGTATTCAGGGAAGAGCTGACGGAGAACCTAATAACCCGCAGAACCAAGGTCCTGTCTCACAAATCATCTGCTGGTCATGAGGGTGGGAAGATGCCTTTGTAATAGGGAGAGAGAGCCATGGGCAGCCTCCCAACCCAAGCATCAATCTTGGAATCACTGAGTGTGGGTAGCCTGGCACTGATGTGATACAATACAAAATGTACAACTTCAGCAGTGAAGGCTTCTTGGCAAAAAGTGTTTAACCTGAATTTAATCTGTGAACGCAAAAGTATCTGAGACAGGTCTCAATCCATTTAGAAAGTTTATTTTGTCAAGTTTAAGGACACACCTGTGACAGAGCCTCAGGAGGTCCTGATGACATGTGCCCACGGCGGTCAGGGTACAGCTTGCTCTTACACTTTTTATGGAGACACGAGACATCTATTAATACCAGTAAGACGTACACTGATTTGATCTCAAAAGGTGGGACAACTCCGGGGATGGCTTTCAGGTTATAGGTAGATTTAAAAATTTCCTTATTGGCAATTGGATGAAAGAGTTATTATTTAAAAACCTGGAATCAATAGAACAGAATGTCTAGGTTATGATGATAAGGGATTGTGGAGACCAAAGTTTGTCATGCAGATGAAGTCTCCAGGTAGCAGGCTTCAGAGGGAATCAACTGTAAAAAGTTTCTTATCAGACTTAAGGTCTGTGTTGATGCTAATGCTGGTCAGCTTTTCCTGAATTCCAAAAGGGAGGAGGGTATGATGAGGCATGTCCGACTCCCTCTTCCCATCATGACCTGAACTAGTTTTTTAGGTTGACTTTGGGATGCCCTTGCCTGAGAGGAGGGTTCCATTCAGATGGTTGAGGGGTACTTAAACTTTCGTTTTTGGTTTACAAGTCAATCTTAAGATCTAACTTCCAATGTACAGGGAGGAACAAGGACGGCAAACAAAATGCATGGCTGTAAATGAATGTATTCTTATTTTTTAGAATTATGGACATATATATATTATGGACATATATAATAAATTAAAACAAACAATAGATTGGCATAAATATAGAAAACTACAAATAATTATTTAATCTGGTTGGTGAGTACATGAGTGTTTCTCATGCTATGTGCTCTTCTCTTCTGTGTGTTTAAATTTTTTTACAATGTAAAATAAAAACAGGAGGATGCTGTAAGAAGAATATTTTAAAATGAAAACTTCTAAAAGAATACATCCCCTTTTTAAAATTTTTTGAGATGGAGTCTCGCTCTGTTGCCCAGGCTGGAGTGCAGTGGCGTGATCTTAGCTCACTGCAACCTCTGCCTCCCCGGTTCCAGCAATTCTCCTGCCTCAGCCTCCTGAGTAGCTGGGATTACAGGCACTCGCCACCACGCCCGGCTGATTTTTGTATTTTTAGTAGAGACAGGGTTTCACCATGTTGGTCAGGCTGGTCTCGAACTCCTGACCTCATGATCTGCCTGCCTCAGCCTCCGAAAGTGCTGGGATTACAGGCGTGAGCCGCCGTGCCCAGCCTGCATCTCCTTTTTACCAAACATTCTAATGACACTGTGTAGAAAGCTGAATGTTCTTGGAGGTTTTGTGATATTACTGGCTTAGATTAGAAACAACTGAAGTTGGAAAAATAAGCCGGTTAGAGCACAGAAATGCATAGGACATTCCTCCCAACACCCTGCTGCAGTGCATTAATAAAAGTAGTTATGTCATGTGTGGTTAACAGTATGTAAGGTTGTGCAATGAAGGTGCTTTTAAAACCTGCTCCTACCTCTCTTGTAATGCAGAGCTCATACAATGTCATGTGGAGGTTTGCTAGCTGTTATTTCTATTCTTTGTCCACATCATGGTCAGTGGTGTTCAGAGTGACTTACGAAATCCCAAGCGAACGTGCCCTTCAATGCTTAGAAACACTCTTACCTTCACATCTAAGGTTGCAAACCCCAGGTTTCAGAGCAGTTCTTAGAGTTGGAAGGTTTCCAGTGAGATGAAGGGGGTGGTGCGTGTGAAGGAGTGAACTTCAAACCCACCCATAAACTGAAAAGATGGACGCTCTTGGAACGTAGCGCCTTTTGCAACTAAGAACATACCGTTACCTCCAAGTGCCCGGATTGATGGAGACAAGCCCTGCCAAATTCCATTCTCTCGGCTGGAAATTCCAGGATAGTGCTGGTACCGGTAAGTGACATTTTCTTGGAAAGTCACCAGGGGTTATAAAGTACTTCCCCAACCCCTACGTTTCTAAGGTATGAAAGGTAAAGGTCAGCGTATAGAAAATTTAAATTATCACTAAAAGCATGGCAGTGGATTTAACTAAGAAAAATCCAAAAAGGATAGAGTTCAACTGAGTCATTGCAAGCCCGTTTCTTAAGGACTCCCTCCCCACTCCGTGAAATAAGATCTAGCAACGGAATTGCCAACTCAAAGTCTCACTGAAACACAACAGGCTTTATTTTATAAGTGTGTTCTTTATGATTCTGTAATCTGTAGCGTACAGGGGAACCTTTTTGCAATTTTGGTGCCGATGCTCTCTGGGCTTGTTATCCAAGGCTTTTACTGCCTGTAGTTTGGTTTGGTTTGTTTTGTTTAGGGGTCGCTATGTAATTCCAGCCCTGGCGTAACCTGAATCTGTGCAGGGGGCTTGTGTGGGTTGTGTGTGTGTGTGAACTGCGCGTGCTCCCCAAACAGGAAGACCCCAAGGGTGTACCATGCAGCCTTCTGTCATGAGAGTAATGTGACCCTTTGTGCTTGGTGCTCTGGGTGACCTTCCCTCTGCGGAGTCCAGGTGTGGGGCTGTTTCTCCAGCCACCAACCTCTACCCTCCACCCAGGTCTGCATGCTGGCCCAAGATTGAAGAGGAAAACTTGGTCTTTGTAGCACCACACTTAGCCAGCTGACATGAAAGATTTACTGCCATCCCTTAACCCATTACATGGTAATAAATGGAAGTTGGCATCATTTCTTATCAGTCTAAGAATTTTGAACTCTGGCTAAATTCCTTTTTCTATAATCAGAGGGTGTAGAAAATCACATTTGTTTTTTAAACGGATGCTTTGGAAGACCCTGGTCAAAATTGTGGGCTCTGGAGTCTGAAACTTTGATTTAAACCTTGACTCTACTGCTTATTAACTTTGGGACCTGACATGTGACTTAAACTAAGCTTTAGTTTCCTTGTTTGTAAAATAGGTCTATTGATGAGATGGTGCATGCAAATTGCTTAGCTCAGTTCCTGGTATATAGTAGATGCCTCCTAAATAATAGCTATTACTATTTCCAATCTTGCGCTTCCCTGCTCCCTGCCAAAACTGAAAATGTGATTTACCAAATGACAATCGCAGGGTTATTTCAAAACAGTGTCTTCTATGTACGTATAGGAAATACACTGTAAGAATTGGAGGGGAGGCCGGGCGTGGTGGCTCACGCCTGTAATCCCAGCACTTTGGAAGGCCGAGGCAGGTGGATCACGAGGTCAGGAGATCGAGACCATCCTGGCTAACATGGTGAAACTCCGTCTCTACTAAAAATACAAAAAATTAGCCAGGCGTGGTGGTGGGCGCCTGTAGTCCCAGCTACTCGGGAGGCTGAGGCAGGTGAATGGTGTGAACCCGGGAGGCGGAGCTTGCAGTGAGCAGAGATCATGCCAATGCACTCCAGCCTGGGTGACAGAGCAAGACTCTGTCTCAAAAAAAAAAAAAAAAGAATTGGAGGGAAAATTACAATACTAGGTATTAAGACTACAGTTACTGCAACTCAAAAAGTATATAGAAAAGGGTGTGAATTATAAGTAGTTACAAAGTTCTGGGGCCCATTTAAGTCTGGGTATTATGTAGAAGCTTAACCAGGTGGTTGTGAAATTTTGCAATTGATATGAAATATTTATTTCATTAACTTTTCTCTCTATAAATTATCCTCATCAAAACTATCAACACCACTACTATAAAACTTTTAGAAGCAAAGACCTATTAATACATGGTGAAAACTACAACACTTCAGTTTCTTAATTTATTTACTATCTAATTAGTCTTAAATTATTTATTTTATATCAAGAAAAATCTATGAATCTACAAAACTATCACTAGAATTATGTGGATTTAACAAGGCTATAATATACAAAGTCACTATACAAAACTCAGTTATATTTCTATATGCCAGTAACAAACACTTTGAAGTGAAATTTCAAAAATCAGTACCATTTACAATGACATTAAAACTTCAAATACCTAGGGATAAATCTAATAAAATATGTATAAGACATCTACATAAAAACTATAAGACATTTCTGAGGAAAATGGAAGAGGCCTAAATAAATAAAGGGATATACCATGTTCATTGATTGGAAGACTTAATATTGTTAAGATGTCTTAAACTTATTCATTGGTTCTATACAATATATATATAAATTACAGCAAGTTTCTTTTAAAGAAATAAATGAGCTGATTCTAAATGATATATGGAAACATGAAGGATCTAGAATATCTGAAATTATTTTGAAAAAACCCCACAGATTTGGAAGACTTAAATAATATGAGTTCACATATGATAAAGCTACAGTAGTCAAGATAGTAGGGTACTGGCATAAAGACGGACATGCAAATCAACTGAATTAACTAAAGAGTTGCTCAATAGACCAACAAACACAGTCAACTGATATTCCACAAAGATGTCAAAGTAATTCAATGGAGAAAGGAAAGTTTTTGTAATAAATTTTGCTAGAACTAGGTATGCCTTATTCATACAATGGAATACTATACAGAAATAAAAAACTATAAACTGCAGATACAGCCAACAACACAGATGAATCTCAAATACAACACAGTAAGCAAAAGAAGCCAAACTCCGAAGAAGGCATAGTTTGATCAATTCATAGAAAATTCAAATAAGACAATACTAATCTATATGTATAAATATCTACATAAATCAGAAAGTGATGGGGGAGAGGAAATTGACTATCAAGGGCTCAAGGGAACTTTCTGGTGTGTTCAAAAATGTTTTATATCTTGTTTTGATTGGTGGTTACCAAAGTAGATACAATTCTGAAAGATTGTTGAACTGAACCCCCGGTAGCTGTGTATTTTATTTATGTTACTTATACCTAAATTAATTTTTTTAAGTAAGAAATAAAAATTCCTTAGAGGAGGAAATGTGGTAGAATAATTTCCCACCACAGAGAACCATCTTTTCCATTTATCCTAAATGACAAAGCTTTGATTGAATTATTTTACATCCCTGTTACATTTCTCTAGGATCCAGGCCATGAAAGTCCTTAAAGCTATCAAACCAGTTTCCAATGCTTCCTTCCCTCCACCCCACCCTGTCCCCTGCATCTTTAGATACTGGCAGAGATGATTTTAAGAAACAAAATTGCATTTAGCAGTAAAAATCAAACTGAAAAACAGACACACTTGTCTCTCCCTAAGAATAAAAATGGATAGAGCCACCTCACTGCATTATCTTCTTAAAGAATTCTCCTCTATTCTCTTTTTATGGAATTGAAGTTTCTACTTTTGCAAATGAATCCTGATTACCAACGCCGGTCATGCTGTTTGCTGTCTCATCTGCCGTCATGCAGTGTGCAGGACCCCTTGGTTTACTCCTGGCTTCTCTCTTGGTTCTATCGGCTCTAACTTACCCTGAGGCTTAGGGGTGCCAAACTGTGATACTCAGCAAATGATAGCTAATAACATGAATTGAGCCCTTCCTACATGCCAGGTTCTATCCTATATCATTTACTTATATTAGCTGAATTGTATCTCCACAATTCTCCTAAGAGGTAGGACCATCATTATTCCCATTTTACAGATGAGGAAACAGAGGCACAGGAGGGTGAAGTAACTTCTATCGAGTATGTGTCAGGGTTAGGGTTTTGACTCTAGATAGCTTATCTCAGAATCCATGTCTTTGTCGCAATGTCATGCAACCTCACTAATGCTTTAGCCAAAGGGAACAAAAAAAACCACAAGCAAGTGCCACTGCTGTGCACTGTGTCTGATAATGAAGACAGTCTTGGCAATAGGTACAGTGCTCGCATGAAACATGGACAATGTTTATCAGCATAAGTAGGCACTCACAAATGTAGTTCTGATTTCATAGAAGCTTATGGTGTTGAATTTTATTACATTGCAGCTGTTGATGTCATTCCTCTGGATTTATACCTGGTTTCACTGAACTACCTAGAGGAAGAAGCCTTCTTGCTTTTGGGGCATAAATAAGAGCATCACCCGCCTTCCAGGGAGATGAGCTCATAGACCCTGTATACGACCTCTTTAGAGTTTGTTAATGGAGACTGTAACGACATTTCTGCAGTGACTCCCGAAGACCCTCGCACCATCCAGAAACGCATTGAATTTTATCTTTTCTTTGGAAATCGATCTTGCTATTAATCTACTTGAAGGCAAAGTCTGTGTAACCCAAAATTATCCCATTTCCATGTACTCAGTAATTAAAAACCAACCAACCATCCCCTCTTAACAAAGTGAGGTAAGAATAGAAGTATGTTTTGCTGACATTCTCTCAAGCCCAGATATATAAACCTGCCTAGATTCTAGGCAGTCAGGGTCACTTAAAACAAGCTGGTGAACTAATCATTGACACCCAATCTACTCATTACAACACATAGAAGTTTCTCTCTCTTTCCTTACTTCCATCTTTCTTTCTTTCCTTGAACTCCTTGCCCACCCTACACCTAACTCACCTGCCTGCTCTAATTATTTAACCTTCCATGGTTGGCAGAAACTCAAGCCTTGAAATAAAACTAAGCCGAGATGTAATTTACAAGTTGTGAGTGCCACTCACCGTGCTGCTGTGTCCTCAGCCAAGTCCAGTGCTATATCTGAAAGTTCTTCCGGAGCTCCTCTTGAACATCTTACTCCCTCTCTTGGCAGGTGCCTGGCTCGTGACTTCTGCCTGGCTGGGCTGCCTGCCTCTCTCAGCTTTTCCCAGCTTGCCCTCCCCACCAATCAGACCCCCTGCTTTAGCTGGGCCTCAGGGTGCTCGTCCTTCCTGGACTCCCGGCGGGTGCCCAGCCCGCGCCTGCATCAGATATCTCTCAGGCCTTCCCCAGATCCCAGGCCTGTGGCACACCTAGTTTCAGCTATCAACACTGCCCTCTCAGTACGTGCCATTCCTACTCTGTCCACTCTGAAAAGGGACCAGTGTCTCTCTCGGTCTCCACTCACAGAGTCCCTATTCTCTCAACAAAAGGCCAATCAAATACCAAGATGGTTTCACTGACGTCTAGCCCAGCTCAAATGACCGGTTTTCTTAGGCCTCATTGTTGCTGGCGACTGCTGGTGCCTCTTGGTGTTCAAATTCAGAAGAAAGCCCGGACTGAGAGTGGCATTAGGAGACAGGAAAATCTCTAGAGGGAAAGCAAGGGCTTGAAGAGGGGCCCATGGAAGAGACATGCATGGCAGGAGGGTCAGTGTGGAGGCCCCAGTTGCACGCCCCAGTTGGACAGAAAAGAACAGGGAAGTGGTGAATGATGGGTGAATCCACCCAGGCGGCCAAGAGAGATATACACAGATGGTGGGTGTGGTGGCTCACGCCTGTAATCCCTGCACTTTGGGAGGCCGAGGCGGGCAGATCACTTGAGGTCAGGAGTTCAAGACCAGCCTGGCCAACATGACGAACCCCATCCCTACTGAAAATACAAAAAATTAGCTGGGCGTGGTGGTGCACGCCTGTAATCCCAGCTACTAGAGAGGCTGAGGGTGGAGAATTGATTGAGCCTGGGAGATGGAGGTTCCAGTGAGCCGAGATCATGCCACTGCACTCCAGCCTGGCGACAGAGGGAGACTTTGCCTTAAAAAAAAAAAAGAAAAGAAAAAAAAGAAAGAGAGACACACAGGAAATGACTTATTAAGCAAAGGGGAAGTCCAAGGAAAGACAAGAATATTCTTTAAAAAGAAAGTGAGATAGTGGAACTTGAAGAGGAGGACTGAAACTGTTTTGTTGTGTAGGAAAGGTGAAGGAAAAAGAAATGTCTTCCCTCTGTGTGTTTTCTGCCCCTGTAATTTTTCTAAGCTTGTCCGCCTCCATTTCCCCACAGGGGCCTGGGGAATGGACAGGTTAGCTGTCTTGCTCACTGGAGGAGCCCACATTATTCTAGAGCTGGACCTAAAGCACCCCGTGCTCACCCTTGTTCATTGTTTGTTCTTCCCTGGCAAAGTCTATCTTCTGATTCAAGTTTAATCAACAATATCATATGTACTGGGGCTTCTGGTGTCTCAGCCTCTGTCCTAAGCACCAGGGCAATTCAGCATGGTGAACCAGGAAGCAAACCAGACTTGGAGATGGGCGGGCTGGGGTTATTTGTTGTTGCTGTTTTTATTGAGCCAGGGTTTGAGTCTCAGCTCTGTTACTTACTACTTGTGTAGTCTTGGATGAGCACCACATGCTCTCTGAGTTTTTGTTTTGATTATTAAATTGCGGTTAGGAATACTGGCAGAATCAAGTAGTAGAAGAGGTGTTAAGTACCTAGCACAGCACTCTTCACTCACTGATTATAAATGCCCCCAATGCCCCCTGTTTCCTGCATCCATGCCCTTGCAATGTGACATGGCAGACCTCCCATCAGAAGGCAGGGCTAATGCTCCATCTGATCTGGGCTTGACCATATGACTTACTTTGGCCAATGAGACATTAGAAAATGTGACACAAGCAGGGATCTGAATGGTGCAGGCACTGGGGCTTGCCTTCTCCTGCAGCTAAGAATCCTTTACACACCATGGAACAAGTGAAAGCTAGCTTCCTGGGGGATGAGAGACCATGTGGAGAGAGGCTCCAACCATCCAGACTTCCACCTGAGTTCCAGACATTAAAGAGAGGCCATCCTAGACCACCCAGCCCTAACAGAGCTGACTTAGACCCGAATTGATTACCTAGCTCACAGAATCATGAGATGCAATAGATGTTTATTATTTTAAGTCATTCAGTTTGGAGGTCTTTGGCTTTTGTAGCAAATGCTAACTGGTATAGTAACTAAGAGCTGGTCATAATGGCCAACACTTATTGAGACCTTTAACGCCAGGCACTCTGCTAGGCATGTGCTGGTCTTCTAAGCTGCATCTCCTGGTGCCCATAACAGTCTTATACACTAGAGGTGCCCAGGAGAAATCACTTTAAGAATTAAAAATTTTTATTTTTATTGTACCTGAATCCAGGAAGTATAAAAGGATACTAAAATACAATCAAGTAACTGCAAAAAATAGGTGTACAGGAAATAAATGCAAGTGTGGGAGACATCAAATGAAACTAAGCATGGGGCAAAAAACAAAAGCAAACAAATATGTATATGGTGGCTGCAGGCAGGTATATTACCTTGCTAGGACTATCATAACAAAGTACCACCAACTGGGTGGCTTCAACAATAGACATTTGTTGTTTTAGCGTTCTGGAGGCTGGAAGTCCAAGACCAAAGTATAAGCAGAATTGGTTCTTCCGAGGCCTCTCTCCCTGGCTTGTAGACAGCTGTCTTCTTCCTGTCTTCATATGGTCATCTCTATGTGTGTGTCTTTGCCCTAATCTCCTCTTCTTATAAGGACACCTGTCATATAGGATTAAGACTCTAATGACCCCATTTAACTTAATTCCCTATTTAAAGTGCCCGTCTCCAAATACAGTCACATTCTGTGACACTGGGGGTTAGGGCTTCAACAGATGGATTTTACAGAGGAGATGCAATTCAGTCCCAAATTGTGGGAAATCTATTTGCTCTACGCTTTCCACAGCCAACACCCAAAGGGAAACCTAGACAGATACACAAGTTCATCTCCATAAACTCATGAAAAACAGAACTACCTAATAGCTAGCACTCAGCCCAGACAGGTTTCCACAAGCATTCTCATTTAAAAAAAAAAAATTTTGTGAGGCAGTGATATCTTCAATGTTTCTCTTATAGCAGAAACAATGGTAAGTTTCAAAAGATGTCTCTGACATCCCGTCTCAAGCATTGACCAATGATACAAAGTGGAGGAGAATGAAGTATTGATGCAATTTCTCTCCAGCCTTATTAAATGATGGAGTAGCCACCAGACAGGGTGGCTATCAATCTCTCCACCAATCTTTCCCCTAGAATGGCTCTGTTTCTTTGGACATTAAAGGGGTTTTTATTATGGAGAGTTTCCCATTAAAACGCAGCACCACAGTTGAGTGCCTGTGAAGGAGAGAATTACATGAGCACGGCCTGTCGAAGACCCCATGGACAAAGGGCAAGAGAGAAGCTTCCAGATAAGTGATGGCGTGTGCCAAGGGCAAGCTTCCTGTATTACATTTTAGGGGAGACACAGCTTAGCTCCACAGCATCTTTCCCCTCTTGTGTTGGACATTTTTTTGGTGGTTTGCTCCCACGGCCTATCCTAAGGGAAGATAATTTTGAGAGGTCATCTGCAGATAACCACATCATGCTTCTACAAGTGACTCACCTCTTTCTGGTCTTAGCTGATCATCAACTGACCCAGGAGCTGTCCACCTATGGGTTGGCCAATGACAGTGACCTATGGCCTGGCATAAGATGCATTTGGCCAATCAAATTCCTGCTCTCTCAGAGGAAGTGCAGAGATGGGCAGTTGGTGAGAGCTGCTGGTGTGGGGCAGGAGAAGCCATAAGGCACTAAAAATAACAGCACACCTCACATCTATCTGGATGGCTGTTATCAAAAGAACAGAAAGTAATGCTGGTGAGAATGTGGGGAAACTGGAGCCCTTGTGCATTGCTGGTGGAAATGTAAAACGATGCAGCTACTATAGAAAATGGTTGAGGGTCCTCAAAAAATTAAACGCAGAGTTACCATATAATCCAGCAATTCCACTTCTAGGTGTATACCCCCCCAATGTTGAAAGCCGGGACTCAAAAAGACATGTGTACACACATGTTCATAGCATCGGTATTCACACACTCTATTGGTTCTGTTTCTCCAGTGAATCCTGACTAATGCATCTTCCAAAAGAATCTACAGAACAGCTGGGGAGCATGAGTCTAAGGTCTGTAGGCTCCAGATGAAAGATCCTGTCGCTGATGCTGGGCCAGCCTACAAGCACCCCCCAGACAGGCTGTCACAGAACAGTAGGGCTGACGAACCACGTTCAGTTGCTTGAATCCCATCATTTAGTACATCAGTTCCAAACACACAGCAAGAAACAAAGGGAGAGATCTGCAGTTGGTTGACACTGCAGGATCTGGTGCCTTCAGGGTGGAAGGACCACAGCCCTGGGTCCTGGGCTATGCAATGTTCACAATCCGTCTCTGTCTGCCCATCAGTCTCCCCTGCTAACAGTGTGGTTACCAGGACCAGTCAAATAGTCAAACAAGGAGGCTTAGCAGATGGAAGCTGCCCAGAAACTGCACATCCTTGTCCTACCAAAGAAACACAAGAGCACGATCACCTGGCCAGTATCTGGGGCTCGCCAGCTGACCTGCGGAGTGGCTGTGGGCTTTGTTTGCATTTCTTGAGCAGAGCACATATGGTCCCATCTATCTTTGTCATTCATTTCTCTTATTTTCTCCAGCAGAATTGAATGGTCTTAAAAGAGTGAACATGTATTGCAGATGCCGTGAGAGCTATGATGGTGAAACTGCTGATCTTCCTAGTACTTTAAAAAAGACTTTCTACAAAGATCCTTTCTATTTTGTGTGTTTGTTGTTGCAAATAAGTACTTGATTAGAGGCCAAGCGAAAGCTGGTGGTTTTTATCTCATGAAGGTTAGGATCTGTTTTGTTTTCCATGGATGCTAGAAGTTGTGAATGGAAAAATGAACATCATCTTTGAGTAAAGACATTTTAGAAGGAGACACATTTTGATTGTAAAAATGGAATGTGACTGGGTGCGGTGTGTCACACCTATAATCTCAGCACTTTGGTGGGTGGATTGCTTGAGACAAGGAATTGGAGATCAGCCTGGGCAACATGGCAAGACCCTGTCTCTACAAAAAATACAAAAATTAGCCGGGCATGGTGGCTCATGTCTGTACTCCCACCTACTTAGAGGCTGAAGTGGGAGGATCACTTCAGCCTGGGAGGTCGAGGCTGCAATGAGTATGATAACACCACTACACTCTTCAGCCTAGGTGATAGAGTGAGAACCTGACTCAAAAGACAATAGAAAGAAAAAGAAAATGGAATGTACCGGGCCAAGGGAAGGAGAGCAAGGAGAACCGCTTTGGGTATTTGTGGGGTCCCCCCAGGACTCACTACTGCAGGAGGATGCAGAGGAAAGGGATAGGGTGGAGAGCGAGGCATGCTATCCACTGAAAGAGAGGGACAGGCACATGTGTAAGTTGTAAATCTCAGAAAAGAGAAGTAAAGATTAGTAGTGAGAAATGGGAAAGCCGAGAGGTGTTATTTGAATGCACACATTGAATGAATGAAAAAAGTCTCACGACAGGATTAGATAGAAAAATGCAACGTTTCCTTTTTAACCAAAAGAGGCAAGAGTTCGCAGAGGAAATAGATTGTGCTTGAGAACAGCCATGGCAATTTTTCAGCAATACAATCAGGCATTTTAGGGGAAACTTAATAAATGGCTTGGATCTCAGTGGTCAGGAAAGGATGGAGAACAGATATCAAAGGCTGACATAGATTTTCTGAGCAGAAAAAATAAGGTAGAGAGAGAATAAGCCTGGGACTGGGGACAGAGAATTCGAATGCCCAAGGTCAAATTCAGTCTGCTAATGTCTGCCTGGCCCCTGCACAAGGACTCGTTCCATGAGGCAGCGCCTGCGCCCACATGTGTACAGTTGACTTCCACCGATTGTTCACCCAACGTGGACCACCTTGCCTCAGACCCTATTTGACACAAGTTCTATCTCCAACAAACCAGCTGTCAGGAAATGGTCTCAAATCTCCAAGAACAGAAACTTCTCTTGACAGTGCATTCTGTTACCTTCAGTATGAAAACTGGCAATGACACAGCAAGACCTGCAACTCAGGCTTCCTGTCCCCAGCCCTCCACAATGCTAAGAGCAATGGCAGAGCACCTGTCCAAGGCCTCGAATGAGCTGTTGGCTATACAGAAGCATCTGGAAGGATGCAAGAGCACCCTAGAATGACTATCATAAAAAACCTGCCCCATTCCCCCACAACCCTTTCCCAGCCCTTCTGTAATGTGTGGTTAAACTGAGTCTCATCCATTTTTCCTTCCTGCTAAAGACTAAGCTTGGGAAGAGAGTGGAGGGGAGGGGTGCTGGACTTGAGTGTGGAGACAGAGTGGCTTCCTGGGCCCCGAATAACCTTTGGGGGCCTGCCTGATGACCCTCCACAGCAACCATGTGGATTCTGGTACTTTCACTGCAAAATGAAGGATGCAGGTGATGGGCTGGGAGGGCTGCAAGTGTCCAGGAGGCTCAGAGCCTCAGTAGAGATGGAACCATAAGATATCCCACCTCTGCCATCACCCACACAATCCAGCAACATCCCCAGTGCCACCTGGATTTTGCCCATTCCTCCATCATCTCTCCTCCCAAAGAAAATCTCCCTCTTCCTTCCTCAAGGGGTCCACATGGGTGGCCAACTGCTGGACCATTCTGAAGTCTCTAGGAAATAAGCCTTTCCTGCCTCTTCCAGCTCCTGGTGTTTGTTGGGAATCCTTGCTGTTCCTTGGCTCATGGCAACATAATTCTAATCTCTGCCTTCATCATCACACGGTATCCTCCATGTCTGTGTCTCCATGTCCAAATTTTCCTCTTGTTATAAGGATACAGTCATACTGGATTTAGGGCCCCCTCTAACCCAGTATGACATTATCTTAACCTGACTACATCCATAAAGAAATACCCTATTTCCAAATGAAGTCACATTCTGAGGTCCCAGGTGGGCATGAATTTTGAGGTGGGGGGGATGCAATTCACACAAGCGTCATCACTTAAGGGTAATGAAGGCCAGAACTTTTGACTTTCTTGGTATAACCAACTTTAATTACAATATCCTGAGTTTTTTCCCCCCAAAGTCACTCTGAAATGACCATCTACCCTTTTCCATTCCATAAACTTAGTCTAATACAGACAGAGCTCAGCTTTCAAATAGAGGAGTTTTCCTGAGCTGCTGCAGGTAAGGGCGCCTGTTTGCAGTGTCTGTTGGCCAGGCCAGGTTGGGGGTGCCCATGGGAAGAAGGAAACCCACAGGATCCCATCCAGGGGAGGGAGCTCATTAGCATAACCCCTGGCTTGCTCTGCCCATCATGCACGTCTAGCATCCTGATTGGTAGGTTTGAAAGGAGACCTGGGTCATGGGCAGTAAGAGGTCCTGCATCTCGATTTACTCTCAGGAGTGACTGGCACTTCCAGGGCTGGGCTCCTCCAAGGATGGGCTCATCCCTGTGGGGTGGAGTAGGGGTCTGTCCAGTTCCGCCACACCCACCCCACCCACCCCCCACGCCCACCCCACCCACCCCCCACGCCCACCCCACCCACCCCCCACGCCAAAATTGGACTTCTGTATTAGGGAGCTTATTTGCCCAAAGATATAAGCCACATTCTCCAACCTAGACTGTCAGTTATAAACGTAGTCTTTGGGCTGGAATAAAGGCAGTCTTTGGGCCAGGCACAGTGGTTCACATCTGTAATCCCAGCACTTTGGGAGGCCAAGGCGGATGGATCTCCTGAGGTCAGGAGTTCAAGACCAGCCTGGCCAACATGGTGAAATCCCGTTTCTACTAAAAATACAAAAATTAGCCAGGTATGGTGGTGGGCACTTGTAATCCCAGCTACTCAGGAGGCTGAGGCAGGAGAATTGCTTGAATTCGGGAGGCGGAGGTTGCAGTGAGCCAGGATCACACCACTGCACTCCAGCCTGGGCGACAGAGCCAGACTCCATCTCAAAAACAACAACAACAACAAAAACGGTCTTTGCGACTCCATTGGCCTCATGCCTTTTTTCACCTTTCATTTGGTTCAGAATTTGGGCAGGAAGAGTGTGCCATTTACCAGACACCCCCAATACCTTGGCAACACACAGGGCTCACTTTGAACACCAATTAACTTCTCAACAGTTCACACACAATCCATGCATGGGAGCCTTATTCCCTTAATACGCCAAAAAATATACCTGAAGCTAAAAATATACCAACCCAAGGCAAGCTTGAACTTTCCATAAAAGGCCATTAAGAGAATTGATTTCATCTCCGGGATTATTGCCCTGTGACAGCTGGTATGCATTCCAAATACAGCAACAAAAGAGAAGGCCACGCTGTAGAAAGGAGTTTAAGTGGAAACCTTCCATACACCAAAATCTCAAAGGAGAGGAAGTTGCTTGCCACCCCCTTGGTTACAGTTCATAGTCATAAAGGCTGTTTCTATAGAATAGACTTCCACGATTATCTATTTGCAAAAATGTACAAACACAGCCAGCATACTCTGTGCCTGTAGAAAGACCTGGATCAATACAAGTAACAGAAGAATGAAGAAAAGAGGAAAAAAAGATTTTATCAAGGCTGTTTACTTTAAGGGTACCTTAAAGACCTGCACAAACACACCTGCTACTTCAGTGCCAGGAAGAACAGAGCAAACATGGCTCTCCTTTAAAAGAAACTGGAGAAAGAGACTTTGCAGCCACAAAACCAGTCACACCAGGAGGCGCTAGCATCTCAGCAAGTGAAAGCATAGAAGCCTCATCTTCAGATCAAAGTTATTTAAAAGGAGCCCAGGATCACACTTCTGAATTAAGCCTACATCACATCGGGGACAGTAACATGTTGAGGAATGTTTAACCACAAACTGGATCACCAGAAGGGAAAAATCTCCTGATTCCTAGCATCTGCCCATTTCTGTGGTGTAAATACTCCCACAGTAGCTGATTTCAAGCTGCCAGCATTGGCAGAGATGTGAAACACCACACCATTGTATAGTATTTCCACCCTCCAGATACAATAGGTGCAAACAACTTCTAGAGCATAGGTACCAGTAAAATGTACTAACACAATCAGGAAGTAAAAAATGCTAAAACAATTAGGAAGTTGAATGTATTAAAACAACTAGGAAGTGATGAGTTTTGAGTATTTATTACTTTTGTGGTAATATAATTTATTTAATTGTAAGCTTATGATTTTAAATTTTTAAATAGTGACTCTTTTAGCTACCAGCTCACAAAATTCCGGCAAATTTTACAATTGGCTCAAGCTGGGGCAAGTCTCCTTCAACCTACCATGGTCTGGGGAGCGTTTTCAAAGTAACAAAGATCTTCCTTTCCCTACCTCAATTGCGGGAGGCCCATTGGGACAAAATGCCCCAGAGGCGACCACATGTGCATATTTTCTTTTCCTTCCTTCCTTCCTTCCTTCCTTCCTTCCTTCCTTCCTTCCTTCCTTCCTTCCTCCCTCCCTCTCTCTTTCTCTCTCTTTCTTTTTCTTTTTTTTCTCGCAGTTTCGCTCTTGTTGCCCAGGCTGGAGTGCAGTGGTGTGATCTTGGCTCACTGCAACCTCCACCTCCTGGGTTCAATCGTTTCTCCTGCCTTAGCCTCTCGAGTAGCTGGGATGACAGGTGCGCCACCATGTCCCGCTAATTTTTTGTATTTTTAGTAGAGACAGGGTTTCACCATGTTGGCCAGGCTGGTCTCGAACTCCTGATCTCAGGTGATCCACCTGCCTCGGCTTCCCAAAGTGCTGGGATTACAGGCGTGAGCCACCATGCCTGGCCATCATGCATATTTTCAAAAGCTCTCCAGTGCAATTCTAATGGACTCCCTGGGTGAGAACCACTGCTGTGTCCCACCCTTCCATGTTACAGAAAGGGAAGCTGAAGTTCAAAAGTTTAAATGTTCTCTCTGTTGGTTAACAGATGACCGAGCTGGAGAATGACTATTAGTTGGGTTCTTTCTCTTCCCCTAGACCTTCCCCCCAACAATTATGTGCAACTTTGGATCTCTTCTGGAAATACTGCACCTTATAAGCACCTTATTTGAAATATTGCAACTATATTAGCAGTATAGGCCATATACCAAAGCCTCATTACTTTAAAAGGAAAAAAAAAAGAGAGATGGGGGGGCAGTCCTACTGTGTTGCTCAGGCTGGTCTTGAACTCCTGGCCTCCGGCGATCCTCCTGCCTCAGCCTCCCGAATAACTGGGACATAGGTGCATTGCATTCAGCTTACTTTTGCATTACCTTAACAATAACCAAAATAAAGTTTACCATAATATCATTTATTTTTAAAAAGGGTTTAACAAGGAAATTCATAGGTAAGCCAAACTAGAAAGGAGACATCAACGTCCTCAAGAAACTTTAGAGACCAGCTTTCTCTCTGTTTGTATATAAACCATGTATATATTAATAACAAACCATTCTGATCTATATACTAAGAGAGGGTCAACTGAACTGGCAATGTTTAGTTAGTGGTTATTTTAACTTATTCTTAATTAAAAATAAAGTTATTCTAGCCAGTTGCAGTGGCATGTTCCTGTAGTCCCAGCTACTCAGGAGGCTGAGGCAGGAGGATTGCTTAAGCCCAGGATTTTGAGTCCAGCCTGGATAACATAGTGAGAGCTTGTTTCCATTTTTCAGAAAAGTTGTTCTAGGTAGCAAGATTATGGTGATTTACTCTTCCATATTTCTTCTAAATCTTCTTCAACAAGCTTAATGCTGTAGTCCTGTCCCATATATTTTTAATGCTTTTATAATCAGAAAAATTGACTTTTTTTTTAACCCAAGTCAATTGCATCTCTTTCCGCACCCAGACTTTTCATGAATTTGGTTTGGCTTCTCTTTTAAATTTTCCCAAGACAGCAAGGAAAAGTGATCCAGCTAAGCTTTCCTTTTAGGACTTTTTACTGACTCTCCCCAGCGATTTGAAGATAACCTCCTCCTGAGCTCTCCACCCCACTCTGAAGCTGCGAGGTCCCCACCGAACAGAACACGGTCTCCTGAGTGTCCCACCCTGCTCTTAGCGGGAGAACTCAGCTTTCGGCTCCCATAGGCATGGAAACAGTTACCAAACACTGGTTCCTAGGCCAGTGTCTCTCCTACTGCTAGTTGAAAGAATATTCCATGACTCATTGTGGACTCATCTCCCAAAGATATTAAATCTGAGTTTCAGTGAAAGCCAGTCCAGGTAAGCCCTGTACAAATAAGAACACGCCTGAGCTAAAACCAGGCTGGTGGATTCCAGCATCTTCTCTGGGCTCTTCCTGTGTCTCAGAGCGTGAGCTTGGGCTTCTACTCCGTGCCTGGGGGACCCATGCCCCCTGCCACCCCATGGCTGGAAGAGTACCCCTGTCTGGGAGAAATCAGCTATAAACGCAGAAGACAAGAGCCCTGAGGGAGGCAACCTTTCACCAGGTCCAGGGGCTTCTCCATTGGTCCTCACGGTCGGGCTCATTATCACAGCATCTTCTGATGATGTCTTTGCCTTGCTCCCATCCCTGTGGGTGGTGAAGGGCCGGGAAGGCAAGTGTGCAGGACTGTGGGTGCTGGGCTTATCTGGAGGCATCTGCTGAGGGGAGGCCAGCACATGTTTCTTAAGAACAAGGGCACGCGTCTTATCCCCTTCTCTTCCTGGTGGGCCGGGCTCCTTGGTGCAAAGCAGCTCTTTTTTTTTTTTTTTTTTTTTTTTTTTTGAGATGGAGTTTCGCTCTTGTCACCCAGGCTGGAGAGCAGTGGCGTGATCTCGGCTCACTGCAACCTCTGCCTCCTGGGTTCCAGTGATTCTCCCGTCTCAGTCTCCCAAGTAGCTGGGATTACAGGCATGTGCCACCACGCCCAACTAATTTTGTATTTTTAGTAGAGACGGGTTTCTCCATGTTGGTCAGGCTGGTCTCAAACTCCCGACCTCAGGTGATCTGCCCCCCTCGGCCTCCCAAAGTGCTGCGATTTAAAACAGGTTTATTGGCAGGGCGCAATGGCTCATGCCTGTAATCCCAGCACTTTGGGAGGCTGAGGCGGGTGAATCACCTGAGGTCAGGAGTTTGAGACCAGCCTGGCCAACATGGCGAAACCCCATCTCTACTAAAAATACAAAAATTAGCCAGGCGTGGTGGTGCATGCCTGTAATCCCAGTTACTCGGGAAGCTGAGGCAGGAGAATCGCCTGAACCCAGGAGGCAGAGGTTGCAGTGAGCCGAGATCAAGCCATTGCATTCCAGCCTGGGCAACAGAGCTAGACTCCTGTCTAAAAACAAAACAAAACGAAAAACCCAAAAATCATAAAACAGGTTTCTTTCCACGTTCCTGATAGTTTCTGGCTTCTGCAGCCACACAGACCTTCACCACTTTCTAAGCCTGCATTTGCTGACCATCCCCACATCCTAAACCAAGCCCTCTGACCTCAGTTGTTCCTGCGAGGATGCCTTGTCCGGAGATGGCAGAGGTTCCCGCCACTGCTTTTCCGTGCCTGCCCTCCCGCCACTGCTTTTCCCAGCACACCCTGCCACCCCAGTGTGGAGGCTCCACTGACCATCACGGGGAGAGTTCTATCGGCACCTGCCTCCTGCCCCTGTGAGATGCGTCTTGGGGGAGTCATGTGGCCTCTTGACACCTCAATTGCCTCACTGGCAAGCTAGGGATAATAATGTCACCTCCTGAATCAGCGTGGGCATTCAGGAGCTACTGAGTGTGTAAAACCCTGCAAAAGGCAGAGGCCACTCCCATGCCAGAAACAGTCTCCACGTCTCCTTCTACAGACCCCTCCTCCGAGTCCCCTTGGTCCCCAAGGACAGCACCAGCCATCCTGTCTCCATGGCCTTTGTGTTATCAGTAGGGCTGCCAGACGAAACACAAGACACCCAGTTAAATTTAAATTTCAGATAAACAACAAATAATATTGAGTATAAACATGTCCCGTGCAATATTTTCATTTGCTATATCTAGTGACCTGAATCTAATGAGAGGGCACGTTTCACAGGGCTGGACACCATGTGTGTTTCATCTGTGCTCCCCGACCCTCCCTCCTCCCTCCCCAGCCTGGCACACTGCCGGGCACATGGCCTCAGTATCCAATAGGCCGGCGGTTCTCAGCAGGGTCAGGACTGCCCCCTAGGGGCTATTTTGGAAATTCGAGGAAGCCTTTGTGATTGGCAGGATTACAGTGGGGGACTTCCTGGCCTTGAGGGGACAGGAGCCAGGGGTGCTCCAGGACCTGCCAGAATTGTCCTCTCTGTAGAGAGTTGTCCTTTACCCCACACACCATTCAGGTAAATGACAAACCCGCTTAGGACCGTCTGAGCCTGGAAACTCACTCCATAGGAACATAAAGTGGATTTTGTGCTGTATTTCCAGGAATGCAACTACTGTACTTTGTTTTAGTCTCATGACAAATTGCATCTGTGGTTTTGAGGCCTCGGTATATTACACCTGCATCAGCCCCTCTTTGTGGCTGTGGATTCCTTCAATTGCCTCTTTCTGATGGCTTCATTGTGTCTTCTAGTGTAGATAGAGTGAGTGCTCAAGCACATTAGGCATTGAATATATTTTACTTTATTACAACCCTCCACTTTCCTTGTATTTCCTTCATATTGCACTTAATATATTATGTGTACTTAATGCATGTCTCTCATTTCAGATTCTGTGTCGTGATAGGTATATGTAACAGGAATCTGCACTATCGTCTGTGGTTTTTGTTTCAGGATGGTAAAAAGGCTGTTATAAAAGATTTGTTATGAAAGGGGTCACCCCTAGAACAGTTCTGTGTCTTGATCATAGTGGCGGTTACATGAATTTTAACATGTGATAAAAAGACTTAGAACGATTGCATACACATTGTGCCAATGCCAAGTTTCTCATTTTGCTACTGGACCACTGTTACAGAAGATGGAGCCATCAGGGTAAACTGAGGAAAAGATACACAGGAGCTCTTTGATTATCTTGGCAGCTTCTCTTGCATCGAGCATGATTTCAATATTTAAAAAAAGATTTTTTTGGTGCTTATTTATTTATTTATGTGAGACAGAGTCTTGCTCTGTTGCCCAGGCTGGAGTGCAGACATGATCTCAGCTCACTGCAACCTCCGCCTCCCGGGTTCAAGCAATTCCCCTGCCTCAGCCTCCCAAGTAGCTGGGATTACAGGCCCCCGCCACCATGCCTGGCTAATTTTTGTATTTTTAGTAGAGACAAGGTTTTCCTATGTTGGCTAGGTTGGTCTCGAACTTCTGACCTCAAGTAGATCCACCTGCCTCGGCCTCCCAAAGTGCTGAGATTATAGGCTTGAGCCACCGTACCCAGCCCTGTTAATTTATTTATTTTTAACTTTTATTTTAGTTTCGGGAGTACGTGTGCAGGCTGGTTATATAGTTAAATTAGCATCACGGGTTTATTGCACAGATTATTTCACCACCCAGGTATTAAGCCCCGTACCCAGTAATTATCTTTTCTGCTCCTCTCCCTCCTCCCACCCTCCCCCTCAAGTCAGCCCCAGTGTGTGTTGTTCCCTTCTCTGTGCTCCTGAGTTCTCATCATTTAGATCCCACTTATAAATGAGAACATGCGGTATTTGGTTTTCCGTTCCTGTGTTAGTTTGCTAAGGATAACGGCGTCCAGCTCCATCCATTTCCCTGCAAAGAAAATGATCTCCTTCTTAAAAAAATTATCCTTTTAAGCGAGAGGAGTCACCAAGTCCTGACTTCAGGTTGAGAGCCACCCAAGAGGTGGATCCAAGGGTTTCTCTTCCAGCCTGCCGGCTAGTCCTGCTTTGTGTGGAGTTCCTCCTCAGGAGAGCTTGCCTACGGGAAGGTGCAAGCACCTGAGAGCTCCATCCACTTCCCAGCAGCAGAAACGGGGAGCCGGGCTGCTGCTTCCACTCCTATCTCCAGCCCTTGGTTGCTTGTCCTTTGGGGTAGCCAGACGCAGGCTCAAACCCCAGGTCGTATGGCAGGTGGCCTGGCCTTAGAAAGTCTAAATGAAGGCAGAGGGGCCTCGGCGGGTCACACCCCTCTGCACTGGCTGAGGCCCATCGCCCACCTGGCTCCCCTGCCAGCCCCCAGACCCCGGCCCCTACCCCTCACTTCTCACTGTCGGTGGGCTGCTTCCCTCACTTCTCCCTCCAAATCCACCTGCACACCTGGGCCACGTCCTCTGCAGAATAAGGGAGGCCTTGAATGTGAACTAATTTTATTTAGCATAAGCCCGGCTGCCCGGGTCTTCTGTGCACGTCTCCCAACTGGGATCTCTGGAATCTCTCTCTCCTGGCTGTCAGGTGCACCTGCCCACCAGGCCTCACAGCCCGCATCACTACAGATCCAGCCGGGGTGAGTCACCAACAGCAAAAAAAGGGGGTGGGAGGAGAATGCACGTGTACACACTTCAGAATTCGTGAAGCTCTCCTCCATTCCTGGCTCCGTGTCAGGCACCAAACAGACACATAATTCACAAGTTCTCCCATCTGCCCTGAAGGATTCAAGGTCAGACAGTAGAACTGGGGGGCCACTGTCATCCCAGGGTGCCTCCTTACACATCTGAGCTGCGAGGAAGATTCCGCTCATCTGCAGGGAATTAAAGCAGGTGAGCAAACCGTTACTGCTCAGCTGCTGTTAGACAGTGGGATGGGAAATGCTTAACATTTGGAAAAGGAGAAAAGGAGGAAAAAGGGGATGATTTTAAAGACAGATAACTTATTTCCTGGACAACATTGAAATACATTAAAATATATTGAATTACGTTGAAATACATTGAAAAACATTGAAATTTCCTAGACAGCATGAAATACAACTTGGTCTCTGGGCCCAAGGCCAGAACGGTGGTCCTGTTGCTCCTGTCTTAGGTGAGCTTGCTCCCCCCTCTCCTGGCCCTCTCTCTCTCTCTCCCCTTCTCTTCTCCTTCTCTCCTTCTCTCTCGCCCTCTTCCTTTCCTCTCTTCTGTTTGGTCTTCCTCCCTCTTTCTCTCTCTTCCTCTCCCTCCTGCTCTCTCTCCCCTACTCCCTGCTTCTCTCCATGTTATCCCAGGATTCCTCGTCACCTAACAACATTGTCACCTGCCTATGAGTGGGACGTTGAATGTGTCCATTCTGCAGGGAGAGAGGGACACTGACGGCTGCCCTTCATGGGGAAGCAGCATGTCTTTCCCCCTTTACTTTAAACCTCTTTGCTCCTCTGACTTTCCCATCTCTGTTCCCCTTCACCTCTCACCCTCTCTTTCTCATTGTCCTCTTTGTCTCCCTTTCCTTCCCCCTTTCTCATGGCAGAAACAGTGCCCTATTCTCACCAGTGACTTCCCGTCGCTGGAAGGTGGCATGTCCCGGCCTCCCTTGCAGCTAGAGGGACAAATGCTACTCCAGGCCCACCTGGAAAGCCCTGTGCAGCCCTGGCCACCTTGCCCACTGCCTGAGGGCAAGCTTAGAGGCATGTGCTGGAAGAGTGGAGAGCCCCTACTCACTCTGCAGCGGACTTTGTCACACTGAGCCACTGAGACTGGGGGCTATTTGTTACCACAGCCAACCCCTGCCCATCCTAAAGATTACGCTCCTCCCCTCCATGCATAAGCCCGGCTGCCTGGGTCTTCTGTGCACCTCTCCCTGCTGGGATCTCTGGAATCTCTCTCTCCTGGCTGCCAGGTGCACCTGCCCACCAGGCCTCACAGCCCACATCGCTTGCAGATCCAGCCGGGGTGAGTCACCATCAATAGCAAGGACCCAGTGCCCAGCAAGCCTCCATTCACTCCACTCCTTCACATTGGTGGGACAAGGCTGGGAGCTGAAGTCACAAAACAAGGCCTGGTAACAACACTCCAGGCCCTGGAGAGCCCTCTGCCCCCGGGGCCCTGACAAGAGCCTCCCAGGGAAGGCTCCATGCCTCTGGGGAAGTGCTGGAAGCTCAGCAAGAAGCTCTCTGTGACTTAGACTGAGCCGGGCTGCGCAGGTGAGGTCCGCAGCATTCTGCTCTAGGAAGCTAGCCTTGACCGTGCTCATGACCTCCCAGCTCTCCAGCCCGAGGCATGCCCCAGTGGGAGAGGAGGAGGGTGCAGAGGAGAGCAGAGGAAATGGGTGCCATAATGGTTCATTTTATGCATCAAGTTGGCCAGGCCATGGTACCCAGTCGTTTGGCAAAACACCAGTGCAGATGTTTCTGTGAAGGTGTTTTTAGATGTGATTAACATTTACATCAGTAGACTTCAAGTAAAACAGATTATTCTCCACAATGTGGGTTGGCCTCGTCAATCAGTTGAAGGCCTTAAGAGGAAAGGCTGATGCCCTCCAGAATGAAGAAATTTTGCTTCCTGACTGCGACATAGAAATTCTTCCAGAGTTTCCAGGCTTCATAGTCACGACTACAACATCAACTCTTGTCGAACTTTCCAGGCTGCCAGCCTGCCAGGCGGGTTTCGGACTTGCCAGCTCCCATAATCACGTGAACCAATTCCTTAAAATCTCTCTATATAGATAGAGACAGACAGAGACCCTTCCCTTCCCTTCCCTTCCCGTCTTCTTTTCCTTTTCTTTTCTTTTCTTTCTTTCCTTCCTTCCTCCCTTCCTTCCTTCTTTCTTTCTTTGCCTTGCTCATCACCCAGGCTGGAGAGCAGTGGCACAATCTCAGCTCGCTGCAATCTCTGCCTCCTGGGCTCAAACAATTCTCCTGCCTCAGCCTCCTGAATAGCTGGGATTACAGATGTGCACCACTATGCCCGGCTAGTTGTTTTTTTTGTTGTTGTTGCTTTTTGTTTTGTTTTGCTTTGTTTGTTTTTTAGTAGTGACGGGGTTTCACCATGTTGGCCAGGCTGGTCTCAAACTCCTGACCTCAGGTGATCCACCTGCCTCGGTCTCCCAAAGTGCTGGGATTATAGACATGAGCCACCATACCCAGCTTTTTCTCTCTTCTTTCTCTCTCTCTTTTCTTTCTCTTTCTTTCTTTCTCTCTCTTTCTCTTTCTCTTTCTCTTTCTTTCTTTCTTTCTTTCTTCTTTCTTTCCTTCCTACCCATCTTTGGTCATCTTATTGGTTCTGTCTTTCTGGGGGCCAAGAGCCTTGCCTGGTGGACAGGGTTCATCTGCAGAAGAAGAGAGTGATGGGGAGAGAGGAAAAGACGGGGGGAGAGAGAGAGAGAGAGCTTGTCTGCATCTTCCAGCTCTTCTGTCCTAGGAAGCACCTGTGGCCTTAGACTCTGGGTGACTCTCTGCATCCCCTTGGCCTCATCCAGTTTGAGACAAATCTCTAACATGACTGACATAGAATCCTAATACTTCATTTAGATGGACATATTCAGACCTCTTTTATTTAGTTGTTGGAATGAATGGAATTAAATTTTCTAACAATTTGACTTGAGTGATCAGACTAGACTTAAAAGTCATTTTCCATTTCCAGGTCTCAGATAGACAGGAGAAAGCTTAGCAAATTTTAAAGACTACTATAGGTGTCTAATCTGGAGAATAAATAAAGACACTCTCTCCCCCAGAAAACTCTCAAACACATGTTTTTGTTAGTGGCAACATGGAGGTCTGCAAGGATAGATACTTTTTTTTGAGACGGAGTCTTGCTCTGTCACCCAGGCTGGAGTGCAGTGGTGCAATCTCGGCTCACTGCAACCTCCGCCTCCCAGATTCAAGCGATTCTCCTGCCTCAGCCTCCTGAGTAGCTGGGACTACAGGCATGCACCATCATGCCCAGCTAATTTTTTTTTTTTTTTTTTTTTTTTTTGTATTTTTAGTAGAGACAGGGTTTCACTGTGTTAGCCAGGATGGTCTCGATCTCCTGACCTCATGATCCGCCCGCCTCAGCCTCCCGAAGTCCTGGGATTACAGGCGTGAGCCATCGCGCCCTGCCAAGGGTAGATACATTTTTTAATTGCCTTTAATTTTTGCTGGGCTTTTGTTGAAGGATCTAAATCTCTTTCATGAAACATTCAATGTTGCACAGCTTTCTGCTATGTCAGTAGTGAAATGTTAAATCTACAAAAACGTTATCCTGAGTGTCTTAGTTTGGTTCCAACTGCTTAATAAAGAAGAAAATACAGAATATATTAAATCAATTATCAAAGAGTTCACTCAACCCAAACCAGCAGAATAGCATCCATGGCATTCACCGCCTCCAGCTGGCCTGATCTGGGGCTTCTAGCTAGCTTCTCAATCTATCTTCTTCTTTCCTTACTAATACAACTGGATTCTGTATAGGCTGCAATGTGCTCAAACTAAAAGACTGCATTTCCCTCCCTCTCTTGCATATGAAAGAAACCAATAACATCTAAACAGAACTCTTCAAATAAAGCCTTTTGCCCTTTGCTGGCTCCATATCTGGAATGTAGATGTGCTAGCTGGAGTGCCAGCAGCCATTTTGGGACAACAAGCCCACCTTGAGGAGAGAAGCTAATAAGGATAGCCAAGCAGAAAAACTGAGAAACCTAAATCCTAGATGGAGCTACCATACAAGCCCTGCACTGCCTCCCTCCTAGCTTCTTTCACATGTGCAAAGAAGCACCTAATTCATTTAGGCTACTAGTAACAGTTACATTGCTGTTACTAGTGTTCACACACAGTTAATAACTAATTCAGGTTGAAAAACATCTTTTCTAAAATGTGTTGTTACATAAAAAATATGAAGATCACAATTGAAAGAGTATCAACATTTTGCAACCTGGTCCTGTGCTTCATTTCCTATCATTGAAGCTTCTAGTGCCAACTGCAGCATTCCAGAAGGCAGTTTCCTCCAGGTTCTGGATTTCTTCTGCCTCTCAAAAATCTAATTCTGTGAGTTTGAAATCTAATTCTGTGCCTCCTGTCTCTTTACCTTCAAATCTAGAGCTTTCCTTGGGGCTGTTTCCACAACCCCCCTCCCCACCCCCATCACACACAGATTCTTCCTCATCATGCACCAGGCACCTGTCTGCCTGTCCACCTGCTGCACCTCAAGGATGCCATGACATCATTGTATCTAAACAACCCAACTAACCAAACAAGTCTTACTGCAAATCCCACTCTCCCACCCCGTATGTATCAGATGACCTTGGGATCAACCTTGGTAAGAGAGTCTTCATCCAGAAGGATCAGGTGATCCTTGTCCTTTAGTATTTGTGTTTTCCGTCTTGTGTCCTGTTTGGGTAGAGTACATAGTGGTTGAGAGATGGGGTTTGGGGTCAGGTAGCCCCAACTTTCAGGCAGACACATCACTTCATGTCTCTGAGTATAGTCTAAGAAGCTGCTATAGTCTAAGAAGTAGGATGAATATTCCAGTTCACAGGTGGCTGTGGTAAGGGATGCCCTTATAAATGTGCATACAGATGAGGTCATGTAAAGACTTTACTTGGATGGAATGGTCTCATACATGCTTCCTCCTTTCTCTTGAACAAACATATCTATCTCATGTCTCATTCTCTTAAGGGCAGGGGAGGCAAGATAAAGAAAAGCATTAATTTAAGTAATTTGCAGCAATCCGTGGCTGAAAACAGTTCAAGGTGCTACCCTTTAGGCAGTGGAATTCTAACAAAGAAACTATGAAAGCACCAATCCATCCATCCACCAACTCAAAGAGCTGGAGGGCGGTGGCAGGCAGCGGGGGTGGAGGGTGGGCACGCGGATACCACAGGTGATGGCTTCACCTCTCTGGGCTCAGTTTATTCTGAGTGACACTGTTGGACTAGATGGTCTCTAAGTCCCTCCTAGTCCGAAATTTCAAGATTTTTTAGTATTTTTTTTTCTGAACAAGGTGCTTTTTGATAGCACCTGTCAGCTCACCTTTTCCAGGGCCAGACATTTGCTGTAGTGATTCTTCCTGGGGTCGGCCTTAATGACAGTAGCTTTCTCCAACCACAGCCATATTCCATGAGCACCTGTAGTCCTGCTTTGCCACTTCTATGATCACATGGGTGACTCCATGCACCCCACTGCTGCCACGTGCGTCAGGTGCCTGAGTTTCTTTCTTTGTGATGGTGAGGTGTCCCACCAAAGTGACCATATTGGACTTTCATCATCATGGGAGATGCTGGTAACTGGCATGCCCAAATGTTAAAATGCCATCACTTCCACTCCACCACTGAATCATCCCAGACTCTTTCAAAAGTTATAGAGAACAAAGCCCTTTGGTTCAGATCATTTGCAACTGAGAATCAGAAGTAAAGGAAAGAGGAAGAGGAGGAGGAAGAAGAGGAGGAAAGAGAGGATGAGGAAGAAGAGCAGATGATTCTTCTTTAGAAAAACTGAAGAAACTGCCTGAGTGAAACCCATGGTAGGTGATTGCACCTAACAAAATCCACCCCTGTGTGGCATTTGATGGCCACCAAGTCAAAACACTCAGGTCCCTGTCCACTGCTCTCATGGGAAGCTGGCCAGCCACACTCCTGTATGTGGAGGTCCCATCGGCTTTCCTGCTCATGGAAGAGGCCTAACCATAAGACAGATTTAGATGTGCAACTACACCTGTGCCAATGAGATCCTAGAAAAGTCATCCTACCCTGTCAATGTTTTTTTTTTTTTTTTTTTGAGACGGAGTCTCACTCTGTCACCCAGGCTGGAGTGCAGTGGCATGATCTCGGCTCACTGCAACCTCCGCCTCCCAGGTTCACGCCATTCTCCTGCCTCAGCCTCCCAAGTAGCTGGGACTACAGGCGCCGGCCACCATGCCTGGCTAATTTGTTGTATTTTTTAGTAGAGACGGGGTTTCACTGTATTAGCCAGGATGGTCTCAATCTCCTGACCTCATGATCTGCCCGCCTCGGCCTCCCAAAGTGCTGGGATTACAGGCATGAGCCACTGTGCCCAGCCTACCCTCTCATTCTTAGGTACGATAGACAAATAAGGTCGCAAAACGTATGGAGTGAAAAACAAAGCTAAACAGACAGTACTATTTCTCATGGAGGAAACAGAAAGAATGCAGAAGGGGATGGGAAACACTCTCAACAGCAGGCTGAAAGATTTGAGAAAATGTCGCATTCTGAACCAGAAAAAGATGCCATAAAAGCCAATTGAAGAATAAGAAAGAACTTTTTTTTTTTTTGAGACAGAGTCTTGCTTTGTTGCCCAAGCTGGAGTGTAGTGGTGCAATCTTGGCTCACTGAAACCTCCGCCTCCCAGGTTCAAGCGATTTTCCTTCCTCTGTCTCCAGAGTAGACGAGATTACAGGTGCCCACCACCACTCCCGGCTAATTTTTGTTTTTTTTTAGTGGAGACGGGGTTTCGCCATGTTGGCCAGGCTGGTCTCGAACTTCTGACCTCAAGTGATCTGCCTGCCTTGGCCTCCCAAAGTGCTGGGATTACAGGCGTGAGTCACTGTGCCCAGCCAGAAAGAACTCTTAAGCAGTAAAAGTGTCATTGCCAAAAGAAATCAGAAAAAACCCCGAAAATTTAAGTCAAAGAAATATGCCAGCGGGAAAAAGAAAACAGCTCAAAGATTTTGAAGGGTCAAAGAAAAAACTAGAGATGTAGCCGATCAATCCAGCAGGTCCAAGGGGTGGTTAACATGAGTCCTAAGAGACACAGCCAGAGAAAATTGAGGGGAAGAGGGATGATTTCAAAGAAATAATAGAAAAACATTCCTAGAGCTATAAAAAGGACATGAGTCTTCAGATGGGTCTCGCAGTAGAAAGGAGGAAACACACCCTTAGGCAGATCTCCATGAAACTTCAGAACACCAGGAATAAAAAGATCTTTAAAATGTCCAGAGAGAGATTGCAAGCCTCCTGCCTAAGAATGAGGGTTAGGCTGGCATCAGCAATAGTGGGTGCTAAAAGACAATGAAATGACACCTTCTGAGTTTGGAGGGGAAATACTTTTCAAGGTGAAATTTGATAGTTAGCAAAGCTACCAATTATGAGCACAAAATGCAGCCAATTCTTGCTACTCATGGTAGGTACATTCTATAAAGTTGCCACAAACATAGCCAAATCCTGAACCACTCCTCTTAGAGGAAACACAGGGTTAGGCTCCCGGGAGCCTATGTCAACCTGTCAACACATAACCCTGCTTTATGTGTGCTTCTGTTTGAAGACACCTTATTTAATAAATACTGTTGACTCTTTAACACTGAGCTGGTGACCAACAGCACTGTAATTCATACTTACACAGAGCTTTTCTGACACACATATTTTCTCCATAAGGCATATGACTGCCTTCTTGTGATTAGGAACACTAGATAGCACTACAATTGGAGGCCATTTTAAACAGCAGAATCATCAATAAAAAACAAAAATGTGAGCAACATGGCAGTAAACAGACCACAGGAAGGACTATTTATAGTATGAGAGCTAAACAAGAAGGGAGAGCATCACCTTGTTCAATGTCAACTGGGAACATTCATGTTGGGCAGCTCAGATGTTGCACCTCTCTCTGCATGTCCAAGAATGACCTCAAAAGTGTGCAGACACTGATTTTCAGGTTACAAATAAGTTTTAGTGAGTAGGAGAATTTGCAAATATGGAATCCACAAATAAGAATTGACTGTTAAAACATCTCCAGGCATTCAAGTGGTCAGAAACTTTTCCTTTCATAGAGTATCTCTGAAAAAGTTACTCAAGGATACTCTTCAGCCAAATGAAGATAAAATCAAAAGAATGGATAAGACAAGATACTGGAAATTGTGGAGCCAACTCACGAGCCCAATAAAAAGAAAATCCCAGTTAAACATTTGTGAGATTGGATTTATTTTTTGCCTTGTGAACATACTATTTGTATTTTTGTTCATTTATTTGAGACAGGGTCTCACTCTGTTACCCAGGCTGGAGCACAATGGTGCAATCTCAGCTCACTGCAGCCTCTGCCTCCGAAGCTTAAGCGATCCTCCCACCTCAGCCTTCCAAGTAGCTAGGACTACAGGTGTGTGCCACTACACGTGGCTAATTTTTAAATTTCTTATAGAGACAGGGTTTTGCTGTGTTGCCCAGGCTAGTCTTGAACTCCTGGGCTCAAGCAATCCTCCTGCCTCAGCCTCTCAGAGTGTGGAATTACAGGTGTGAACCACTGCACCCGGTCTATTTTTATTTTTTTAAAAGCATCAGGTAGGCAGCATGAGAACACAGACTCTGAGGCCAGAACACCTGAGTTGAAATCTTAGCTCTGCTGCTTACCAGCTCTGGTGATCTTGGGCAAGTTGTTTAACCCCTCTGTGCTTCCTTTGTTCCACAGAGTAAGGCTATTAGTAGCACCTACCTCATAGGCTTGTTGGTAGGACTAAAGGATTTTGTAACATTCAGAATGGTGCATGGCACATAGTAATAATGCTATGCATAAGAGTTAATTACATAAATATATAGGTAATCTTCTAAAAGAAAAAGAAATTAAAGTAGGTCTGTAACCACCCAAGTAGGAGAGCATGAGACTGGAGTTTAACACCAGCTTAAGGTGCTATTCATGGTTTCTGGGCCCAGCCTTGGAGGGTCACCGACTCAGCAACGTGTCTCCCACCTCCCTAAGGAGGGCTGGCCTACCCCTGCAACTCTCTCTTTGCCTACAGGGTTATCTCCTCCTTTCCCAGGCAGAGGGTAAAACCCGCAGAGATGCCCACAGACCTGGCCCACAGACCTGAAGTCCACTGTAGGGTGAAGAGAAGCTTGTTTTGGGATAGTTTATGACTGACTTTGCCTGGGAGGTGGCACCCAAGAGTCCCGTTTGCTGAGGAACCCCAGGTGGCTGGGATTAAAGGGCCACACATCTGTAAAATTTCTTGCAGGAGACATAACTCTGAGGACTCTCTGATGCCAGGGTGTCCCCTGGCAGCCCTGATGCCCTTCTTCTGATAATTCCCAGCTCCATCCCTGCATGTCCAGGCAAAGTCAGCCCCCAGCGCTGGCCTCAGGGCGGGGGCTTCCTCCCAACAGCACGGCTGGCGAGTCCCGGGAGGTCTGTTTTCAGCTTCCCTTCTCTCTGTTTCCGTGGGAAATGACCTGTCCTGTTTCTCTCTGTCTTGTGCTCCCAGGTAACTTGGAAGGCTGGGAGAATCCCTCATGTCTTTCCATTATGGGAGATGTCCTTCTTTATTGCCTACAACAGGGGTTGGCAAACTTTTTCTAGAAAGGGCCAGATGGGAAATCTTTTCGGCTTTGAGAGCCATTTGATCTCTGTTGCCACTGCTCAACCCCAATTGGATTGCAAAAGGGGCCGGGAGAACACATAAATGAAAGGGTGTGGCTAGATTCCAACACAACTCCATGCAATACAGACTGATGTCATGGACTTTAGAGACCCAGGAAGGGGAGGGAGGCCAGGGATAAAAAACTACACATTAGGTACAATGTACACTACTCAGGTGATGGGTACCCCAAAATCTCAGAATCACCATTTTGTTATAATAGAGCAAATTATATTATAACGTACTTATGATATAATCCATCCATGTAACAAAAAAAAAAAACACTCGTACCCCAAAAGGTATTGAAATTTTTTAAAAATTTAGGATCAACAAAATATTTTATATGTTCAGAACATGGTAAGGAGTGATAAAAAGCAAGTTTCAGAATAGCACGTATAGTAAATACATACATGTGATATGTAAAAAGTATGTGCTTACAACTGTTTGGCTCAATATGAAATGCATAGACATGCCTAGAGAGATGTCCTTCCAAATATTGTCAATAATCATCTTTAAACCAGGTGAGGTGGCTCATCCCTATAATCTCAGCATTTTGCGAGCCGAAGGCAGGAGGATTGCTTGAGGCCAGGAATTCAAGACCAGCCTGGTCAAGAGAGACCCTATCTCTACAAAAATTAAAAATAAACAAATAAATACAAATAATCATCTCTAAAAAACAAATCAAAAAATAAAACTTTTTGCAAATGGGTGGTGGGCTGGATTTGACCTACTGGTCATGGTTTGCCAGCTCCTAGCCTGTGAGGCTAAAGAATCTCACGCCTGTAATCCCAGCACTTTGGGAGGCGGAGGCGGGTGGATCATGAGGTCAGGAGTTCAAGACCAGCCTGACCAACACGGTGAAACCCCTTCTCTACTGAAAATACAAAAATTAGCCAGGCATGGTGGCACACGCCTGTAGTCTCAGCTACTTGGGAGGCTGAGGCAGGAGAATTGTTTGAACCTGGGAGGCAGAGGTTGCAGTGAGCCACGATCGCACCAGTGCACTCCGGCCTGGGCAACAGAGAGAGATTCTGTCTCAAAAAATAATAATAAAAAAGCTTTATATTGGGGGTCCCTGAAAAGCCACAGGGCTCCCCTTCCATTTTCCCCATCAGCTTGCCTGGGCGCTTCCTAAAGCCCGTGCCCCAAGGAAGGCAGCTGGCTTTTCTGACTTGCAGGTCACTGTGGCCTCCAAGTCTTAAATGCGGGTGAGACTGGCTGGCCTCCATTCCCTTCTAGTGCCTTGGAGCACACTGCTGCTCATTAAAACTCCAGAATCCCTCCCTGGAAATTTGTTCCTTTCTGATGTGCCGTTTACACAGCTCTCAGCAACTGGCACCGGTTCTGAGAATATTTTATGACTACCTTTTGCTGGGCAAATGCCAACCCTCTGAAGATGAAGAGAGGGGAAGTTCTGTTCATTTTGCTTCACGGAGAAGAACCATCTCTTGCCCGATGACTCTGGTGTCCTCCTGCATTCTGGTACATTCTTCAGTGGCACGAATAGGACCATTCCATGGCTAACGCCACTCACCAAAGCCTCCATCCCCTTTCAGATGGGAAGGAAACTGGGCATCCAGAATCTTGTTATGACACAGGCGATTCCAAACGAAAAGGGCCCCTCAGGTTTTATTAATGTATTTTCTGGCTGTTAGATAAAACAGCAGTGTTTTGGAGTCAAAGAAACATGAGGCCTCTTCCTAGATGATAGACTATGTTTTGAAGAATGAGTTTAGGTCTCCCTTTAGTTTATCCAATGAACAAGGTATGAAGTTGTTTTTCCCTCACAGCAAGGTTTCTTCAGAACAGGATTTGAAAGTGCCTGCAAGTGGCTGAGAGAGACCTTTCTCTGAGGTGAAGAGCAGATGAAACATTCACTAAACAGGCTGGGTTTCCTGAGTCTTGAAGGCAAACATGAAAAGTCTGTGAAGGATGCTTTCTAAAGACACATAAGAAAGGAGGGGAGGAGAGTGGGGAGAGGACAGGAAGCTGAGGCTGCAGCGAGGCAAGAGTTTGCGTCCCCATCTTGTGTTCTTTTGGATTTTTTTTTTTTGAGACAGGGTCTTCCTCTGTCACCTAGCCTGGTGCAGTGTTGCAATCTTGGCTCACTGCAGCCTTGACCTCTTGGGCTCAAGTGATCCTTCCACCTCAGCCTCCCAAGTAGCTGGGACTACAGGCATGCGTCACCACCCCACACCCGGCTAATTTGTGTGTGTGTGTGTGTGTGTGTGTAGATACAATATATATAATGTGTATATATAAATTTATGTATGTATATACATATAAATATGTATATATACATGTATATACATATAAATATGTATATATATACTCACATATCTATCTATACATATATATGCATATAGATACACACACACACAAACACACATTTTTTTTGTTTGGGTAGAGACAGGGTTTCTTCATGTTTCTTCTTGTTGCCCAAGCTGGTCTCAAACTCCTGGGCTCGAGCGATCTGTCCATCTCAGCCCCCCACAGTGCTGAGATTACAGGCATGAGCCACCACACCCAGGGGACCTCTTTTGATTTTTGAACACAGTACCTGGGCAAACTTTTTTTAAATTTAATTTTAAAATAGAATAAAATTATGTCATTTATTCATCTCTTAGAACTTGGCAAAATTTCCCACTCAGCTGGGTCACTTGGCCGTGTACTTGATCTTCCTTCCTCCTTTGCCCTGGCCAAGGAGGCTCCAGTCCTGACAATCCCCACAGCCCTTGAGGGGTGCCATAGTGGGGACTGGTGCCCCCAGCAGATGAGGTGGGTGCTCACCCTGGTTCTGAGACACTGCCTGGACCTCCAGTTACTGTGGGGGCTCTCACGATATTTTCGGAAACATTTGAGTCTTCTGACTTATTTTTTAAATGGCTTACATAGCACACCTAGAGGCTGGGAGAGTGCCACAGCAACTAGAGGTATCGGCAGTGACAGGTGAGTGACGGGGAGTCTCAGAACCCAGTTCAGAGTCTGGACTCCACCGCATCCTGGTGGTGCAGACTCAGGCGAGGAACTCAGGGAGTCCGAGCCTCAGCTTGCTCGCACGTAAAGTGAGGAAAGTTCACCTACTTTGCAGGGTGGTGAACACATGAGCACATGTATTAGAGCTCCCTTCGTAAAGTAGTTCATTAGCAATCAATGCAAACGGCGATGGCTGCCCTGGGAGGGAAGCCCCCGAAGGAAGGAGCAGGCCCTCAAAGGCCCCTCCAAGGTCTCCTGCCTCACTAGTCCGTCCAGGGCCTGTGTGGTCAATGGCTGGCCAGCTCACTCCACCTCCTCTCACTCCCAGGCCATCCCAGCATGGGGGGACAAATTCCCTCCCTCTCCCCTTCACACCGATGACTGGCAGGCCAAGTGCCCCCTCCCTTTGCCAACAGCACCCTGGACTGTTTCTCCCAGGTACCCACCTCTCTGCCTTTGCACATGGATTTGGCTACTGATGGAAGCCCTGTTACTACACCAATTGCTGGACCAGGAGGGAACCAAGCTGGACCACAGGGTCTCTGTCTTGGAAATTTGAATTTTGAGTGCTGGGACTTGAAGATGGAAAACGGTCCCTTCTCCTTGTCCCTCGCCTTCCACCCACCCCACACGTTTCAGTCACTCACCGTCCTTTTCCCACCCACAGGCAAGTCTGGGCCCCTCCTCTGAGAATGCCCCCACTTCTCTGGGCAGAAGTGCCCCCCCCCAACCTGATGCAGCCGCAGTTTGCCTTCTTGGGGTGCCAGCAGCTCTGACTTCTTAGGTGGCCGATGCCCTGTTGCGTCATGAAGCACTCACTGACATGCGTTGCTTCTTGTCAGTCTGCCTGTCTGTCTCCTGCTCTCTCTGTGCTCAGGGAGGAATAGGACTGTGTCCCAATTGTCTCCCTGTCCCAACCTTTAGGATATCATCTGGCTCATGGACCCTAAAAACTGTGTTCTGAAGGAGAAGAGTGTCATGAGATGGCCCATTTGCTCACAGGACAGCAGCGTTACAACCCCAAGACGCCATGGCCCCCATCCCCAAGCAGGGAGTCCCCAGATAGTGTTGTGAAGGAGTCAACCAGTTCCGGAGATGGAGGCTGAGCTACTGTGAGGTCAGTGGCCCCAGCTGGAGCCAGGCTGCTTAGATTGCAGCTGGAGAGCTGGTGGAGGGGAGTAGGAGGGACCCGAGTCTTCTGTAGAAAGAAGCCTCTTGTCCCGGGGAGTCAGGTTCCATGCATTCCTGATCCAATGTCCGGTGCTGGGCGCCAGAGGAAACAGGGATCCTGGGGGTCTGTCCTCATTCTAAGCCCCCAGAGCGAGGGGCTGTAGGAAAACTCACAGAGTTGCTCCCTGGGGCTCTGTGCCAATGTGGGCAAGAGGCACATGTTACCACTTATCTTGGGATAACTTCAAGGGTCAGAGGAGGGACCCAGCCTGGCTCCCGTCACCTTAGCACATGAGGGTCCTGGGGAAACCCCGGGGGCAGCTTCCAAATGTGCCTCCAAGATGATGCCTGGATGCGGGAGCCTGCCCTCAGGGCCACAGCCCAACCCTCCACCCTGCAGGATGCCCTGAGAGGCTCCTTCGCCTCCCCAGAGCCAGGAGGGGCTGGGTGGGTCTGGGGGGATCCCTTCACCCTCCTCTCACTCCCCAGTGCTTCGGGGCTTGCAGAGGTCCAGGTGATTCCGGCAGAAACTCAACCTCAGCAAACTGGAGCTCAAGGAAACAGAGGGGCTTTTGACCTAATTATTCCCAATTGCTTGTCTCCATCGATCACACTCTCTTGGTAATTGCCCAACTCCCCACTTTGGGGTGGGGGGTGTGTTTCTCAGGGGGCTGCATTCGCGTGGGATAAATGGGGTGTGGCGCTGAGAAACATGCAGGCCCTCGCTTTCCGCACACTGTGGCCTTTGTGGAGGAGTGTTTTGTTTACTGCCATTAAAATTCAGAGAGCACGACCAGGGAGCGTGCAGGGCCGTGGGAGGGACAAGGGCTGGCTCCTCAGGGAGAGGCCTGGGCTGATGTAAGCTGAGCGTGGGCCTGGCCCCGGGGGAGTCCCCACCATCTGGGCCCAGATCCCACTTACATGGTCACTGGTGTTTGCAAACCCTTGATTCTGTGCAGAAACCCATCCGTGGTTCCCTTTCTGACGTCCATCTCAGGGCCCTGGCCTCCTGGGCCCAGCATCCAGGGATCCTCCACACTCCCCTAGCTCCACACCTCCCACCTCACCTCACGCTATTCCCCCAAACTGCTTCCCTGCTCATTATTTCTGAAGGTGACCCTGAGAACGAGCACCTCAGCCCTTGGCCTGATCTTTGCCGGGGCCGGTGTCCCCCTGTGGATGCAGGGCTCTCTCTGGCCTCCAGGGGACCCACGCCTGCCTCCTCCCCTCCGAGCTCCTCCAGCACCAATGGTCTGCACCCCCTAATTGTGTCTGGAGGGCATCGGCTTCCCCTCATTTCTGTACCTGACTCCCCAGCCAGCCTGAGGACTCCCGGGGGGACTTTAGGCCCCAGCACTCAACGTCACGTCACACTGGGGCAGAGCTCAGTGTGCATCTGTTGGTTGATGACATTATCAGGCAGCAGGTGCATTCCAGTGCCATCTACCCCACAGGAATCCATTCCCTTTGAACGGCCAGGCCAGGCCTCCACTGTCCCCTCCCAGCCTGCCCATGTGGTTCCAATACTGTTGACACTTTGACTCTTGTGTGGCTCCCAGGCTGGTCTATGGAGAGGCTTCAGCCAGCTGCAACCACACCACTCCTGGTGTCCGAATCCTCTGTCCCAACAATTGCATGCACTATTGGCTCAAAAAAGCGTTTTGAATATCAAATGCAAACTCAATGGGTTGGGACTCATGGGAACATTTTCATCAAATGCTGGAGAACTTACGGACTCACCTTTCCTTTTCTCCACCTTTCTCCTACATTCACCAAAACATTGAACTGATTGGAGGTCCTGGCCATCTCACTCACTAATGGCAACCCCTCCCAAATGAGTGTCTCCATTCTGGTATGTGAGCCAGTGAGCTTCAATGAACCTCATAACTTCCATGTAATAACATCTATGTTCCCTGAAAGCTCTGGTACTTAACCAGGGGCAATTTTCCCTCCAGGGGACATTTGGCAACATCTGGAAACATTTTTAATTACACAATGGGAGGGAGGAGTGCTCCTAGAATTTAGTGGGGAGAAGCCAGGGATAAACATCCGACAATGCACAGGACAACCGCTCACAAGAAAAAGTGATCCAGCCCCAAATGTCAATAATGCCAAGGTTGAGAACTGTGCCCTGAATGTATTATAAAGTGTCTTGTAGAAGGTAGTTCTATTTTATTTAACTTGTGATTCGACATCAGCAATTCTTGCCTGCCCAGGTTGGTCACCCACACCGCCAGAGGGAAATGAAGGGCTAGAGGGGACTTCTAACTTGGAATGGAGACAAAAGGCACAAGACTCCCACAGCAAATGACAGTAAAGGGGTGCCTGGAGGTCCGGTGCATTTCTGGGAGCCAGTCCGAAGGGAGACCTCCCTTTTAAATTCCAAGCACTCAGTCAATCCAACTCACAGGAAGGCTCCAGATGAAAGGCCGATGAGAGATGTGGAAAGAGAGCACTTTTGTTTCTAAGCTTACAGAGAAGGGTGGAGAATTTTTTAACTGAGCCAAACCACACACACCTCTATTGGGGCATGAAAAATTTGCGCATCAACAAGACACAATCATGCAAGTGACACGGCTTTTCATGCGAGTCACCCACGTGGCTCACCAAATCAAATGTGAAAGCTTATTTGTTTTGTGGAAATTCTCAAATAATGGCTCTGCCTGTTGCAGCAGGTAAAACTTACAGTTGAATTGTGATAGAGTTTTTTCAACACAGGATTTTTCTGTTTGACAATATTTGAACAGATGGTATGTGGGGCAGCACAGGAAGGTGCCCAACAGTTTCCACCCTGAGACCCGGATCCCAGTGTCTTCCATGGTTGGCCAGTGTGTACTATATATAGAACTTGGAGTGCTCAAAATCTTGCTTTCTGCATGACTTGTACTCAACTGGTCTTATTCCATTTACTTTTCCCTGCATATTTTCCCCTGGCATTTTATTGATTCTATCAGGATTACTTTCAGCTGCAAATAATGGCAAACCCAACTAAGAGTGGCTTAAGCAGTGAAGACAATGACTTAATTATCATTATAGTCACATAACAACAGTCAGAAAATTCCAGGGTTGCTGTCGTGTGGCTCAGTGATGTCATGGAAGGAGCTTTTTCTGCTTGGCTAGTCACAGTAAGTTAGATTTTCATCTTTAAACTCATGACCTCATGATCAGAAGATGTCTCTAAAGCTGTAGATGCAACAACATTTCAAACAGGAACACATAGGGTGACGAGCCAACTCCCTTTGCCCAAGGCTGAGGGGTTACTAGAAAGTCCCAAGTTAACTGGGACAAGTTGGTTACCCTATGGCCACCTTTTGTTAGGGAAGAACATCTTCCCCAGAAATTCCAGCATGTTCTCCTTGGTCTGTTGATCCAGAACTAGGTCATATCCTCACCACTAGACCAATGACTGGCAAGGAGGCCCAGGATCCCCCTGCTGTGATTCATCCCCTGGGGCTAGAGAAGACCCTCCCCTGGGCTTGCCCAACACTGAAACAGAATGGAGATTCTATTGGCCAGGAAGAAGGTGAGGAACCCAGACATTCGCCAGAGTGCTCATGAAAACAATTAATTTCCCAGTTAGCCAAATCTTACCAACCAAGCAGATTGTGTGTGTTAGACACATTATTCATTCATTTATTCCTTATTATTTATTCCTTGAACAAATATATGTGCAAGCTCTAGCCTGGGCCAAGTGGGTCTAGGGGGACCTCCCCCACCCCAGTTCACTCCTCCCACACTGTGGGGCCTACAGAGCTCCAGGTGATTCTGGCAGAAACTCGACCATGGCCAACTGGTGCTCCAGGAAACAGAGGGACCTTTGACCTAATTATTCCCAATTGCTTGTCTCCATCAATCACATTCTCTTGATAATTGCCCAGCTCCCCACTCTGTTCTTCAGTTTTTTTGTCAATAAAAAGGAGAATATTATACCTATTTCATAGGATTGTTGAAGAATTAAGTAACTTAATACAAGTAAAGTTCACAGAGTTTGCCTGGCACATGGGAAACATTCAATCAATGTTAGCTATTACTATAACACTTGTGGTAGTTTTTCAAATGGGTTAAAAATCCTTTTGCACTTCTTTCTTTTCAGGTGGGGGGGATGGAGGGGAGAGTAAATCTATGTTCCTGTCCCTTGAATCTGTGTGGACTCTAACTGCCTTGACCACTGGGATATAGGAATGTGACTTTGAGGCTGGGTCATAAAAGGGCATACCTCTCCTTCCTTGTTTATGGGAACACTTGCTCTTGGAGTGCTACCCTGAGACCTCCATACTGGGCAAGTAAGATGGAGCATTCTGCTCCACAGTCCTAGCTGAGCCCAGCCTTCTAGCTATCCCCATCAAGGTGCCAGACATCACAGTCCCTCCAGCCTAACCAACTGGTACCAGCAATGACCTCCATCCATCAACACCATGTGCAACAGAAGAATTGCCCAACTGAGCCCTTCCCAAATTCACAGCACAAAATTGGGGGCTATAATAAAATGATTGTTGTTTTAAGGTATGAATTGTTGGAGTTGTTTGTTACACAGCAACAGATAACTGAGACACTACTCCTACAGTTGCTTATTATTACTACTATTATGATTATTCTTATTAGTATTAAAAGACTGTGCCACTTGAATCTTGCCCTAACTATTTCTGGCTAATAAACTGCCCTTTAAGAAGCTACAGAAATATTCCTTATGAACTGTTGCTCCAGGACTTGTCCAGGAAAATGACTCATCTTATGTGATCTGGCCCCAAAGAACATATCAAGCTCAGTGTACAATAAACACTAGCAAGCCAATATTTGTCTTTTAAAACTCTGAAAAGTTCAAAGCCAAACCAAATGTCAAACTAACAAGCATGCCTCCCATTTTTAAATAAAAAATATAAAACCTAAATTCCTGATTTCCCCTGAATATAGCAGACGTGCCTGGGAGAGCCTGATTCCTGTAACACACCAGCCAAGGAGGAAAGACGCTAATGGTCTTGTGTTCTTTCTACCTGTCAAAGTGAAGGAAAACAACACATTGCTTTTAAACAATATTTATGTAACACTCCCCAGAAGCTGTACCTGCTGAAGTAAACTATAACCTTTCTCTCTTTAAACACCTTTTACTTGTTATTCAAATAGGAAGTTATTCTTTCAGAATTAGCTACATCTGTCAACCTAGCATTCCTGACTGCCACATAGAACGTTCTTACCATATCCCATCTCCTCAATAACTTTCTCTCAAGCTTAATTTCCCCCTAGGTTTCATTTATTTTTGTGAACTCCCTGGGGCTTCCTGACAAAAGAAACCTTTAGGACTGTAGGTAACGGTAGGTAACATGGTCTGCACGTTTAGGGCTATATTTTCTTTTATTAGATTTTTCAACTCAGAGTAAGACAGTGGGACAAATCCACGCTGAAGGCAATTAGGTTTTTATTAATGGTTCCACAGACCCGACGTTTGTTATAAGCCTTAATGCACCAACTTTCTTGTCTCCTTCATGGGTTTAAAAGGTGTCCAGTGTGTTCTCAGATGTGTTTTTGTTGGATGGGCATGGGCTATAGCTCTTTGGCAGGAAAGCGTGGGTTGAGTAGACGAAAATGTACTGGATTCTATCTGCAAAATTCCAAGCACTCACTTCCATTGTTTCCTTATGTGCCATGCATTTATCAGGATGAAACCATCCCCTTTCCTTCACTGATCATTGTTTATAACCGCTTATCCATGGATGGGTGTTCCAGCTTTCGGCCTTGCCTGAAAAACATGCAGATGATTGCAATCTGCATTCTACCTGTAACTAATCCCATCCACAGCCTCTCCCATCTGCCACGGACTCTCCTCCCTGCGACTTTTAGTGATACAGAGTGAGGTTAGTCCTGGCTACTCTCCAGCAGAATTTCACACATAAGGCAAGGGCCAAGCAGAGATGTCCCTTACCCACCCAAGAGAACATGACAGAGAGGGCCACAGTGGGACTCTGGTGGAGGGTAGTTTAAGGAAGAGGAGGGGGCTTCGTTTTCAAGAGAATGAATTCGACCGATCTGGCCCGAGAATGCATTCCTGGCTGCACCTGTGAGGTGTTCGATGAACAAACTGGCTTTGGGTTTTCCTGGATGTCGTCTGATCTGAGTGGAATCCAGAGAGGTGCAATCAGGGTCTTGGAAGACTGAAAGCAAATGGTGGATTGGATGGGTTCATCTTCACTCTGCTTTTTCATCTTTTTCAAATTTGCAAACTGCTCTTTGCATGCCACACAGACACAACCATCACTAGGTCCTCTGCTGAACACCTATGGCGGTCCAGGTCCCACCCAGCAGGCTTCCTGTCAGATTTTCCAGATTTAGCTTCAAAATAGGTCGTATTTATTATGCCCTGCCTAGTTCCAGAAAGGGTTGGAGGCAGCTAACTTAAAAACATAATTATGAAAAGCTGATTCGGCTTCTTATTTGGTTAAAGATGTTTTGCTGTAAATGTGAAAAAATATTTTAAATCCTCTTTTTTATTTTAGAGTGATCTTTGAAGATGATTACCTTATTTTACAAACAGACGTTTCTAATAATTGAATACCATTAAATATCTGTCCAAAAATTTCCTTTTGACCTCAAAATTACAACTAATATATAGTGTTTTTGTTTCTTCCTAACGACAAGGAAATCTGATGTCATTGTGTAAATGATGCAGAAGAAATGTTTTGCATGGGCAAAAGTGCACTATCTCAAGGATTTGGATAAACTTTTATGTCATTGTCCTTGTCTGTGGCACAGTGTGGGGCGGGGGAGGGGGTCCTCTGCTCTGATCCACCCCAACACCCGAATGGTCTTAGTATTTTATATTATATTATATTATATTATATTATTTCATTCAACATTGAGGCACACTGCCTTTTAATTTTTTCCTTCTGTGGACCACTTGAACTCTCGATTTCCCATGGTTTATTAAAATACCCAAATGTCATTCTTTTACTTCGATTTTATAAATAAACCTTTGGCTGTATCTGTCAGGGAGGGCTGAATTTACTAATTCTCAGGCCAAACCAGGCTGTGCTGGGACTCAGTGGCAGTTCGTGGCCATGCAGGCAATTCTGCTGGCCTGGTTGTTGCTGCCGTTTCCTGACGTGCCCTCTGTTCCCTGCCCAAACAACCCTCAGCGTTGGACAGATGAGAGAAAGGAGAAGATAAATGCTCTCCCGTCTGGTGTGGAGATAATGCCTGACCACTCATCCTCCTTCCTGCTTTTATTCCGGGTGTAGATGGTGAGCCTGCCCATGGCCCAGTCTTTCACATGGAGCAGCAGGGCGTTCTCTCCAGTGGGAAGTAGCTCATGTCAGTTTCAATCATTTCCATTCCGGGCATTTTGCAGACCTTGGCTTCTTCTTGAGAAAGGTGAGCAGAGATATCCAGTGCCTCGAGGAGCCCAAAATGCATGATCCTGGTGCCTGTCACAGAGATATCCAGTGCCTCCAGGAGCCCAAAATGCATGATCCTGGTGCCTGTCCCAGGTCTTCCCTCCTGGGTAGAATCTTCTGACCCGAATGTGGGGAAGCACAATGACCCCTAATCGCAAAGGAATGTTGGAGGATCATGCTGTGCACTCACTGCGGAGATGCATGTTTGGATTACGTGTTCTCATTTAGCAGCCGCCCGTTTGACAGGACATACTGCACGCCAGCCCTCTTGTTGACTTAGTTCCTGTACTGGCAAAGCCAAATAAACTGAGTTTGAGGAAGAGTGTGATTCGGGGGGAGAGGGCTGATTGGTGAGGACAGATTGGCGGTGAAGGGGAATTGAGTAGAGCCGTGGCTGCAGCTGTGAAAGAGGTGGGTGCACCCAAGTTCAACCGCATGTGGGCTGCCCACAAGACTACAGGAGCCTGGGTTCTGGAGGCGCTCTATGTCCCCAGGTCGAGGGGCTTAATTTACTGTTGTGTTTTGTTTGTGTAACAAAATATGTAATAGTACCTCATAAAACAAAACAGAAAAAGGAATGAAATCATAGGGTGGTGACTTCTTTCTAAAAAGGACTCCCCATGTTTGGAGCTCTGGGGGCAGGGCATTGTGCTAAGCGACTTTAACACATGGATATCTCTGTGCGGGTGACTTAGTCTGTTTGTGCTGCTATAACAAAATGCCACAGATGATGCAATTTATAAACAATGGAAATTTGTTGCTCAAGTTCTGTAGGCTAAGAAACTCAAGATCAAGATGGGCTGGGCGTGGTGTCTCATGCCTGTAATCCCAGCATTTTGGGAGGCTGTGGCAGGAGGAACACTTGAGCCCAGGAGTTTGAAACCAGCCTGGGCAACACAGTGAGACCCCATCTCTAAAAAAAAAATGTTTTTTAATTCACTGGGCATAGTGGCATGCACCTGTAGTCCCAGGTACTCAGTGGGCTGAGGTGGAAGAATTGCTTGAGCCTGGGAAGTTGAGACCACAGTGAGCTGTATTTGTACCACTGCATTCCAGCCTGGGTGACAAAGTGAGACCTTGTCTCAAAAAATAAAAATAAAAAAGATCAAGGTGGAAGCAGATTCTGTGTCTTGTGATGGCCCATTCCTTGTAGATGGTGACTTCTGTATGTCCTCGCATGGCAGAAGAGGTGAACAATCTTCCTCAGATCCCCCTTTATAAGCTTGCTGCTGTGGTTTGAATGTCTCCCCAAGTTCATGTGTTGGAAACAATCCTTAATGCAACAGTAATGAGAAATGAAAACTTTAAGAGGTGATTAGGTTATAAGGACTCTACCCTCATGCTCATGAATGATTTCACATTATTATCCAGGGAATGGGTTCATTATCAAGAGACTGGATTTGTTATAAAAGCAAGTTCATCCCTCTCTTGTTCCCTCTCTTACTTCATCTATGGGATGATGCAGTGAGAAAGCCCTCACCAGAGGTAGTGCCTTGGTCTTGGACTTCTCAGCCTCCAGAACCATGAGCCAATAAATTTCTGTTCTGTGTAAATTATCCAGTCTCAACTATTCTGTTACAGCAGCATAGAACAGACTAAGATGTCCCTAATCCCCTTCTTAAGGACTCTGCTTTTATGACCTAATTACCTCCTAAAGGCTCCACCTGTTAGTACTATTGCATTGAGGACTAGGTTTCAACTTATAAATTTTAGGGTGACACAAACATACAGACCATAGCATTCTGCCCCAGCCCCCCTAAATTCATGTCATTTTCACATGCAAAATACATTAGTTCCATCTCAATAGCCCCAAAAGTCTTCACTTATTCTAGCATCAACCAAAAATTTAAAGTCCAAAGTCTCATCTAAATTTCATCTAAATCAGATATGGTGAGACTCAAAGTAGGATTCATCCTGAAGCAAATTGCTGTCCAGCTATAAGCCTGTGAAATCAAGCAAGTTATGTGCACCCAGATACAATATTGGGGCAGGCAGAAGACAGACATTCCCATTCCCAAAGGGAAAAATGGGAAGGGAGAAAGGGGCAATAGGACTCAAGTAAGTCCAAACAATGCTAAATCTTCATGCTTGAGACTAACCTCCGCTGACTGCATGTCCTACCTTCTGGACACACTGGGGTGGGATTTGAGGTCACAAGGCTTTGGGGTGGCTTTGCCCCCAAAGCTTCACTGGACCGAGCCCACACTGTAGTTCTCCCAGGTTGGAGTCTCATGCCTGTGGCTCTCCCAGACTGGAATTGCATGTTGATGGTTTCACTAGTCTGGAGTCTAGAAGGCTGCCCCATTCTCACGACTCCCACTAGGCATTGCCCTAGTGAAGGCTCTCTGCAGTGGGCTTGCCCTGCAGGTGCCCCTCTGAGTTCATTGCATGCCAGAGACTGCAGGCGGTTCCATCTTTTGAAATCTAGGTGGCGCCAGCCACACCCCCACAGCTCATGCACTCCGCAGCCTGGTGGATGTGAAGGTTTACTGCCTGTGCTCTCTGAAATCAGAAGATTCCAAACCCCCTGTGCCAGGCAGTATTATTGTGCTAAGGTGGACTGGAAGATCTACTGGCTCTTACCTTTGGTTGGATTATTTGCTAGGGGGCCTCTTGCTTCTCCAGACTACTAACCTCCTGGCTCAAGCACCCACAGGCTTCACCAATGCCCAACCCCATCTAAGTCCTGGAGTGAGCAGGCTTAGGTGCTTGCTGTCGCTGTGGCCAAAGCATACCTTGGCTACAGTGCTGGATAGCACAGATACAGATAAACAAATACCAGGCCAATTTGTTCTCTTGCTTTTTATTAGGAGAAGAAAGGAAGTCCTTTCTCCATCTGGACATAAAGAACTTATGGAGAAAGACTGGGCTGACCATGAGTGGTAGAACAAAAATAAGGCAGAAGAACAGGAAAAAAAAAAACAAGAAGGAGAAGCACAGAAAAATAAATAAGATGCAGAGTGATCTGTTTATTGGGTTGGTTTCTGTGTAAGCACACAGCTGAGTGGTTAATACCCAGAACCCTGTGAATTTCCCTCGACTGTGGTGGGGAGGAGAGCACTGTGGTCATCTCTTTCTCATCTGAGGGAACTGAGGCCCAGAACACAAGCCCAGCTCACAGCTAAAAAGTCATGATCACAGGATGCAAACCCTGTCTTTGTGGGACTGCACAGCCAGTGCCTTGAGTACTCTGCAATTTTACCCCAAAGTTTCAGTAGTGTGCCTTGGGGATCAATTGTGTTTGAGCCAAGGTGGAAATTTTTCTGCTGGAAAAAGTTATGAGTAAGCTACCACGGATCCAAAAGTAATTTGCTTTGCATGGTTTTCACCCCAATATTAATTGGAAAAATAAAGCAGGGAACTCTCCTTGTTGCAACAAGAGGCCAGGAAGCCAACACATCATTCATAAGCAACATTAGGTGTTTCCTTGGGGGAAAAACACTTTTTTTTTCAGAATGGAAATATCTTTATTGCTGTCTTGCTTAAAGAAGTACCTGTTCACCTCCTGTCCAAGAAGGCCGAATAGGAACAGCTCCAGTCTACAGCTCCCAGCATGAGCGACACAGAAGACAGGTGATTTCTGCATTTCCAACTGAGGTACCGGGTTCATCTCACTGGGGATTGTCGGACAGTGGGTGCAGGACAGTGGGTGCAGTGTACCAAGTGTGAGCCAAAGCAGGGTGAGGTATCGCCTCACCCGGGAAGTGCAAGGGGTCAGGGAATTCATTTTCCTAGCCAAGGGAAGGGGGAACAAATGGCACCTGGAAAATCGGGTCACTCCTACCCTAATACTGTGCTTTTCCGACAGTCTTAGCAAACGGCACACCAGGAGATTATATCCCACGCCTGGCTCAGAGGGTCCTACACCCACGGACCCTTGCTCATTGCTAGCACAGCAGTCTGAGATCAAACTGCAACACGGCAGCGAGGCTGGAGTGGGGGGGGCGCCCGCCATTGCTGAAGCTTGAGTAGGTAAACAAAGCGGCCCGGAAGCTCGAACTGGGTAGCCCACCACAGCTCCAGGAGGCCTGCCTGCCTCTGTAGACTCCACCTCTGGGGGCAGGGCATAGCCGAACAAAAGGCAGTAGAAACCTCTGAAGACTTAAATGTCCCTGTCTGACAGCTTGGAAGAGAGTAGTGGTTCTCCCAGCATGCAGCTTGAGATCTGAGAATGGACAGACTGCCTCCTCAAGTGGGTCCCTGACCCCCGAGTAGCCTAACTGGGAGGCACCCCCCAGTAGGGGCAGACTGACAACTCACATGGCCAAGTACCCCTCTGAGACGAAACTTCCAGAGGAACGATTAGGCAGCAACATTTGCTGTTCACCAATATTCGCTGTTCTGTAGCCTCTGCTGCTGATACTCAGGCAAACAGGGTCTGGAGTGGACCTCCAGCAAATTCCAACAGACCTGCAGCTGAGGGTCCTGACTGTTAGAAGGAAAACTAACAAACAAAAAGGACATCCACACCAAACCCCATCTGTAGTCACCATCATCAAAGACCAAAGGTAGATAAAACCACAAAGATGGGAAAAAAACAGAGCAGAAAAACTGAAAATTCTGAAAACCGGAGCTTCTCTCCTCCTCCAAAGGAACGCAGCTCCTCACCAGCAACGGAACAAAGCTGGAGGGAGAATGACTTTGACAAGTTGAGAGAAGAGGGCTACAGATGATCAAAATTCTCTGAGCTAAAGGAGGAAGTTTGAACCCAATGCAAATAAGTTAAAAACCTTGAAAAAAGATTAGACAAATGGCTAACTAGAATAACCAATGCAGAGAAGTCCTTAAAGGACCCGATGGAGCTGAAAACCATGGCATGAGAACTACGTGACGAATGCACAAGCTTCAGTAGCCGATTTGATCAACTGGAAGACAGGGCATCAGTGACGGAAGATCAAATGAATGAAATGAAGCAAGAAGAGAAGTTAAGAGAAAAAAGAGTAAAATGAACAAAGCCTCCAAGAAATATGGGACTATGTGAAAAGACCAAATCTACGTCTGATCAGTGTACCTGAAAGTGACGGGGAGAATGGAACCAAGTTGGAAAACACTCTGCAGGATATTATCCAGGAGAACTTCCCCAACCTATCAAGGCAGGCCAACATTCAAATTCAGGAAATACAGACGTCACAAAGATATTCCTCGAGAAGAGCAACTCCAAGACACATAATTGTCAGATTCACCAAAGTTGAAATGAAGGAAAAAATGTTAAGGGCAGCCAGAGAGAAAGGTCGGGTTACCCACAAAGGGAAGCCCATCAGACTAACAGCTGATCTCTCGGTAGAAACTCTACAAGCCAGAAGAGAGTGGGGGCAAATATTCAACATTCTTAAAGAAAAGAATTTTCAACCCAGAATTTCATATCCAGCCAAACTAAGCTTTATAAGTGAAGGAGAAATAAAATACTTTACAGACAAGCAAATGCTGAGAGATTTTGTCACCACCAGGCCTGCCCTACAAGAGCTCCTGAAGGAAGCACTAAACATGGAAAGGAACAACCAGTACCAGCCACTGCAAAAACATGCCAAATTGTAAAGACCATCAAGGCTAGGAAGAAACTGCATCAACTAACAAGCAAAATAACCAGCTAACATCATAATGACAGGATCAAATTCACACATAACAATATTAACCTTAAATGTAAATGGGCTAAATGCTCCAATTAAAAGACACAGACTGACAAATTGGATAAAGAGTCAAGACCGATCAGTGTGCTGTATTCAGGAAACCCATCTCACATGCAGAGACACACATAGGCTCAAAATAAAGGGATGGAGGAAGCCCTACCAAGCAAATGGAAAACAAAAAAAAGGAAAGGGTTACAATCTTAGTCTCTGATAAAACAGACTTTAAACCAACAAAGATCAAAAGAGACAAAGAAGGTTATTACATAATGGTAAAGGGATCAATTCAACAAGAAGAGCTAACTATCTTAAATATATATGCTCCCAATCTGGGAGCACCCAGATTCATAAAGCAAGTCCTTAGAGACCTACAAAGAGACTTAGACTCCCACACAATAATAATGGGAGACTTTAACACCCCACTGTCAACATTAGACAGATCAACGAGACAGAAAGTTAACAAGGATATCCAGGAATTGAACTCAGCTCTGCGCCAAGCAGACCTAATAGACATCTACAGAACTCTCCACCCCAAATCAACAGAATATACATTCTTCTCAGCACCACACCGCACTTACTCCAAAATTGACCACACAGTTGGAAGTAAAGCACTCCTCAGCAAATGTAAAAGAACAGAAATTATAACACACTGTCTCTCAGACTACAGTGCAATCAAACTAGAACTCAGGATCAAGAAACTCACTCAAAACTGCTCAACTACATGGAAACTGAACAATCTGCTCCTGAATGACTACTGGGTACATAATGAAATGAAGGCAGAAATAAAGATGTTCTTTGAAATCAATGAGAACAAAGACACAACATACCAGAATCTCTGGGACACATTTAAAGCAGTGTGTAGAGGGAAATTTATAGCACTAAATGCCCTCAAGAGAAAGTAGGAAAGATCTAAAATTGACACCCTAACATCACAATTAAAAGAACTAGAGAAGCAAGAGCAAACACATTCAAAAGCTGGCAGAAGGGAAGAAATAATTAAGATCAGAGCAGAACTGAAGGAGATAGAGAAACAAAAAACCCTTCAAAAAATCAATGAATCCAGGAGCTGGTTTTTTGAAAAGATCAACAAAATTGATAGACCGCTAGCAAGACTAATAAAGAAGAAAAGAGAGAAGAATCAAATAGACGCAATAAAAAATGATAAAGGGGATATCACCACCAATCCCACAGAAATACAAACTACCATCAGAGAATACTATAAACACCTCTACGCAAATAAACTAGAAAATCTAGAAGAAATGGATAAATTCCTCGACACATACACTCTCCCAAGACTAAACCAGGAAGAAGTTGAATCTCTGACTAGACCAATAACAGGCTCTGAAATTGAGGCAATAATTAATAGCTTACCAACCAAAAAAAGTCCAGGACCAGAAAGATTCACAGCCGAATTCTACCAGAGGTACAAAGAGGAGCTGGTACCATTCCTTCTGAAAGTATTCCAATCAAATAGAAAAAGAGGGAATCCTCCCTAACTCATTTTATGAGGCCAGCATCATCCTGATACCAAAACCTGGCAGAGGCACAACAAAAAAAAGAGAATTTTAGACCAATATCCCCGATGAACATCGATGCAAAAATCCTCAATAAAATACTGGCAAACCGAATCCAGCAGCACATCAAAAGGCTTATCCACCATGATCAAGTGGGCTTCATCCCTGGAATGCAAGGCTGGTTCAACATACACAAATCAATAAATGTAATCCAGCATATAAACAGAACCAATGACAAAAACCACATGATTATCTCAGTAGATGCAGAAAAGGCCTTTGACAAAATTCAACAGCCCTTCATGCTAAAAACTCTCAATAAATTAGGTATTGATGGGACATATCTCAAAATAATAAGAGCTATTTATGACAAACCCACAGCCAATATCATACTGAATGGACAAAAACTGGAAGCATTCCCTTTGAAAACTGGCACAAGACAGGGATGCCCTCTTTCCCCACTCCTATTCCACATAGTGTTGGAAGTTCTGGCCAGGGCAATCAGGCAGGAGAAAGAAAAAAAGGGTATTCAATTAGGAAAAGAGGAAGTCAATTGTCCCTGTTTGCAGATGACATGATTGTATATCTGGAAAACCCCATCGTCTCAGCCCAAAGTCTCCTTAAGCTGATAAGCAACTTCAGCAAAGTCTCAGGATATAAAATTAATGTACAAAAATCACAAGCATTCTTATACACTTATAACAGACAAACAGAGAGCCAAATCATGAGTGAACTCCCATTCACAATTGCTTCAAAGAGAATAAAATACCTAGGAATCCAACTTACAAGGGATGTGAAGGACCTCTTCAAGGAGAACTACAAACCAATGCTCATTGAAATAAAAGAGGATACAAACAAATGGAAGAACATTCCATGCTCATGGATAGGAAGAATCAATATCGTGAAAATGGCCATACTGCCCAAGGTAATTTATAGATTCAATGCCATGCCCATCAAGCTACCAATGGCTTTCTTCACAGAATTGGAAAAAACTACTTTAAAGTTCATATGGAACCAAAAAAGAGCCCGCATTGCCAAGTCAATCCTGAGCCAAAAGAACAAAGCTGGAGGCATCACGCTACCTGACTTCAAACTATACTACAAGGCTACAGTAACCAAAACAGCATGGTACTGGTACCAAAACAGAGATATAGACCAATGGAACAGAACAGAGCCCTCAGAAATAATGCCGCATGTCTACAACTATCTGATCTTTGACAAACCTGACAAAAACAAGAAATGGGGAAAGGATTCCACATTTAACAAAAGGTGCTGGGAAAACTGGCTAGCCATATGAAGAAAGCTAAAACTGGATCCCTTCCTTACACCTTATACAAAAATTAATTCAAGATGGACTAAAGACTTAAATGTTAGACCTAAAACTATAAAAACCCTAGAAGGAAACCTAGGCAATACCATTCAGGACATAGGCATGGGCAAGGACTTCATGTCTAAAACACCAAAAGCAATGGCAACAAAAGCCAAAATTGACAAATTAAACTAAAGAGCTTCTGCACAGCAAAAGAAACTACCATCAGAGTGAACAGGCAACCTACAGAATGGGAGAAAAATTTTCAATCTACTCTTCTGACAAAGGGCTAATATCCAGAATCTACAATGAACTCAAACAAATTTACAAGAAAAAAACAAACAACCCCATCAAAAAGTGGGCAAAGGATATGAGCAGACACTTCTCAAGACATTTATGTAGCCAACAGACACATGAAAAAATGCTCATCATCACTGGCCATCAGAGAAATGCAAATCAAAACCACAATGAGATACCATCTTACACCAGTTAGAATGGCAATCATTAAAAAGTCAGGAAACAACAGGTGCTGGAGAGGATATGGAGAAATAGGAACACTTTTACACTGTTGGTGGGACTGTAAACTGGTTCAACCATTGTGGAAGACAGTGTGGCGATTCCTCAGGGATCTAGAACTAGAAATACCATTTGACCCAGCCATCCCATTACTGGGTATATACCCAAAGGACTATAAATCATGCTGCTGTAAAGACACATGCACACGTATGTTTATTGCAGCACTATTCACAATAGCAAAGACTTGGAACGAACTTGGAACCAACCCAAATGTCCAACAATGATAGACTGGCTTAAGAAAATGTGGCACATATACACCGTGGAATACTATGCAGCCATAAAAAATGATGAGTTCATGTCCTTGTAGGGACATGGATGAAGCTGGAAACCATCATTCTCAGCAAACTATCTCAAGGACAAAAAACCAAACATCACATGTTCTCATTCATAGGTGGGAATTGAACAATGAGAACACTTGGACACAGGAAGGGGGACATCACGCACTGGGGCCTGTTGTGGGGTGGGGGGAGGGGGGAGGGATAGCATTAGGAGATATACCTAATGTAAATGACGAATTAATGGGTGCAGCACACCAACATGGCACATGTATACATATGCAACAAACCTGCACGTTGTGCACATGTACCCTAGAACTAAAGTATAATAATAAAAAAAGAAGTACTGGTTCATTATAAAATATCAAAAAGCATAAATGTATAAAGGCTCATCTCCCTTTTCTTCAGTTCCTCTCCCTGCTCTGCAAGAATGGACTTCCAAGGCTGTAGATGGACTATAGATGGTTTTATATAATAAGAAAGAAGAATCCACAATATGGGCACCATTGTGTATGAAGATGTCTTTCCAAGGTAATACACTCCGTGCAGAGCTTGCTTTTTTGGAACTGTGAGAGCTTCATTGATGAATGGACTCTTAACAATTCCCCACTGACAGGGATACGACGTCATGATATTACAAACAACCCTGCCATGAGCATTTCCTGAATCCTTGTGCATCTTTACCCATCTTGAAGTATTTCCTCAGGACAGATTTATAGGGCAGGGATGTATTTTTTTTTTACATTTTTTCATTTTTTAAAAATATTTTTAGAGACAGGGTCTCTCTCTGTCACCCAGGCTGGAGTGCAGTGGTGAGATTATAGCTCATTGCATCCTTGAACTCCTGGCTTCAAGTGACACTCCTGCCTCAGCCTCTCAAGTAGCTGGAATTACAGGTGTGCACCACCATGCCCAGCAAATTTGCTTTTTTTTTTTTTTATAGAGATGCGGTCTCACCATGTTGCCCAGTCTGGTCTTGAATTCCTGGCCTTAAGCAATCCTCCCATCTCTGCTTCCCAAAGTGCTGGGATTACAGGCACGAGCTACTGTGCCCAGGCTACAGGGCAGTTTTTAAAAGCCCTAGTGTCTCTAAGCGTGTTATGCTGGGCCACATCCCCCAAAGGTAAACACCCACATCACAGTCACAACACAACCCACATTCCTGGCTTTGTTGTGCTTGCCATTGCAGATCCCCAAGCCTCCTTGGAGCATCCCCACTAAATTCTATTCATGGGGGGCAGGACGCAGGCCTTTAAGCCACCCTGCAGCATCCTCCACTTACTTTTTTTACCTTCCCTGTACTGATTGTATGAGATGCCAAGGCCCTGTTCCCTCTCTCGGCTGACAATGGTCCTCACCCACATTCAGCAAACCTGGGCTGGGGTTGGGGTAGTCAGGACCTTGACAATTTCCATGCCAGGGACCCAGATCCCATCTCTGGAGCCACAAGCCTCTGAGCTGTCAGATGAATGGCAAAGTCGTTCCTTGACTCCATCATACACAATCCAAACTCAATATTCCCTGGACTCCTTCCGTCTCTGTCCTACAAGATTCCAGAATCCCCATACCAGGACAGTATTATTATACTAAGTTGGAATGGAAGATCTACTGGCTCTTATCTTTGGATGGGTTTTTTCCTAGGTGGCCTCTTAGGCGTCCAGACTACTAAACATCTGGCTCAAGCACCCACAGGTTTCACAAATGCCCAAACCCACCCAAGTCCTAGAGTGAGCGGCTTAGGTTCTTGTTCTGCTCACACCACAGATTGTTGGATCTCCATGTGTAGGGGGTGAAGGGGGCAACTCGGAGATTTTGAAGGGAGAAGTGTCACGAGCATCTTCGTGGGCAGGAGGAAGATGAGGATGTGAAAATTAGAAGAGACAACCTGGGGATGGGGGAGACACATTCAAGAATGCTAGAATATCAGAGCTGACTAATACACTGAGCTTGCAGTGTATTAGTCAGTGTTGCTGCAGCAACAAACAGCCCCAGATTTTCAGTGGCCACAACAGCAAACACACCTTTCTCACTATATTACTGGGGCCCCGGCTGTTGCTCTGCTCCATGCATCTTCTCATTCTGGGACCCAAACTCAAGAAGCAGTCATGTGGGTCTCAAGGCAGAGAAAAAGAGCAAGAGGGCTGGCAGGAGATCCCACTGTACTTCTTAGATAGAGCTTGTGCAAGCACCTGGCTTAACTCTTATTTGCTCACATTTCAGTGGCTAAAGCATGTCCCCTGGCTAAGCTCAAAGTCAAGGGACAGAGATGTATAATCCTTTAACAGGGAAGAGGGTGTGAAGAATTGTTAATACCAACTCTAACTACCACAGATGGCACAACCCTAACTCTGTTATATGCCGGGAGAAAGTGAGGCACAGAAAGGGGAAGTGGCTTGCCCAAGGTCCACAAACCAGGTAGCAGCAGAACCAGCTCTAGCACCAAATTTCCTGGCAACCAATCCAATGTTCTTAATCCTACTCCCAAAATTTCTTCCAAGAGATATTAACTGATATGGCTTGACTCTGTCCCCACCCAAATCTCATGTTGAATTGTAATCCCCAGTGTTGGAGATGGGGCCTGGTGGGAGGTGATTGGATCATGGGGGTGGATCCTTCATAAATGGTTTCGCACCATCCTCCCCCAGTGCTGTCTTGTGATAGAGTTCCAATGAGATCTGGTTGTTTGAAAGTGTGTGGCATGTTCCCATTGGTTCTCTTGCTCCTGCTCCCACCATGTAAGACATACCCGCTTCCCTTTTGTCTTCCATCATGACTGTAAGCTTCCTGAGGCTTCCACAGCCATACTTCCTGTACAGCCTGCAGAACAGTGAGCCAATTAAACCTCTTTTCTTTATAAATTACTCAGTCTCAGCCATTTCTTTATAGCAATGGGACAATGGACTAATACATTAACCAACTGCGGAATGGGCAGGGAGGTCTTTGTTATAAGACAGCTCAGAGCCTTTAATATGCCATTGAGGGGTTGGGTGCAATGGTTCATGCCTGTAACCCCAACACTTTGGGAGGCCAAGGCGGGTGGATCATCTGAGGCCAGGAGTTCGAGACCAGCCTAGCCAACATGGCGAAACCCCATCTCTACTAAAAATACAAAAATTAGCCAGGCGAGGTGGTACACCTGTCATCCCAGCTTCCCGAGAGGCTGAGGCAGGAGAATTGCTTGAACATGGGAAGTGGAGGTTGCAGTGAGCCGAGATCGCACCACTGCACTCCAGCCTGGGTGACAAGAGTAAAATTCCATCTCAAAAAAACAAACAAAAAAATACGTCATTGAGATTTATCATCTCCAGGTCAGGAAAGTGGGCTTCAGCTTTTCCCAACTTTTTTTTTTTAATCACAAAATCCACAGAACCATCTGAGGAGCAGCATGTGGGGTTGGTGTTCCCAGGAACACACTTTGGGAAACACAGCAGCACCACACCAGCAAGTCAGATGGACTTACTGCACCACAGGCAACATGAGACTCAAGTTTTAGGTTGCTATAAGGAATGTTTTAAAATAACATAACCTTCATATAAATTCTTCACAGCTTAGAAATAGACACAGCTTTCATTTTTAGAAAGTTCCCATTACTTTGTAAGGCCATCATTAATTTTGATTATTTTTTCCATTTTTATTTCTTTTTAGTTGCAGCTGAAAATGTAATAAATGTAATGAAACAGATATTCATAAAGTCATTGGTGGATGAATCATGGGGATCTGGATAATGTTTTTGTCTATGACAGCCTTTATTTCTTTAATAAAAACAACAAATATCACAAATCACTTCTCAACAATAAAAATATGTTTTCACAAAGCAAAAACCTACGTTTTGCTGTGAAAATGGCAGCACATCTGTCATTCTCAACACATCTTAAACAGTCGTACATGGCGTGTGGTTGGGGCCATGGGACTCTTCTGAAAAAGGCTACAAGAATTAGGTCATCTCAAATCATTAGGGTATTTTTTTCCATGATGATTATTTTGAGTTGTAACATATGTTAAATTAAAATAAACTTTATATGGCTTTGGATTTCCCCAAATCTTTCAAAAAGTAAAATCCTATTCAAATGGCTCAAAAATAATACTGTAAAATATACTCCAGTCCCCCTTTAAGAGTTTTCTGATATACTGGAATAGACTTAGAAACTGTGGCCAGAAGGGTCGGCTCTTTTTGCCCGCTTCTTAGGCAGGTGTTTCCACAGATCACAAGCTTCTGGTTAAAAGAGGCCTGAAGACCACTGACCTGCTCCCTGTGGGCCTGAGTCCTCTCCTCTTCGTCCCTCCAGGTCACCACACAGGCCCTGGGGACAGGTACAGCTCACAGCTAGGAAGTCATGATCCCAGGATTCAAACCCCATCTTTGTGTAACTGCACAGCCAGTGCCCTAATACTCTCCAGTTTTACCCGAGAGTTTCAGTGGCAAGGCTTGGGCCTCAATTGTGTTTCCACCAAGGTGGAAAATTTTCTGCTGGAAACAGTTATGAGTACAGTTAAGAGTCCCCCACCTGACCACGTGGGACAGGTCAGGTGATACAAAGTTGTCCTTTATGTGGGACCAAAATGTACTTCCCTTCAGTCTCTGTTGAGGGAGGAGGAATGAGTCTAATTCCTGTATCCTGTGACTGTCCCTTCAAATATTTCAAGACTGTCATCTTCCTCCCCAGTCTTCTCTTCCACAGACCAAACAACCTTCAGCTCCTATGCGGCACCTGGCATGAATGCTTCTGAGGCTCTGCAGCTGCTGGAGGCGGACATTGGCCTAAAGGAGCCCATGAGTCCATGATGCCAAGACTGGGCAGGGACACCCAAGAGCTGTTTCTACTCTAGGAAATGGGGTGAGTGGAGGACAGGGGTGTCAGAGCCTCATGGGGCAGCAGGGCCTGTCTCCCTCATTGCCTTGATTGTGCCCTATGACTGTGTCCCCATACTGCCATGGAGATGGGACAGGACCCTAGCCCAACCTCTGTGTCTCTGTGGCCTTTCTACCCAGTGCCAAACCAGATGATGTGTTTAAATATGTAGATGACCAGCATAATGGAGACATGTCCTGAGTTATATACGTAAAACCCTGCAACATAATGAGAAATACATGTTCGTCATTGTAACTGTGGAGAATGTGGGGCCGTTTGTTCCTGCGGTAATGCTGACTAATACACCAACTAAGATTCCTCCCAGAAATATGTGCAGCCACCCACGGCTTAACAATGGGGATGTGATCTGAGAAACTTGTCATTAGGAAATTTCATCATTGTTCAAACATCATGGAGTGACTTACACCAACCTAGATGGTGTAGGCTACTACACACCTAGGTTACATGGTAGAGCATTTTGCTCCTAGGCTACAAACCTGTGCAGCATGCTACTGTACTGAATACTGCAGACAACTGTAGCACAATGGTAAGCATCTGTGTATCTCAACCTAGAAAAGGTACAGAAAAAATACAGTATTATAATATTATGGGATCACCATCATATATGCGGTCCATTGTTGGCCAAACCATTGTTATGTGGCAAAAGGCTGTACATATATAAAATGTGTGTGTAGATACACACACACACACACACACAGAGCATTTTGATAAGACACATAGATTTGCATATAATTTCTATTATCGTTCCAGAATGAAGTGGTTTGCCATTTTTATTAGTAGTTTACTCTAAACTAAATCCAACATTTCAGTTTGTTTTTCTGATCAGATTGAAAATATATTTAAAATATTATAAATCTTTTAGACTTGTCAAAAGAAAAGTGCAGTGAAATTCGTTTCACCAGATCACGAACATCTTCAAATAACCCTGGGGCTCTTTTTCTTCTCAGCATTCTCTTCCCTATCCCATCCAATCCTGCTTCTACGGCAGGTAAGAGAAAGGATAAAAACAGGTTGAGGAAAGGGTTCAGTCTGTCATTCATTTACGTCTGGGGCTGCCAGGAAAGCTGGCTGGTTTTCCTTCTGCTCTGTGAGCTGAGAGGCCTGGCGTTCCCACACTCCACACCTGAATGAGCCAGGGGGGCCTCCGCTAATTGCCTGGGTCCCTCGCCTCCTGGCCTCGTTGGTGAACAGTAAGCCATTGTTTTGTAAGGGAGAAAAATAACCTTTTAATGAATGCGTGCACATCGCCCCAGCCCCCTACCCAGCATCCTGTGCCCAGGGTTTCATCCTAGAAGACACTCCAGGGAACGAAGTGCAATGGTGCCAGGTGGCCCCACAGAGCCTCCTCACTCCTGCAGGCATCCATCTGAAATTGGACTTCATGGGCCAGGACTTCAAGGTGAACTAAAAGTAACAAGCAAAAGCCACTTGCCTCTTCTCTGCTTGAGGGGAAGTCGACCATAGAGTCAATTCGTCCCTTCGCTGATTTACTGGCTATCACAACAAACACCCTGAAATACATTCCGGAATATTATCATTGCCGCAGCATCTGCTCTGCTCTGCCAGCAAACACGACTCCCCAAAGCCACGCCAGGGCGTCACCTACTCTCCTACCTCTGCACATCCATTATATTTTTGTAACGGCAAAGGGTGCAAAAAGCAAACAGTGTGAGCTGGGCGCATGTTTTTCTAACAGGGCAGTAAGAAAATACTTGCTACCTGAGATATTTCTGTAAGTCAGTGAAGCACGCCATTCAACATGTGGGTTGCATTATCCTCTGAGTTGAGCCTGGCTTTCTAACTCACACTAAACAGGCGTCTGCCAGGGCTGAGTTTAATAAAAACTGCAACTTTCGCTAGTTAATGCATATAGGCAATAAAGATTCAGGCATCCCGAGTGCTTAAGAACAGGCTAATTGCTGTGCACTCTGTCCCTAAATGAGGGTTGTCCCCAAAAAACAGCAGAGAGACAATGACCCTGTGAGCATCCACTAGGACCAGCCTGTGATGCAAGCTTTTGAAGCATCCACACGTGATGTGCGTCAAGCTTCTGAAGCTACGCTCCTGAGGAAGGCTTTGTGCAGCTCAGACTTCCCCACCATCTGCTAACCATGCCCTGCGATGGTTTCCATCCTAAGTGGATTTATGTTCCATCCCTTCATGATGCTTGCCTACAAGGAAGGCTGTATTATTTGGAATGTATTATTTGGGTCCTGGACTGTATTATTTGGGTCCTAGAGTTTTTTCAACATGTTCATGTTGATGGTTATGTCCTTTGATTTCACTGAGGTCATTACAAGAAGCGTCTAGATGAAGATGATTAAGAAGCTTCTGCATTGGAACTGACGTCGTTTCGTTATCAAGGGTGCCCCTCGTTTTGTCACCCAGGGAGCCCAGTAGATGGTCCAACAAAAAAAAAATTTTTAACATAATGCCAGGAGAGAAATGCCCTTAAAAATGATTAAGTGGCCAGGCGCGGTGGCTCATGCCTGTAATCCCAGCACTTTGGAAGGCCGAGGTGGGTGGTCAGGAGGTCAGGAGATCGAGACCATCCTGGCTAACACGGGGAAACCCCTTCTCTAACTAAAAACACAAAAAATTAGCCGGGCATGGTAGCGGGCACCTGCAGTTCCAGCTACTCGGGAGGCTGAGGCAGGAGAATGGCATGAACTCCGGGAGGCAGAGCTTGCAGTGAGCGGAGATCGCGCCACTGCACTCCAGCCTGGGTGACAGAGCGAGACTCCATCTCAAAAAAAAAAAAAAAAGAAAAAGAAAAAGAAAGAAAGAAAGCAGCAACTTCCCCACTCAATCTTGGGAAATGAGGGGACAGGTAGCCCTATTTTCTGTAAGAAATAGTTTCTGGGCCAGGCACCTTGGCTCTCACCTGTAATTCTAGCACTTAGGAAGGCTGAGGCGGGAAGATGACTTGAGCCCAGGAGTTTGAGATCAGCCTGGGCAACATAGTGAGACCGTGTCTCTATAAAAAAATTTGAAACTTAGCCAGGTGTGGTAGCATGAGCCTATGATCCCAGCCACTCCAGAGGCTGAAATGGGAGGATCACTTGAGGCCAGGAGTTGGAGGCTGCAGTGAGCTATGATCATGCCACTGCACTCCAGCATGGATGACAAAAAAAAAAAAAAAAAAGAAAGAAAATAAGAATACATTCTCACTCACCCCTCCTCCAGAATATATATTTTTTTAAATTCCTAGTTAGAAACTCCAAGCTGTCACTGATTTAAAAGAAAAACAGTTGCTGGGAGATACACAGCTTGCTAAAGCAGAAGTCTTTCAAAATGTCACTAAAATATGAGAGTTTCCTCTAGTTATTTGGTTTCCGCCAAATAGCTAACCTATTGCCAGCTGCACACAGGAGTTAGAAAAAGGTTACAATTCATCCCACCCGATTTGAGATTTTTCCAGTTAAAGACATGGCGAGGTAGAAAGACCAAGTCCCTTGTGATGTTAGATGGTCCTGGGGTACCATTGGACTGGCCGAGTCTAATCCCTGCTCCGCCCTTAGTAGCTCTACAGCCATGGGGATGGAGCTTATCCTCTTGGCCCCCCTTTCCTTATCTTTGAAACCAGAGATATGTCTTAGATGATCTCAATGTCTCCCCTTTTTCTGAAGCCTATTACAACCTTGTGGAACCAACCATTCCTAGGGTCGCATGAGCTCGCCTTTCCTAAGGGGAATATTGAAAAGCATCCACCAGGGGGCGCCTGATCCGCTTCAGGCGGTGGCACCGGACTGGATTAACCCTGCAGACAGGTGAGGTGACCCCAGCTTTCCCATCCAGCCCTGGAAGGATTCCGGATGTCCGGGGATGTGACAGCCTCCCAGGGATTAGGCTAGAATCACACCATCTCCGCTACCAACCTGTTTTGCAATTTATTGACGCCTCTGAGCAGCTGGTCTGGATGACTCTATTTTCGGAAATTTCTGGCGTTTGGGGCCAGCTGTCTATGGGGGAAACATCTTTTCAGTACGCTCACGTATATGATTCAGTTGCAGGCAAGAATCTGGGAGCTGCTGGAAGCTGGGGGGAAAAGTCTCTGACTCTTGCCTTCAACCCCTGGCCACTGAGAAGTGGGACTGCAGCTAGTATGGCCCCCATAGCTATTGAAATGCCCGAGACACGTCAGTGTCTAAACATCTCTCAGACCACCCCTTCCACTTGGATGAACAACAGCCATCCTTTGAGAGCAGTGTGGTTCAGAAGCCACACCCTTAGTGCCTACATATTCAGGTTGGAGAACAGGTCTGCAGCCAGCCCTCAGCAGATACAGGGCCAGCTTGGAGGATAGGCTGACCAAAGAACTGAGAAGACTTATTTGGTCTCCATCACAGTTCTTGGAGAAGATGGAAAAAAGCGGGGTGGTTGAGCACCTGACATTCAAAATTGACCTACGTTGAGTGTTTGAGTTGTGAAAACCCATTAACAAGAAGGCGAATGTTTGGCTTTTTGCTGCCACAGATAAGGGCAGCTTAGGAGAGTTGCACTTTTTACCATACCCTGGAATAAAAATAACCTATCTGTCTATATCATAGACAGACCAGTTTGGGGTTTTATCCTTTAGTGTTTTGTTTTTTTTTTTTTGAGACAGAGTCTCACTCCACCTGCGCTGGAGTATGGTGGTGTAATCACTGCGCCCTGCAGCCTCAACCTCCCGGGCTCAGGTGATTCCCCCACCTCAGCCGCCCGTGTAGCGGGGACTACAGGTGCATGCCACCATGCCTGGCTAATTTCTGTATTTTTTGTAGATATGGGGTTTTACCATATTGCCCAGGCTGTTCTTGAACTCCTGGCCTCAAGCAATCTGCCCATCGTGGCCTCCCAAAGTGCTGAGATTACAGGAGTGAACCACTGGGCCTGTCCCTCCTTTGATGATCTGGATTAACCTGCCAACAGTCTGTCTTTTCCTGTAAGTCTGAAAAAAGCCACATCCTAACCCTGAAAGGGAGATCAGGTCTACAGGACTTGTGGGTGTTTTTTCCAATGCTGCCTTCTTCCCCCACCCTCTGCCTCCCATTCCAGGTGGGAAACGTGCTGGCAGGGTGACTTCTCTGGATTATAAACTCCGTGCCCTCACAGCTCTGAAGACTCAGTAGCCAGCACTAACATTGGTGAGGGGTGAAGAGCTGCTAACTGATGCTTATTATGTCTGAGCGCCAGGAACTTACAAGAAAAGTGGCCCCTGCTTCTCCCGGAACTGATGGTTCAAAGAAGCCAGCAGTCAGGCTGACAGCAGTCCTGCCAAACCTTCTCTCAGATGCAGGCTGTCCCTAAATGATAACAAGCTCCTGGAGGATCTGGGATGCCAGGATGACTGAATGCTCCTGTCCTCTCTCAAACCATCCAGCAAAGGGGCCGAGAGCTGTTTCCTCACCCAGTAATGCAGGCAAAATGCTGCATGAACTGGACAGAATTCATGAGGGTGTTCTGGTTGGAACTATCTGAATAATAACTGCTCCGGGACTGTGGGTTGTTTGATATTTTATTTCCTAAGAAGGGTAGGGGAAAACATGTAGGGACCCAATGTCTTGGTCCCAAAAGATAAACCCATCGTGGGGCCTGTGAAAGAAGAATGACATCCTTATCTCAGGCTGTTCTTGGACTCTTCATCACAGGGTGTCTGAGCCTGTGTGGATAAAATGTTCTGGAATAATGGGGCCGCTCTTTCCTTCCCCACCCCCATCCAACTGTGAAACAAGTTGTCATCTCAGAAGTGCCACAGAAGGGGGTGGCCTCCTGATCCACTTCCCGACTGACCTCACAGCCTCCAAGTCCTGGCTGAAGATTCCAGGTGGTAACTGCAGGGGCTGGACAGGAATGGTGCAGGTCTGAGCATGTGCACACTGACAGCTGTGAGCGATGGGGGACCCTGGCCATGCAGAAGAGGCACCTGCTGCCACCACACCCTGTGGGGAAGTGGGTGTGGGGAGGAAGAAAAGGGAAACATCCTTCTTGGTGGCAACTTCATAGCACCAGTCCCAGGATGAGTGGAGATGGCCACTACACAGTCTCCAAGTGACAGGAGCAGAGTCTGGCCACACGAGTCCCATCAGGAGAATGTGGCCCCGCAGGGCCTTGGCCCATCCACTCTTACCCCAGACCTCCTGGGAACTGCACAGGGCCAATCTTACATCAACCTGTAAAGACCCCTTGGCCACTTCCTGGGAAGGAGGACTGGGGCAAGTCACCGAATATCTCTTGACTTCACCTTCTCTTGCACAACAGGAAACATCAGAGCCACTTTTGTTATTGTAAACATTGAATGCATGGAGCATGTAAAGGTCCTTCCTAGAGTAGGATAAATGGGAGACTTCCTTCTTCAAAGGCTTCACTGTTTCTTAAAGCTGAGTCCTCCTGGCTCAAAGAGAGCAAAGATAAAGGAATTAGGAGCAGCCTCTCTCAAGCCAAAACTTACCCTTTTGCATTGATTGCTTCTGTAACAAATTCAAGTATCCCTATTGGCAAATAGATATTTTGGGCAGACTAAAGCAAAGATAACCAACAATGCAAGACTTCACATTTTAAATTGTTTCAAATGTTAAAGCTACCAGCCCAAGACCACCAGGAACACACTTGTCAAACACAGTGAGTTGCATTAGCTTGCAAGGGAGCACACACTGGGGAGCTATAGACTTCTCAAATAAGGACAGTCAGGAAGGGTATCATTATGGGAACTAGCAGGGGATGTGGGGTCATTCTTGGGAGGACTGGTCAACTTGTAAACAAGGTGAGTTGCTGGGACAGCATCTTTCCTTTAGAATACATGCAGTACACTTAAGCCTGTGCCGTTACTGTGAGATCAGCGTGCCCATGGTCTTCTTGAGAACATAGCCATCTGAATAAGGGTGAAGTTAGTTCAGGCTGCTTTAACAAAATGCTATAAATTGAGTGGTCTATAAATGACAGAAATTTATTTCTCGAGCCCAGGGTGGGTGGATCACTTGAGGTCAGGAGCTCGAGACCAGCCTGGCCAACACAGTGAAACCCTGTTTCTACTAAAAATACAAAAATTAGCTGGGTGTGGTGGCGGGTGCCTATAATCCCAGCTACTCAGGATGCTGAGGCAGGAGAATCACTTGAACCTGGGGAATGGAGGTTGCAGTGAGCCAAGATCATGTCACTGCACTCCAGCCTCAGTGACAGAGCAAGACTCTGTCTCAAAAAAAAAAAAAAAAGAAAAGAAAAGAAAAGAAAAAAAGAAATGTATTTCTCATAGTTCTAGAGACTGAGAAGTCCAAAATCAAGGCATAGGCAGATGCCATGTCTGGTGAGGTCCTGATTTCTGGTTCTTAGGTGATGCCTTCTTTCTGTGTCCTCACATGGTAGAAGGGGCTGCCTTGCTCTAGGGGTGGAGAGGGAACAGTTGTCTTTTAAAAGGGCACCAATCCCATTCATGAGGACTTTCCCCCAAAACGCCCCCCCACCATGACTTAATCACCTTCCAAAGACCCCACCTCCCAATACCATCACCTTTGGGGTTAGGATTTTAACATATGCATTTTGGAAAGACACAAACATTCAGACCCTAACAATGAGCTTAGATAGTTTGTCTTGAATGTTATGGTTTGGTACAGTTTATTGTTTGAGAGTTTTATTGCTTGGGAGTTTTTATACCACAGTTTTGCAAGCTGAGGCTTCTGTTTCAATTGTTTCCTTTTGCAGCCTAGACGCCAGTAGATTCATTTTTTTAACTTTATTACACCTGATTTTCAAACTATTGCATATTAAAATTATAGGGCCTTTTCCTGATTTATCAACTTTAGAACACAATCTATTAACTTATAGCTATGAAAGATGGGTGATTTGCTTATCTGTAATACTATCCACCCAGCACCTCCAACTTCACCTAATTTTTGTTTTATTTTAGTTTTTGTTTTTTTTTTTTTTGTTTTTTTTTTGAGATGGAGTCTCACTCTGTTGCCCAGGCTGGAGTGCAGTGGCATGATCTCGGCTCACTGCAAACTCAGCCTCCCGGGTTCATGCCATTCATGCCAGCCTCCCCAGCAGCTGGGACTACAGGCACATGCCGCCACGCCCATATAATTTTTTGTATTTTTAGTGGAGTTGGGGTTTTGCCGTGTTAGCCAGGCTGGTCTTGAACTCCTGGCCTCAAGCAACCTGCCTGTCTCGGCCTGCCAAAATGCTGGGGTTACAGGCGTGACTCACCACACCTGGCCTGGTTTTTGTTCTTCTAATGATTATATTTATAAATCTAAACCAGTGGTTCTTAGCCGGGGGCAATCTCCCTCTCCTCAGGGGGCATTTGGCAATGCCTGGAGACATATTTTGGTAGTTACAACTTGGGGAGTGCTATTGCCATCTAGTGAGTCCAGGCTGGCAATGTTGCTGAACATCCTACAATGCACAGGACAGCTCCCACAACAGAGAGCTATCCAGCCCAAATCTCAATAGTGCCAAGGTTGAGAAGTCCTGCTTTAAACAATATATTAAAATCTCTTGACCCACCAACTATAGATAATATCTGACTTTGGATCTATAATGAAGGACATGACCCCTCTACTTCATTCCAAATCTTCCCTCTCTTTCCTCTCAACCTAGTCAAGATTTGAACATCTACATTCTACTTAGTAACAATAACTAAGAGTTTGGCCTCAAGGTTGGTTCTAAAAAGTGAAACCCAATAAACAGTATTCATAATACTATGATTATGCAAATATTGGTGTCTGTGAACTGTATGGTGACACTCAATCCACCAAGAAAGAAATTTGATTTTTTGCCACCAACTTGGGACCCTCAAAGGAGACTGAACAGAAGTGTTAAGGTCAACTGGATTCTCTTTTCTTACACTTCATGAGTAGTTCACATCATACCCTATTATATTTGGCTTCACATTTAAACCATGACATCTTTGCAGTTTCTTTATTTTGGTCATGCTTTAACTGTTGTCTTAAATGTTTGTTCACAAAGGAAGCAGATTGCCTCACCTCGTCATATGATCATGTAGCTTCTTAATCATGCTGCTTGTTAAGAGAATCTGCTTTCTTTGTAAAGCTGTACTTCCTGAAAGCTGCTTTTGTTCTAATTTGGAATATTTGCTTTCTAGTTCTGCTGTGTGGCTCTCATCTTTCCTGCAGCTAAGTTCCCTTATTCCTGCAGCCAACTTCCTTTTGTTGGATCCTTTCTAGCTCCAAGAGGCCATGGTGGGCAAGTGCTAGGCTCTGGAGCTACACTCCCAGGTGCAACTTCTAGGGCCACCACAGAGTAGCTGCACAACTCTGAACAAGTTATCTGATCTTTCCATATCTGTTTCCTTATATATAAAATGGGATTGTGATGATAAAAATAGTAACCCAACTCATAGGGTAGTTGTGAGGATGACGTTAGTTAATGTATATAAAGTGCTTAAAAACAGTGCCTGGCTTTTAGTAAGCCCTCAGTAAGTGCTAGCTATTGTGGTCATTATTTTGCTGGAGCATATTCTTAAGTAATCTTTTCAGACAGAGTACCAGGAAGGTAAAACTTTTAGTCTTTTTATGCATGAACTGCCATTATTTTGTCTTCTCGTTTGATTGACAGATTGCTAGACATAAAGATCCATGGTTAAATCACTTACCTTCAGAACTTTGAAGGCATTATCCCACTGTTTTCTAGCATCCAGTGTTACTGATGAAGAATCCAATGCAAATCTGATATTCATCCCTTTGTAGGTGTTGGTTTTTTGTATTTGTGAGTTTTTAGGATCTTCTCTTTATGTCTAGTGTTCTGAAATCTCACAAAATTGTGCCCGGGGTGAAATTTAACCTGTTATACTTGTCCAGCATTTGGTGAACACTTTCTAGCTGATCCTTGTGTTTCTCTTCAGCTCTGGTACATTTTTAAAACTCCGGTAATTTCAAATCAATTATTTTTTTCTGAATATTTTCTCCTTTCAATTTTCCTCTTTTGTATTTGTGGGATTGCCATCTGATAAAATGCTGTACTTACTGAATTGGTCCTCCATGTCATCTACATTTTCTTTCTTATTTTCCAACTTTTTATTCTGGAAGATTTTGTTTACTTATCTTCCAAGCTTTTTATTAGAAGTTTTATTCTGGTAATAAAGTTTTTAATTTTCAAGAACTTTCTTATTCTCTAAGTGCTCTTTTTTTCAGAGCAACCATTCACATTTTATGAATGTAATATCTTCTAAGTTTTTTCTAAGAAACTTATTAGAGGTTCAGATAGGAATTTTGTTTTAAGTTCTTACCTGTTGCTTAATTAATCTATGCTTTCCCTGGCCTCAATTATTCTATTTATCCTCTTGGTCCTCTTATTTGGGGCCCTTTTTCTTTTAATGTATGGTGACCTTTGGTTGCCATTTGTATATGCACCAGTAACAGGACTGGTTAATACAGGTACTGTTACTGTGTAAGTCTGACCAACTGCTTGGATCGGCTAATTGGGAATTGTGACCCATTTGTTCTCTAGTATTTCATCTTCTCCCTGCATAGACCTCTTGCTCTTCTCTACTGGATTATTTCATGGGCAATGAGCCCATCCAACAGCTCCAGCAAGTCCATACCTATAGTGTGAGCTAGCTCAAGATATCTCTTCAAGGGCTTCATCAACACTGGGGCAAATCTCCAAAGATACCCCCTAGGTGCCAGGTTATCACATTTCCTGAATGCCCAGTAGATACCTATCTCTGTCCAAAGTGTATACCAGCATTTTGTAGGCAGGGGGTTAGAAGCCCTGAAATTAAGACATCCAAGTAGCCCAGAGTAGCCTGTACAGTCTGCTGGTGCCTACATGTATAATCTTTCCAGATGAGCTGCAACCCAATTGACCAGGCAGTGGGGTCCATTTGAAACAATGGGCGCTGATAAACCATTGTGGCAATGCCCAGAGTTATCAAGGCAGATGTTGGATCTTGAGACTTAAGGCGCTGTCATGGAACTTAACAATACGCCGTAGTCCTCAATTCATGTCTGAAGCATTAATGCTATTTTCATTTATTTCTGTCTTTCATATGCAGTGGGATCTTAACAAATTGAGGCCTAGAGATGGACAGAAAGACTCCCAGGCACCAGAAAGCTATTTCTTGCAGCCACCACGTTGCTGTGATTAACAAAATAGTTGGATGCATTTTCCACTCAAAAGTGGCTACAGGGGGAACTGAGTGTGAGTTGTTCACTGTCAACTAACAGCACCATTAGAATTATGTTAAAGCTGAGCTAAGAGAAGCAAGAGAAAGGATGCTACTCAAGAAGAATCTTCTAGTGAAAGAGTGAAAACTTTATTGGTCTCAATGGCAGTGGTGAATCAAGGACTTTTTTTTTTTTTTTTTTTTTTTTGAGATGGAGTCTCTCTCTGTCGCCCAGGCTGGAGTGCAATGGTGAGATCTTGGGGCTCACTGCAACCCCTGCCTCCTGGGTTCAAGCAATTCTCCTGCCTCAGCCTCCTGAGTAGCTGGGATTACAGGCACCCGCCACCACGCCCAGCTAATTTTTTGTATTTTTAGTAAAGACGAGGTTTCACCATGTTGGCCAGGCTGGTCTCGAACTCCTGACCTCGGGGGATCCATCCGCCTCAGCCTCTCAAAGTGCTGGGATTACAGCCCTGAGCCACCGTGCCCGGCCCAAGAACTTTTTAAATTCTGTGCAACCAAGAAATTCAAAACTGATCTACATGCCCTGTCCAGGTTGACCAGTTATCCCGCTAAACTAGTAACCACCAGAGACTGAGCCTGGAGTGGGGGCTCTATCTGTGCCTTGCTTAGTTCTTCATTTTGATTAAAAATACAAATGCCTATATTCTACCCCTAACCCCTTTACTGACTAATTCATGGGATCCATTTGACCGCTATTGATGTTTTCTCACTTATTAAAAAAAATAGTTTCAGTGTAATTATTCTGAGTTAAATACATTTGCCTCTTTTTATCCTAAAAATTGGAAGTTGAAGAATCCTTTTGTTGCCCTTAATGAGCTACCGTAGTAGCTTCCTAGGGCTGCAGTCACAAAGTATTGCAAACTGGCTGGCTTGAAATAACAGAAACCATTCTCTCACGGTTCTCGAGGCAGACATCCAAAATGAAGGTGTTGGCAGGACTGGTTCCCTCTTGGAGACTCAAAGGAAGAACTGGTTCCATGCCTCTCTTCTATCTTCTAATGGTTGCTCTTGGTTTGCAACTGCGTAACCCCAGTCTCCATCCCTGTTGTCACATGGCTGTTATCCCTCCGCATGTCTGTGCCTTTACATGGTGTCCTCCTCTGTATGTGTGTCTCTGTATCTATTTTCCTCTTCTTATAACTTCCATCTTAGTTACATCTGCAAAGACTCCATTTCCAAATAAGGTCACATTCACAAGTACCAGGAGTCCAGACTTGAACATATCTCTTGCAGGGACACAGCTCAACCCCCAATGCACAGTGTGCCTGTCAACTTCCATACACACTGGTTTGGTTCTATCCCAGGAAGTGGGGAGCCAGGGCTGAGAGACCAAAAATCCTAGATCCTGGTCCCAAGTTCTCAGCCCATGACTACGCATTACTGTTTCTAACAATGATATCAAAGGATCCTAAAGACTGGTTATATTGAAATACGCCAAAGACAACCTCTAACCCTGAGGCCCAGAAAGCCCCAGGAATCTAAGCTCTCAGTCTTGGACCCAACAGCAAGCCCTCTCTCAACTACTCTGATGGTCTCCTGGCCCCGACATCAGCATGTGTAGCCTCCTGCTGCCTGTCTGCAAAGCCGTCCCTGCACAATACACTCTTCTAAGCATCTCAGAGAGGACAGGATGTGGCTTTGCATGGTAGTTGGAAATGATCAAGAAAATATATATTTACCAAAATCTGAGCTGAAATTAGGATATCCGGATGCTGAGTGTTAATGAGCAGCGTGTCGGTGTTTAACAACCGGGGCCACAGGCCATCAGTTTCACAGGACTCATTTGAATAATGCTTCCAACTGTACAGACAGTGCAGGGAAAGCAGTACACAGATTGGCTTATCAGGAAACACATAAAGGAAAGGAGGAGGGGGAAAAAAACCCCATGGGATCCTGCAGGCTAAAAAAAAAAATGCTAAAAGGAAAAATAAATGTACATGTGTACCTCTTAAGTCTCACAAATCTGCAGGGATTTGTAACTCAGGAAAACCCTGAAGTGAAACACAAATCAAAAAGGGACCAAGGGCCATAATCCACATTCCTAAATTAGTTGTCTTTTCCGGTAATGAAAAAAGAATCAGACTGTAAGTATACAATATCTCTCCCTGTCATTGCCGCTTCTTTCATTGCTTTCTTAAAATATTACAAAGCAAACAAATCCTGCATTCTAATCCATTATAAACCAGTTCCATATCTAATCAACTTGAAGCCAAAGCCATCTGAGCAGTGCAAACATTTTTTAAAAGAGTCATTCTAAGATAAGCAAAACAGGAAATTGGAGGTTGACGATGATGAAACTGATATCCAAATGGTAATCTGAGCAGTAAAGTCACTAAACCCTTCCTGCACCATAAACAGAGTTTCTTGGGATGTGTTTCATTCGCTTTCCCTGGCGATTTGGCAGTAGGTTGTACCAGTTAGTACAAATCATCATCTTTCTCTTCCTTACCCCATGTCGGCAGACCGCGGCCAGGATGCGGGATCCCAGGGCGCCAGGCGCTCCCATCTGCTCTGCTGAACAATGTGTGGTCCACCCTTTATCCAAGCTGCAGAGGGGAAGGGCAGATGGAGCCACCTTGCCTTCTAAGTGACTTCAGCAAAAGCACATCTGTCCTCCAGGGCAGGTTCTCGACCCCAGCACTATTCACATTTTTAGCTGGATCGCTTTTCGTCGTCGGAGGCTGTCTTGTTCGTGGTGGGTTGTTTAGCCGCACCCCTAGCTTCTACCCACTAGATGCCAGTAGCACCCCTCCCAGATATGACCATCAAAAAATGTCTCTGAACATTGCCAAATGTCCCTGGGAGTGGGAGGCACAATCACCCCCTGTTGAGAACCACTTAGAAAGAACTTTTGCTGGGAAGAGCTCAGAGCATGCATTTAAACAGTGTTCGGTGTTCTCGCATTAGCCTTTCCCAAGGGAATTAGTTACTAACTGAATGTCACCTTCTCCACGAGACTTCCCCTGAGCACCCTATTTATGCTCACTCACTATTTTCATTACTTATCATGTTAACTGTTTAATATTCTGCCTCCCCTGTTACACTATATGTAGTTCCAGGCACAGAGTAAATGTTCAAAAACATTTGTTGGCCAGGCAAGGTGGCTCATGCCTAGAATCCCAACACTTTGGGAGGCTGAGGTGGGAGGATCACTTGAGGCCATAAGTTAGAGACCAGCCTGGTCAACATAGTAAGATCCTGTCTCTACTGAAAGAAAAAAGAAAAAAATAGCCAAGCACAGGGGCATGTGCCTGTAGTCCTAGCTACTTGAGAGGCTGAGGCAGGAGGATTGCGTGAGCCCAGGAGTTAGAGGCTGCAGTGAGCTGTGATCATGCCATTGCACTGTAGCCTGGGCAACAGAGCAGGATCCTATCTTTAAAAAAAGAATTAAAATAAATTTTAAAACATTTACTTATTTGACAAATAAATGGAAAGAAACCAAACTTCACATAGTATAAACAAAGAAGAAATGAGTTGCCCATCTAACTAGGGTGATGTGGTGAGGAGGACCCAGGGCTCCTGGACTCAGTGCCACAGCCACGGTGCCAACAATGAATTCAATGACACCTGCTTGTCAGGGCTGTTGGGGGTTAAATAGGGTCGTGTGTGTATGTGCCTAACACGCAGCGCATGTGTGGGTGCTCCGGCCTGCCCCGCCTTCCCTACCTCTTTTCTGATGCAGCATCCTCAGCTCTTCCCCAGGGTGCTCCCTGCCTGTGGACTCCTGGGGCCCAGGCCAGACCCTGCCTGCAGATGATTTGAGGACCCGTGTCTTTAGCAGCCTGTTTGGTCTGAGGCCTGGGTCCATGGTGGCAGACCACTTGCCAGACCAACCCCTTGGCTGCCTGGCCTGTGAACTCCAGCCGCCCCACCTCTGGCCAGCACCCTGGGCCCATGCACAGTTCGACCTGGGCGAAGCTCTGTCTGCCACCTGGGACCCCCAAAGGTGCCACCTTGCCTGAGCCAGGCACTCCCTGCTCTCCTAAAGTCACTCAATCTTAGGAAATGTCTGTTGTCCAATCTGGCACACTCCATGCTGTGGGTGCTCACACTTCTTAGACGTAGTGCTCCACTGGGTGTGCTCTGTTCTTGGGGTAAAGCTAAGTCCTTGTGGCTTTAGACCAGAGAAGTTTCTTTCTGTCTTACAGGGAGTTCCAAGTAGTGAGGGCTGCTCAGCTCCACACAGTCACTCAGAAACCCAAGTCCCTTTCCCGTGTAGCTCCCCCATCCCCATGGCTTTCTTGTTGTCTACGTGACTGAATTCACTTGCCTTCCCCTGCTTCCAGCCAGGGGAAGGGGAAAGAGTATGGAGGAGATGAGTCCTACACAGAGACATGAGTCCCATATCCAGAAACGGCACTTCCTTACATTCCCATGGGCAGGAATCTAGTCCCACGGCCACATCTCACTGCAAGAGAGGCCGCAAGGTGCAGGCAGAAGGGAGGGCAGGCAGAGGGGAGATGTGGGGTCCCTTCCCCACTCTTCTCCAGCAATCATTTCCTGAGTGTTTTGCTGACTGCAGTCACCTCCACTCCAGTGAGCTCCTTAATCCAGCAGAGAAGACACACACCCAGAGCACAATCTAAGAGGACACAGAGGAGTGGGCAGCTGGCTTGGCTGTTGCACTTGAAGACAGGATCCCAACCAGGAGCAGACGGGAGGCGGCATTCGAGCTGGCGTCTATCTAAGACAAGAGGAGGAAGGACAGGGTGAGAATTTTGCCTGGTCTTAAATCCATATGCCCTTGAGTTTTTTCAATCCTTAGGAAAATGAGTGAAACAGACCTGGGTCATTTGACCATTAAAGATTTTGGACAATCTCTGCAAGAGTTAGAGGCACCATGTGCCCCAGATCATCACCCTTCTCCAAAACGGTCCCTTGGTTTGCTTGGTTATTTTTGTAGAGACAGGGTCTCTACAATGCCCACACTGGACTTGAACTCCTGGGATCAAGCAATCCTCCTAAGCAGCTGAGACAACAGGCACATGCCACCTGGCTTGCTGACCTCCATTTCTGTTTCCAGGAGAGATTTTTTGTTTTGTTTTTTGTTTCCAGACAGGGTCTTGTTTTGTCACCCAGGCTGGAGTGCAGTGGCATGATCATGGCTCACTGCAACCTCAACCTCCTGGGCTCAAACAATCCTCCCATTTCAGCCTCTGGAGTAGCTGGGACCACAGGCACATGCCACCACCATGCCCAACTAATTTTTTTATTTTTATTTTTTGTAGAGATGGGGGTCTCACTATGTTGGCCAGGCTAGTCTCAAACTTCTGGTCTCAAGTGACTCTCCACCTTGGCCTCCCAAAGTGCTGGGATTATAGGTGTGAGCCAGCACACCTGGCTGGGAGAGACTTCTTGATTAGCAGAAGGCAAATTTCATTAATTCAAAGACAAAGCCATGTTCAATGAGTTGCCAGAAAAATAAAAGTTGATTTAAATGTCCCATGACTAAGTACTGAGTCATCATTTGTCATTATTATTTTATTATTTCTTACTTGTGAGAAATTATTTTATTAATATTTTTATTTACCTTTATTATTTCTCAGCTGGAGAAACCCTACAGAAGGGTGCTGGTCATGCAGCCTCATGGCCACCGTGTCCTCAGCAGGCCTGGTTCCTTCCCCCCAGGACCACGGAGGCACAGCCGCCCCTCAGGGGCATAGCATACGGTGTGGTGCGGCCCCTCTTTTCCTGAGCTGAGATTTTTTCGTCTTGTCACGCCCCCCATCTCCCATGCGGCCTCCTCTTCCCAAGACCCCTGGCTTCACTGCAGACTTAGCCACCAGCTCCGCATCATTTGCCCAGCCTGCAACCTCCCGGAGGTGCTTCCCCGCCTCCCAAGACAGCGGGTAGGTGCCAACTGCTAATTTTCTTCCAGTGGCCCACCCTTACAACTCATCCATTGCACTCCAAAAGATTGTTTTTTGGAGGACATTTTTTTAAATTTTATTTTTTCCATAAGTTATTGGGGTATGGGTGGTATTTGGTTACATGAGTAAGTTCTTTAGTGGAGATTTGTGAGCTCCTGCTGCACCCATCACCCGAGCAGTATACACTGCACCATATTTGTTATCTTTTATTCCTCACCCCCCTCCCACTCTTCCCCCCAAGTCCCCAAAGTCCATTGTATCATTCTTATGCCTTTGTGTCCTCATAGCTTAGCTCCCACGTATCAGTGAGAACATACAATGTTTGGTTTTCCATTCCTGAGTTAATTCACTTAGAATAAAAATTTCCAATCTCATCCAGGTCATTGCAAATGCTGTTCATTCATTCCTTTTTATGGCTGAGTAGTATTCCATCATATATATATATGTGTATATATATATGTATATGTATGTATATATATGTGTATATATGTGTGTGTGTGTGTGTGTGTGTGTATACACCACAGTTTCTTTATCCACTTATTGATTGATGGGCATTTGGATTGGTTCTATGACTTTGCAATTGTGAATTGTGCTGCTATAAACATGCGTGTGCAAGTATCTTTTTCGTGTAATGACTTCTTTTCCTTTGGGTAGATACCCAGCAGTGGGATTGCTGGATCAAATGGTAGTTCTACTTTTAGTTCTTTAAGGAATCTCCACACTGTTTTCCATAGTGGCTGTGCTAGTTTACCTTCCCAGCAGCAGTGTAGAAGTGTTCCCTGATAGTAAAAGGATATTTTAAATATAAAAGAAATGCAAGGTGTTGTGGTGGTTAATTGTAGGTGTCAACTTGGCTAGGCCGTGCTGCCCAGTTGTCTAGTCAGACATCAGTATAAATGTTGCTGTGAAGGTATTTTTCAGATGAAATTAACATGTAAATCATTGGATGTTGAGTAAAGCCAAGTACCATCACGTGTGTGGGCCTCATCCAATCAGCTGAAGGCCCTATAAAGAGACTGGAGTCCCCTAAAAAAAAAGGAATTCTGTCTCCTGAAGGCCTTCAGACTCAGGCTGCAATCAACTCTTCCCTGGGTCTCTAGCCTGCTGGTCTGCTCTGCAGATTTCAAACTTGCCAGTCTCGGCCAGCCACAGTGGTTCAAACCTATAATCCCAGCACTTTGGGAGGCTGAGGCAGGCACATCACCAGAGGTCAGAAGTTTGAGACCAGCCTGGCCAACATGGCGAAACCCCGTCTCTACTAAAAATACAAAAATTAGCGATGCATGGTGGCAGGTGCCTATAATCCTAGCTACTCGGGAGGCTGAGTCAGGAGAATCACTTGAATCTGGGAGGCAGAGGTTGCAGTGAGCCGAGATTGTGCCACTGCACTCCAGCCTGGGTGACAAGAGCGAAACTCCATCACAAACAAACAAACAAACAAACATCTTGCCAGTCTCCATGATCCCGTGGGCTAATTCCTGAAAATCTCTTTGCGTATGTGTGTGTGTGTGTGTGTGTGTGTGTGTGTAATATCTCTCTGCATATGTGTGTGTGTGTGTATATATATATATATATAGAGAGAGAGAGAGAGAGAGAGAGAGAGAGAGATCATATACATATATAAAAGTATATGATATACATTCTATTGGTTCTATTTCTCTGGAGAACCCTGGCCAATAAATCAGTGCTACTCATTGATCAATGTTTCCTTGTCCTGTATGTTTTAAGGTGTCTTCATTTTCTTTTTATGATCCTGAGTTGGCCACCAACCAACAAAAGTATTCTCCTCCTGAGTGGCACACTAGATATTGTTCTCCTAAAAATTCAGTCGAGATTCCAATATTTGGTCAACCCCACAAAAACACTCATGTTCTAGTTCAGTCAGGATAACAAATGAAACAGTTCCCAACTTACCCAACTTCGATTGTCTGACCGAACTCAGGCTCACATGATATTTATGTCTGAGTGCCCCACAAACACACAACTGAATAAACAGCCAATTCACTTCGAAAAATTCCCATTTGGCCACAATCTTGCAGCTGTCTGTGAACTCTGCCCCGCCTGAAACACACTTTGGTGCTACAAAGAGCATTCTCCTCCCCGGACACCATATCCTGGGAAGCAAGGAATTGTTTGGAGATGCTCCCAGCTGGCCACCCAGTCTCTGTCCTCAGGGATCCAGAAAGCTCTGGAGGCTGCCTGGCCCTCGGCACTGACCTGGAGCAGAATTGGGAAGTAAGTGGATGTGGCTTTTTCTACCCGTGGGCTCCAGGAATCAGCCTTTTCCAGCTCCTGTGGAGTCACCCATGAGATTTCCATTAGGAATACCTTTTTGTTTCTCTTGGGACTACTTGTTGTTGGTTTACTTATTTATTTATTTATTTTCATTTTCCATTTTGGCTTTCACATTGCAAAGAATGGGCCATGTGGCAGGGACACCTCTGCTTTGAGGCCAGCATGGGCACCTTACACCCCCAAGTGGGCTGCAGAGCCTAGCCGGACTGAATCCCATCAGCAGGTTCTTTTACTTCTTCCAAGATGGTAGCACTTCCTGCCTGGCAGGCACTGCTGCTAGTCAGGTTGAGAACGTCCACAACTCGCCATCCCCACGTGTGTGCAGACATGAAATGCCTACGTGGCAAATATCAGGCCTGGCAGAACCAGGCAAATATTGACACAGCCAGGTGAGGGGAAGCATTCATTCTTTCTGTCAGCATTTACAAAGCACCTACTAAGTGTCAGGGCTTGTGCTAGGTGCCAAGCAAAACCAAACAGGGCCACTGCCCTCCTTGTGGGAGGCAGGCACGAATCCTATTTATTTTGGGTCTCAGAGTCCTGGTCCCAGAGCAGAGATTCCATAAACATTTTAAATTGTGTGTGTGAGTGAGAACAGGAGAGGAGAGTGCATGGGAGGGTTCGCACCTGACATGCCCACACTAAAAAGCGGACCTCCACCTTTAGTTCCTCCCTAATGGAGAGCCATCACCGACACTCCATTAGGGAGAAAAAAAACAACTCGTTTTTCTCTTGAGAGTCGGAACAGTATTGGTTTTCAATGTTTCAAACCTATGAACAAATACCCCCATGTGTAAAGTCCCATTTCACTCAAGAATCGTCTGTGTTGATCTCAAACACACATTTATGTTTCTTGGTTGGAAAAGAAGAAAAACACTAAACGAATTTTAGTGACCATTTCTTTAAACCTGAGAGGATGGGGAAGCTCAGCTTTCAGACTGTATCAGCAGGGGATGCGATTCCACACTCGGGTGTCATGTGATAGCATTCACAGAGCACAGGAAATACTTCCGCCCGCCCGTCAGCCGGGACAATGGGACTGAAGGTAGCTGGGGGAGAAGGAGGGGTATGAAGGAAATTTCAAGGAAGACAATGAAAAGTTGAGTAAAATCCTTCATTGTCAAAATGAGATCAAATTAGCAATGGTCTCAAAAGCTGTCCAAAGTGAGGGACCCTCCTTCCCCATCAGAGACTTTCTGTTTAAGGAAGTCCACACCAGCAAGAGTTCCCTAAACAGTGTGTTTTAGGAGTACACCCCAAGAACACTCACTGAATTCCCTTTTCCCTAACCTTCTAGAAGCCTTGCCCCAGTTTTATCCCTGTCCTTACTGTTTGCTTAACCCTGTGGGCCAAAGCTCCACTACAGCCATGGATGACTCACAAGCTCAAAATGCCTTCGTCCTAAGCTTCACTAGCCGCACGACTTTACAATTGTTCCCAACACACTCTGTGTGCTACTGCAGGCGTCTCTGGGAAATATTTATCTGCCCCGTTGCAGTTCCAGGTGCAGGTAGAAGAGAGGACGCGGCTGTTGAGGACACAGCTGTTGAATCCATTCCCACCTTTTGCTGTGTACATAAAATACATAGTGGCAGGGCCATAGGACTTCCTGGGCAAGGTAGACCAAGGTGACAGAGTCCAAGTAACTTTGAAAAAAAAAACAAAAACAAAAAGCCCACACACTCTGCCAGGTGTGGTGGCTCACACCTATAATCCTAGCACTTTGGGAGGCCGAGGTGGGTGGATCACTTGAGGTCAGGAGTTTGAGACCAGCCTGGCCAACATGGTGAAACCCTGTCTCTACTTACTAAAAATACAAAAATTAGCCAGAAATGGTGACAGGTGCCTGTGATCCCAGATACTCGGGAGGCTGAGGCATGAGAATCGCTTGAACCTGGGAGGAGAAGGTTGCAGTGAGCTGAGATTGCACCACTGCATTCCAGCCTGGGCAACAGAGTCAGACACTGTCTCGAAAAAATAAAAATAAAAAAAAAACCTCACACACTCTATATACATACTATAGAATATTACTCAGTCATAAAAAGGAGGCCAGGCATGGTGGCTCATGCCTGTAATCCCAGAACTTTGGGAGGCTGAGGTGGGCAGATCATTTGAGGTAAGGAGTTCAAGACCAGCCTGGCCAACATGTTGAAACCCCGTCTCTACTAAAAATACAAAAAAAATTAGCTGGACGTGGTGGTGCACGACTATAATTTCAGCTATTAGGGAGCCTGAAGCAGGAGAATTGCTGGAACCCAGGAGACGGAAGTTGCAGGGAGCAGAGATTACGCCATTGCACTTCAGCCCTGGGTGACAGAGTGAGACTCTGTCTCAAAAAAAAAAAAAAAAAAAAAAAACACAACTAAAAACCCACATGCTGTATATGCATGTGACAGAATATTACTCAGCCACAAAGAGGAATAGTTCTGGTCACCCTACAGTATGGATAAACCTTGAAGATGTGCTGGGTGAAGGAGGTTAGACACAAAGGACCACACATGACATGATTGTATTTATATGAAATGCCCAGAATAGGCAAATCCAGAGAGACAGAAAGCAGATTGGTGGTTTCCAGGGGCTAGGAGGAGAGAGGAATGGGGTGCAACTGCTTAGTGGATAGAGGGTTTCCTTTTGGGGTGATGAAAGGCTTTTGGAACTAGATAGAGGGAGCGGGTGTAGAAATGCCACTGAATTGTGCACTTTAAAATGGTTGGTTTTATGTTAAGTGAATTTCACTTCAATAAACCCACCCCCACACACACGCACACATGCATGCACACTTATTGCTTACATCCCCAAAAGAGGCCATGATTTTTTTTTTTTTTTTTTGAGACAGAGTCTCGCTCTGTCGCCCAGGCTGGAGTGCAGTGGCGCGATCTCGGCTCACTGCAAGCCCCAAGAGGCCATGATTTTAATCTTTGATTTCACCTGGATACCCCTGGCAAATTGTATTTATATTTTAAAAATAAAACTCCTTGGCTTTAGGGGTGTAGAGGGCCCAATTCCAGAACATTTGGATCTCTCCTCTCCGGAGAAACACCATCAACTCAGGAATAGAGGCGTTGAGGGAAGAACACGCAATGGCCAGGACTTCCCCGCCGGCCCGTGTTCCTGATGCATGGCTGATTTCCCTTTAGCCGAATGCAACGATAACAACAGTGTCCTTGGGAAGCCACCCTCCACCCATTGCCTTCCACATCTGCAATAGGGGTTGAATGACATGGAGTTTCTTGTTTCGGTGCTTGAAGAATGATATGGTATGTCAGATGTCACGGGACATTAAATAAAGCTGCTCAGAGATGGAAATTGTTACCGTATTTATTTGGAAGTACCAGCAGCCACTTAATTGCAATTTGCAGAAACAAGCTATTGGCTGAGAGTTATTTTTATCAGTTGATTCCACGGTGGATTAAGTGTTTCTGCCATTTCCAGGGTGAGCATCAAATGCCACAGGCTAACCTTGGAGGCGGGCATCATCTCCCAGTGAGCCTTGGGGGACTGATGGAATTTGGTGAGGCGCTAAAGCACCGGGCCTGCCCGGGGGGCCTACCTCATCTCACAGCTGGTACACAGATCCCTCCCTGAACATACCCCCAAAGAGGCTCATGGCTCATACTCCTGTGTCAGATGAAGGGCCACCACGAATGTCTAGATTATTCCTTTTTTTTTTTTGAGACAGAGTCTTGCTTTGTTGCCCAGGCTGGAGTGCAGCAGCATGATCCCGGCTCACTGCAACCTCCACCTCCCAGGTTCAAGCGATTCTCCTGCCTCAGCCTCCCAAGTAGCTGGGATTACAGGCTCGTGCCACCGGGCCCGGCTAATTTTTGTATTTTTAGTAGAGATGGGGTTTCACCACGTTGGCCTCAAAATGAATTTTTTTCCTTAAAATTCATGGGTTAAAACTTAATCGCCATTGTGGTGGTATTAAGAGGTGGAACTTTTGGAAAGGGATTAGGTCATGAAGGCTCCGCCCTCAGGAATGGATTAGTACAAAGGACTGGAGGGGCTGGGTGAGGTGGCTCATGCCTGTGATCCCAGCACTTTGGGAGGCCAAGGTGGGTGGATTGCTTGAGGTCAGGAGTTTGAGACAAGCCTGAGCAACATAGAAAAACCCCGTCTCTACTGAAAATTAAAAAATTAGCCAGCCTGTAGTCCCAGCTTCTTGGAGGGCTGAAGTGGGAGGATTGCTTGTGCCCGGGAGGTGGAGGCGGCAGTGAGCCAAGATCGTGCCACTGCACTCCAGCCTGGGTGACAAAGCAAGACTCTGTCTCAAAAAAAAAAGAAAAAAAAAGGACTGGAGGGAACTAGCTTAGGCCCTTTTTGCTCTTCTGCCATGTGAGACATGGCGTTCGTCCCTCTGGAGGATGTGGCAACATGTGCCATCTTGGGAGTGGAGACCAGGCCCTCTGTGAGTGCCTTGGACTCCCGGCCCCCAGAACTGTGAGAAATAAATTTCTGTTCCTTACAAATTACCCAGTCTCAGGCATTTTGTTATAGCAGCACAAATAAACTAAGACACAGGGACCTGTATGTTGCCACTAGAACTCCTATCTATCTACCTGGTTAACTAGTCATCCATATCTCCATCCATCCATCCATTCATCCATCCAGCCAGCCAGCCAGCCCTATGTCCATCCATCCATTCATCCATCCAGCCAGCCAGCCAGCCCTATGTCCATCCATCCATCCATCCATCCATCCATCTGTCCATCCATCCATCCATCCATTCATCCATCTCTCTCACGGCCCTGCTTCTCTCTGTATTTTTGAAGCACTCAGGCTCTGAAACCCAATTATTGGACTTCAGGTCCTAGTAATTCCATACTGTATATCTCTGTGGCATTTGGTGATTTACTGAAACTCTCTGTGCCTTAATTTCTACATCTTCAAAATGGGGATACAAACCTATCTCAGAAGACTGATGAGAGGATTATTGAGTCACTCTCATAAAGCATGTTTGGGATAGTGTTTGGCACTTGGTAACTGCTCTGTAAATGTTAGATGTCACTATCATGACTGAAGATGGGCTCCCTGCATGTGGTTTGTGGGGTGGGGGGTGGAAAATAGCCACAGAGAGCTCCCAACCTATGCTGTTCCATCTCAGCAAACCTGAAGGAGAGGAAGAGTGTTGCTCTTCCCAGCATTGATACATAAAACCCCAGGAGAGAATTCTGGAGCCTTGACCTAGGTCACTGGCCCATCTCTGGGTCACTCCCTGTGGCCAGGGGGTGGAGTCCTAGGATTGACTGAACAGACGGCACCAAGCCATTCAAGAGGGATCTGCCACCCACGACCCAAACACCTTCTTCTAGGCCCCACCTCCAATAGATCTTCCTTCCTTCCTTCCTTCCTTCTTTCCTTCCTTCCTTCCTTCCTTCCTTTCTCTCTCTCTCTCTCTCTCTCTCTCTCTCTTTCTTTCTTTCTTTCTTTCTTGTTTCAGGGTCTCACTCTGGTGCCCAGGCTGAAGTACAGTGGCACAATCACGGCTCACTGCAGCCTCAACCTCCTCAGGCTTGAGCAATCCTCCTACGTCAGCGTCCAGGGTAGCAGGGACTAAAGTCATGTGCCACCACACTAGGCTAATTTTTAGAGATGGGGTCTCACTATGTTGCCCAAGCTGGTCTTGAACTCCTGAGCTCAAGCAATCCTCCTGCCTCAGCCTCCCAAAGTACTGGGCTTACAGGTGGGAGCCACCACATCTGGCCTGGGGAGATTGAATTTCAACATGAGGTTTAAAGGGGACAAACATCCAAACTATAGCAGCTCCCCACTAGAAACCTCCCAGAGTGATGAATATCAGTAATGCCCTACCATCTCCCCCAGGCTCCCACCCCTTCCCCCACGCCAAGGTCTAGCCCAAGAGCAAACCATGGGTTCTGTGTCTGCACCAGCAGGCGCATGGGGTCCTGTGGTGTGCCTCGGCCCGAGTTCACACACAAGTGGACCTCTTCTCCTTGGCACAAACACAGAATTAAGTTTGCCTCTCAGAGACCACAGTCCAGAGGTACCCCAATGTCAGAATCAGATTCCACTACCCACTTCCCTGGGGAGAGGTGAGCTTTAGACTCTGCCTGTCTAGACCCCAGATAGATCGTGGGGGACCTCTAGGGTACCTGTCCAGGAAACGTTAGGAAGTTAGATGAAGTAGAGGAGAAAATGGGCCCAACAGTGATTATGAGGACTGACAGGTCTTTGGGCCAAAGCGTTTGATACTTGGATGGAACCATGTGGGTACACTGAGGACACTTCCTTCTGTTGGCCTTTGTCACCCAGTCCTCTCTTCTTAGGATTTCCCGGTCTTCTCTTTTCCAATAACGTCCCCCTTTCCTGGCTTTGTTTTTCCCTCCAAAGCTTTATCTCTCCCCATACTGATCTGAATCTACAAGTGAGACTCATGGACATTTCTCCTCCACCTTATCTGCTGCTGAAGCCCTGCATCCACCCCCCACGCACACACCTGACAACCGGCAGAGGTAGACGTCTTTGTTTGTCAGTTATTGGAGACCAATGGCATTTTAAAAGGTTATTTCTCTTACAGGAAACTGTGTAGCCCAGGGACAGTCACCTTGTGAGCTTCTTTATTCATGAACCCTCACTCTTCCTCCAGGATTGATGGGTGACAGCTCCTTGCTCTGGGCCTTTCTTATATATATTTACAGTAGTCTCTGAAGTACATCTTTAATCAAAGGGGCCATGACTCATTGACACATCTTTGGAATATTACTGAGTAACTCATTAAAATGTTAATAGCTTCTGTCTGGATGTATTGATCTTGATGTCAACTATTCTTGGAATAATAAATAAAGTTGATTTTTAAAATTTTATCTTTCAACCATGCTGAGTGATAAGTGAGCCAAGGAGTGTCTGAAAGAAAATAAGTCACCTTGGAAGCCCCCGATGGAACAGAATCAAATAGAGAGGGTCCTATCCAGCTCTGTGATGACAAATGTTATGGCAGACAGAGTTAAGCTCAAACTCACTACAGAACAGGGGAAAACACCCAAAATCCACGGACCATGTTTTTTTTCCCCCAGGATGTTTCTAAGTAAATAAATCAACAATGGCAACTTTGAATCAATAATTTGTAAATATCTCTGGATGTCTCCAAGTGCTTTCAGCGGTGGGAGCATGAGTAACACCAGATTTCAAGGAACCAGCATCCCAGGAGCCATCTTTGGTTTTCTAAGACTAACATCCAAGATGGGCTTCCTCCGGCTTTCAGCCACGTGCGCCCTGCCTGCTGGCTTCTGCTAAGCTCCCCTTTCTACCTTTCTGGTCCTTGAAGACGTCAAGCCCACACCTAACTGGCCTTCTGCCCTTGATGGTCCCTCCATTGGTCTCTATCAAGGGCCTTCTGCCCTTGATGTTCTGCCTGGAGGGCTCTTTCAGCCTCAGCTGTCCATGCCGCTGCTGGAGAGGGTTCCTGAACTTCCCATCCTGAAACTGCCGCCACCCGCCCCCAACCTAGCCCTCCCCAGCCTGGGCCTGCTGGGTGTTTAAATCATCAGTGTGGTTTGTCTACCTGCATTTTCATGGCTCCTTCCAGAAGGACTTGTAGGGACTGTGTGTTTACCTTCTCCTATCTTACTCCTGGGTCCATGTGGGCACACAGTAGGCATTCAATAACTGTTGGTTGAATAAATGAATGGAAAGTCCCCTAAAATGAGGAAGAGATCTTGGGATGCCCAGAGGGATGAAGCTGAAAAAGTCTCTAACAAGAAAAGCAGGGGATAGGCTGGAAAGGGACTGCTGCTGAAAACCCGTTAAGAAATGTTTCCACTCCCAGGACAGGGAGGAGGAAGCAATTTAGTTGGAACGTGCATCTAGGCCTCCCATTACTCCCTGGAGCTCCATCACGGGAAAAATCCTTTACATGGATCCGTGACTCTGGGCCTGAGTGCCACGGTTTCAGGACGCGGTCAAGCCCTAAGTCAACGTTTCCAGAACAAACACCCGCGACCAGAAGCGGCAAGGGCCGCCAACACACCACATCACTCTCCCGGCCAGGGCCAAGTCCTGGTAGGAACATGATTATCATTCCTGACGATCTGCCGTGCCGGGCTGGCTGCTCTGATACCCGTCAATGGGCTCATTCAGCCAGGGCCCGGTTTTGCATATTATTCTTAATAAACATTCATAGCCCAAGCCATAATGGCTCTTTCAAGGCTCCTGCTTTGAATGCGTGGTAACAACAGAGTGCCTTTGTGTACTTACATGTAAAAATACACTGGCCACCCTGTTGATACGCAGCATATATATTTATAAATATTTATCACCAAGTCATGGCTGACATTTTCAAAATGCTGCTTTTGAAGTAGACCTCGTTTTTCTGTCTCCCAAGCTGAGAGGCCAGACGAGGTTAATTAATCCAATTTTGCCTAATAATGTGCAGTGTAATGATCTCCATGCCTTGGTTTATTTGTCAAGGGGGAGGGGGCTCCACGGAAAGGCCTCAGTGACTCCAAAAGGAGGGATTTCCCGACTGCTGCCTTGATCTACAGCCAGCCTGGGGTGATGGAGACGTGCCCGCAGCACCTTCTGGGGAAGCAAGAAAGAGAAGAAGCTGGTAGAGAAAGAGATCCAGGGTCTGGACTTGGTTCACCCCAGGGGTGGGGGTAAAGCTGCGGAAGGAACTTCTCTCCCAATTCCATCCCCTCTCCCTGCCCAAGCTCCTGGGAGACACTCTGATTACTGGGAAATAACATTCCAAACTCACGCCGATGGACTGGACAGGAACTCCTTGCCCTCCATGCTGTGGTCGATAGGGAAGCACTTGAACCAGGATCTGGGGCAAGGCAAGTGTTGGATCTGATCAAGACTGGCCAGCAGAAAGACCTGGTCTTGAAGCAGTGAAGAAGTCCATGATGCCAATGGTTTGGCTTCTCTCATTAGGTTGCTTTCACAAACCACCATGCGCTGAAGACTCCTTGGCAAACCTGATCCCTCTTGATTATCCCAACAAGGGCCTCCTGTTTTGTGCATTTTGACTCGTATTCAGACTCGTCTTCTAGCTCTTAAAGATGGGAGGCCTCTGCAACAGAACAATGCTTGGAAAGGGGATCTTTAAGCGTACCTAAACTCCCTGAGCTCTGACTCCCCCGTTTGGCTCTGCTCAACTCCAGTTTGGGTGTCAGCTTTGCACTGCTGTGGCTCTCAGTGTCCTGGGAATCCTGTTTACCAGTTCCCATTCTCCATCCACAGGTGGGCTCCCAGGTCAAGAGCAGATCTCACAGACCACTGCTCAAAGCTTATCCTGGCCAGGTGCAGTGACTCATGCCTCTAACTCCAGTGCTTTGGGAGGTCAAAGTGTGGGGATCATGAGGCCAGGAGTTCAAGACCAGCCTGGGCAGTGTAAGAAGACCTGTCTCTGCAAAATGTATCCATGGATTATGGCTCACACCTGTAGTCTCAGTTACTCCAGAGGCTGAGGCAGGACTGTTTGAGCCCAGAAATTCAAGGCTGCATTGAGCTATGATTCCCTTATCACCTCCTCAACCCTGGATTTGTCACTGTCCAGCTCTGTGGGGCCAGGTTTTCCATCCTATGCTTCCCTCCACCCCACACTCACCTTCACCCTCTTGTCTCTTTATTAAGCAAAACTGGGCTGCCAAATCCCAACACGTTTGTCCCTTTTAACATTCTTCAAACAAAACCTAAGCAGCAAAATTAATTTACTTAAAAAAAAAAATCAGGTGCCAGCGAGAGCCAGTTTAGATTTTAAGCCACTTTTTATTTGGCTCACCTGCATGCCACGGAAGCCCGTCAGCACCTGGTGCTCACTGACATGGTGTTTGAGTCACAGTTGTGTTACTCAATACACCCCTGTTGAGTGGATCAGCACCCAAGTGGGCATTCACTGTGCCCCACATTCACTTCCTCATACCATACGGCCAGAAACGCAGGGAAAAAAAAATCCCAGCTTTGCTTCCTAAAACCTGCGTGACCTTGGGCAAGTTACCTAACCTGTCTAAGCCATAATCTCTTCAACTATAAAACAGGGCTGATAAACTTACTCCACAGGGCAGGGGTGAGTACCCAATAAGACAATTTGAGAAAGCATCTAGCACGTGGCCAGGCCATAATACGTTCTCAACAAATCTCTATTGAATCAGTGACCAATGAAATGGCATTCTAGAAATGCATTTATTTCTGCTATTTAAAACAGGGTTAAAAATTTACAAGAAAAAAAAAACAAGCAACTTCATTAAAAAGTGTGGAGAGAACATGAACAGACGCTTTTCAAAAGAAGACTTACATGCAACCAACAAGCATATGAAAAATTCAAAATCACTGATCATTGTGGAAATGCAAATCAAAACCACAATGAGATGCCATGTAACACCAGTCAGAATGACTATTTTTAAAAAGTCAAAAAACAGGCTGGGCTTGGTGGCTCACGCCTGTAATCCCAGCACTTTGGGAGGGCGAGGTGGGTGGATCACAAGGTTTGGAGTTCGAGACCAGCCTACCAACATGATGAAACCTAGTCTCTACTAAAAATATAAAAATTAGCTGGGCGTGGTGGCATGCATCTGTAATCCCAGCTACTCAGGAGGCTGAGGCAGGAGAATCACTTGAACCTGGAAGGCGGAGGTTGCAGTGAGCTGAGATTGCACCACTGCACTCCAGCCTGGGCGACAGAGCGAGACTCCGTCAAAAAAAAAAAAAAAAGTCAAAAAATAACAGATGCTGATGAGGTTGTAGAGAAAAAGGAATGCTTATACACTGCTGGTGGGAGTGTAAATTAGTTCTACTTTACACTCCCATTGTGGAAGACAGTGTGGCAATTCCTCAAAGACCTAGAGCCAGAAATACCATTTGACCCAGTAATCCCATTACTGGGTATATACCCAAAGGAATATAAATCATTTTATCACAAAGACACATGCACATGTATTTTCATTGCAGCACCATTCACAATAGCAAAGACATGGAATCAACCTAAATGTCCATCAATGATAGACTGGACAAGGAAAATATGGTACATTTATACCATGGAATACTATACAGCCATAAAAAGGAACAAGATCATGTCCTTTTCAGGGACATGGATGGAGCTGGAGGCCATTATACTTAGCAAACCGATGCAGAAACAGAAAACCAACTACTGCCTGTTCTTATTTTTAAGTGGGAGCTAAATGATGAGAACATATGGACACATAGAGGGGAACCACACACACTGGGCCTTTCTGAGGGTGGAGGGTGGGAGGAGGGAGAGGATGAAGAAAAATAACCCATAGGTATGAGGCTTAATACCTGGGTGATGGAATATTCTCTACAACAAATTCCCATGACACAAGTTTACCTATGTAACAAACCTGCGCTTTTATCCCTGAATTTAAAATAAAAGTTAAAAAATCACGCCTGTAATCCCAGCATTTGGGAGGCCAAGGCGGGTAGATCACAAGGTCAGGAGCTCAAGACCAGCCTGGCCAAGATGGTAAAACCCTGTCTCTACTAAAAAAAAAAAAAAAACAAAAGTTAGCTGGGCATGGTGGCAGGCGTCTGTAATCCCAGCTACTCAGGAGGCTGAGGCAGGAGAATCACTTGAACCCAGGAGGCAGAGGTTGCAGTGAGTCGGGATCGCACCACTGCATTCCAGCCTGGGCAACAGCACGAGACTCCGTCTTTATTTATTTATTTATTTATTATTTTATTTATTTATTTATTATATAAAATAAATTTTATTTATAAAAATATATTTTTATTTATTTTTTATATATTTATATATTTATAAATATTTTTATTTATTTATTATATAAAGATAAATAAATACAAATTTAAAAATGAAATAAGGTTAAATAATACCTGGATAGCACCAGCAGCTCAATCTTGAGGCTTGTAGCACTAATAAGCTTTTGGAAACAAGTGAGTGTGTCCAGCATTGTTTAGCAGACATTCCCTCTCCCCTGGATGCCGTGGTACTTTATTTATGCTCTTGGGCATGTATCTTACCCCTGGACCATCCTACAGGTGGGAATCCCCTGATTGCATCTGTAATTAATGTTCCATGTGTGATTTGTCCTCAGAAGCCCTGAGCTGAGGAGGCACTTAATAAATATTTATTAATTGACATTCGAGTGGACTCGTGTATTGGACACACTTAATGTACTCCTCAGGTTCTCTCAGCCTCCCCTTCCCCCAGGCCCTCATCTGTGGGTTCTGCCTCCATGGGTGATCAACTTCCTTGGGCCCATGTGATTTTACTGCCTGAAATCAACCAGCTCCACACCCAGAATCTCTAGCTCCTTCTGGTGTGTGGGGGCTCAGATGAAATCCACACCATAGGATATGGGATCTGGCTTCTCCCTGGCTGGGGAAGGAACTGGATGAGGCAATTGATAGTACAGGGGAGTTAATCTCCCAGTGTGTGGACTTGGGCCAATGGGACGCAGGAGATTGGAGGAAGCCTAGCAGACAAGAGCCTTCTCTCTTTCTCCCTCTAATTATTACTCTTCAACACAGTTACTCCACACAGCCCATCTGGGGACACTCCATGGAGCTGATGAGTATACCTGCCAGGCAATGGCCTCTGTCTACACGGCATGCTGCATTGCGTCCCATCCTGCTTGCCTCACTTCCCCTTGACCACACTCTCACTGCCCAAAGAGTGCACCTTTCAAATAAAGCCTTTGCCCTTAATCCTTGCCTCAGGCTCTGTTTTCTTGGGGACTTGGGCTAAGACAGGTCATGTGAACGTTGCACAAGCCAGATAACAGGGAGGAAAAGGCTTTCTGAATTGAGACCATGTATGAGACAAGGGCTGGGATTGTTAATAAGCCCATTCAGTGAATTTTTTTTTTCTTTTGAGACGGAGTCTCACTCTGTCGCCCAGGCTGGAGTGCAGTGGTGCAGTCTCGGCTCACTGCAACCTCTGCCTCCCGAGTTCAAGCAATTCTCTGCCTCAGCTTCCTGAGTAGCTGGTTTTACAGGTGCCCGCCACCATGCCCAGCTAATATTGTGTGTGTGTGTGTGTGTGTGTGTGTGTGTGTGTGTGTGTGTGTTTTGATGGAGTTTCGCACTGTTGCCCAGGCTGGAGTGCAATGTCGCGATCTCAGCTCACTGCAAGCTCCACCTCCTGGGTTCACGCCATTCTCCTGCCTCAGCCTCCCGAGTAGCTGGGACTACAGGCACCTACCACCACGCCTGGCTAATTTTTTGTGTTTTTAGTACAGACAGGGTTTCACTGTGTTGGCCAGGATGGTCTCGATCTCCTGACCCTGTGATCCGCCCGCCTCAGCCTCACAAAGTGCTGGGATTACAGGAGTGAGCCACTGCGCCCGGCCTAATTTTTGTATTTTTAGTAGAGATGGGGTTTCACCATCTTGGCCAGGCTGGTCTTAAACTCCTGACCTTGTGATCCACCTGCCTCGGCCTCCCAACGTGCTGGGATTACAGGTGTGAGCTACCACACCTGGCCTCAGTGAATTTTTATTGAACTGTTTGATTAACATGGTCATGCCAACTACCACCTTGGAGCCCAGGTCATCAGAAAATCAGAGGCACCAGGCTGTGGGCCCCATGCACCAGCTCACTCCCCTGGGCTCCAGCTCAGCCCAGCCTGATAGCCCAAAAAGTCTTCCTCTCAGCCGTTTTGTGTGTGGGGCTGTGTCTTCTTTAGCAGCTTGCAAATTCCAGCCATGGAAACCCAAGCAAGGGCAGAGAATCAGAGCAGATTCTCTCCTTTACCTTGTGCTATATTTTAATAAATTAATGCAGTTGTAGTTATGTAGAAAGAGATTTGCTCTCGGGTAATGAGGACAACATGGCAGCCTAACTGCTGGTGCATGAATTGGGCAGGCAGGAGGCCTTACCCTCAGGGACACCTGCTCTCTCTTAGGTCGGCCAATCCACAACAGGGCGCTCATCCAATTTCTGTCCACCTGAGAGTCCACGAGGGCACACCCAGCTGTGCTCCTTCCTGATCAGGTCCCACTTACCACCCACAAAAGGGGAGAACATGGCTCTTTTGAAGGATCCTCATTGAGGGCTCTCATGAGTAAATTATCAATGAAAGTTGATAATTAAAGCAACTACCTCATTTGTTGATAATCCAGCAACAAGTGAGGTAGTTACATTAATATTAAAAGCAGTAACACACACCTTAGATTTGTATGGCATTGTGTTGTTTTAAAAATTCTTTTCCAGGTATTGTGCAGTCTGATTACAATGGCACAAGCTACAGCTCAAGCAGCCTTGAGCTAAGAATCGTTGAATAGTAGCAGTGCCATAGGGTTCAATGTATTCGGCAGCCGACGTCCAGATTCCAGGGGAAAGGCAACGTGATTACACAGAGGCTTTGTGAAGGGAAGGACTAAAGGAAGAGATGTAGAAAGAGGGGAAAGGGCCGGGCGCGGTGGCTCACGCCTGTAATCCCAGCACTTTGGGAGGCCAAGGCAAGTGGATCACGAGGTCAGGAGTTTCAGACCAGCCTGATGAAGGTGGTGAAACCCCGTCTCTACTAAAAATACAAAAATTAGCCGGGGGCAGTGGCAGGCACCTGTAATCCCAGATACTTGGGCGGCTGAGGCAGGAGAATCTCTTGAACCCAGGAGGCGGAGGTTGCAGTGAGCTGAGATCACGCCACTGCACTCTATCTAGCCTGGGCAACAGAGCAAGACTCTGTCAAAAAAAAAGAAAAGGAAGAAAGGAAGAAAGGAAGAAAAAAGAAAGAAAGAAAGAAAGAAAGAAAGAAAGAAAGAAAGAAAGAAAGAAAGAAAGAAAGAAGGGAGGGAGGGAGGGAGGGAGGGAAGGAAGGAAGGAAGGAAGGAAGGAAGGAAGGAGAAAGAATAAGAAATGGGCACTTTGGGAGGCCAAGGTGGGCGGATCATGAGGTCAGGAGATCGAGACCATCCTAGCTAACACGGTGAAACCCCGCCTCTACTAAAAATACAAAAAAATTAGCTGGGTGTGGTGGTGGGCGCCTGTAGTCCCAGCTACTTGGGAGGCTGAGGTGGGAGAATGGCATAAACCCGGGAGGCGGAGCTTGCAGTGAACAGAGATCATGCCGTCAAAAAAAAAAAAAAAAAAAAAAGAAGAAGAAGAAAAAGAAAAGAAATCGGCATGAAATCAAAGTGGCCAACAAGGACCACTTTTCCTATGGAGAAGAGTTCAGTGTGGTTTTGAGGTTTGGAATTTGATCTGTATTCTTTCAACCAACAATGAACAGATTTAAAAGTAGGTATTTGACAAGTATTTGCTCACTGATGAACAAACACAGAGGTCAACAAAAGAGGGTTACCAGCACCCCAGAGTGAAAGAATGGAGAGTGGGAATGCGGCTTGTTTGTCTAAGCAGTGGTGGAGCTGAAGCCACTTTGATTTCCAGTATGGAATAATTCGTCAGGTGACCTGGGATGAGAATGTTAACCCTCTTTTTGTTGCTATGAAAAAGGCGGATAATATCTATTCCATACAGGGCAGCACTAAAGGAGGGTAAACATGATTGATCACTGTGACTTTGAGGAAGGAAGACAGTATAATAAATACTAATTATAATAACCATTCCTGGCTTCTAAGAAAAATGCCTTTTAAAAAAGGAAGGAAGGAAAGAACAATCCCTCCAACAGGGGGCCTCCTGGGACAGGCTTGGTGTGTCATGGCCTCGTGCCGGTCCGAATAAATCCAAAGGGGAAAGGATTCGGTGACAGTTCACAACAGCAGGAGCAGGCAGAAGACCTTCGCTTTTTTCAACGTTTTACATAAATTAATTTCATGTTTCAATTGCCACATTATCACAACTTTAGATTAATATACATGGGGCCAAGACTTGCAGATAATTGTATATTTCTGCACTTCACGTAAATGCTAGCTATAAACATTTAAAATGTAAAATGTAAAATGAGCGGTGGCTCATGCCTGTAATCCCAGCACTCTGGAAGGCCAAGGCAGGCTGAGGCAGGCGGATCACTTGAGGTCAGGAGTTCGAAACCAGCCTGGCCAACATGGTGAAACCTCATCTCTACTAAAAAAAATACAAAAATTTGCTGGGCAGGGTGGCGTGCGCCTATAATCCCAGCTACTCAGGAGGCTGAGGCAGGAGAATTGCTTGAATCCTGGAGGCGGAGGTTGCAGTGAGCTGAGATCGTGCCACTGCACTCCAGCCTGGGTGACAGAGCAAGACTCTATCTCAAAAAAAAAAAAAAAAAAAAAAAAAAAAAAAATATATATATATATATATATATATATATATATATACACATACATATATATATACACACACACATACATATATATATATATGGTTGGCCTACATATATATATACACATACATATATATATATATATACACACATATACATATATATATATATATATATATATATATATATATATATATATATATATATGGTTGGCCAGGCACTGTGGGTCATACCTGTAATCCCAGCACTTTCAGAGGCTGAGGCAGGAAGATTGCTTAAGCTCAGGAGTTTGACACCAACCTGGGCAATATAGTGAGACCCATCTCTATAAAAATTACAAAAAAAATTAGCCAGGCGTGGTGGTTCATGCCTGAAGTCTTAGCTGCTCCGGAGGCTGAGGCAGGAGGATTGCTGGAGTCCAGGACGTCGAGGCTGCAGTGAGTCATGATTGTGCCAGTGCACTCCAGCCTGGGAGACAGAGCAAGACCCTGTCTCAAAAAAAAAAAAAAGTAAAGTCCATAAACTAGCTTCATATAAAAACTCCGGTATATACAACGACAGATATTTCATCATCTCTGGCCCCTAGCAAATAGTTGCATCCTTGAGTGAATCATTTCAGCTCTCTGTGACTTTGTAATTCCAATCTTATATCCTGTACACTGCCTAGTGCCTTCTGGAAATAAATGGGAACATGCCTGAACTTTCCAGATAAATTTACCAGCCCTTTAGCCCTTCCCCTCTCGGCTCTCTGTTTCTTCCCTGTTTCTCGAGAACACGCACATGGTTTACAGCGTGCTTTACAGCGTTTCAAGCCCAAACAGAACACGCTCCACAGGGAAGGGGCTGATTGGTTTAGTTTTCAGGCAGCCCCGCGAGGGGTGGTAATTGACACTTGAACAATGACATGTTGCATTCCTTCATATCGCAGCAGTAATTGAACACACATGAACCCCCTGCACTGGTGACCCTGGAGTGTGCCACACACCTGGAAATAGTGAGGTTCAATTAATATGTCACCGCCACTAAGCAGCTACCAGTGAGAACCACCAGTCAGCTGCCACAGCCCAGCGGTCACAGAACAAAGCAGAGAGCAATGCGGGGTGAACCCCGGGAGCTGCTGCTCCCCTGCAGAGCTTCCCCGGACTGGCCCCTAAAATCTGGTTTTCCCAAAAAAACTTACTCACTTTTAATGACTCCAATTAATTTTATCTAACAGCTTTGTTCACCTCTCCCTCAAAGAGTTATTTTTGCATTAAAATAGCAAAATGCTCAACTAGAAGGGGACGGCAATGACCCAGCTAAATTTTTGTGATGACACTTTTAATATAAAAAACAGATCAGAAATGGAATATGATATGAATATGAATATGAAAGGCGGGATTCAAGCCAAGGAAATAAAGAAAGAATGATGGATTCCACCTCTTTCATTCAGTCCCTTGAGTATTTGTGGTGTGCTGACAGTAGCCCGGGGTTACTGCAGAGATTATTGCAAGCCTGGCAGCTGCTCTTCCAGAGCTCACAGACTCGGGGTGATAGCACAATGATGTGGGACAAATCCCCCGAGGCAGAGAATGGGGCACCCAGGGCAGCCTCATCAGTGCCCTCCCCTCATCTGGAAATCTCAGGAGACTTCCTGGAGGAAGCTGCATCTAAGCTGGAGAAGCAGCAGGAGTGAGGAGGGGAAGAGAAGGGAGAGGGGAGAGGGGTCCAGGCAGAGGCCAGCACTGCCAAGGCTGTGAGGCCAGAGAGAAAGTGGCAACATGAGGAGGGGGTGCAGAAGGAAAAGGGGAGTTTGGAAGCCAAGGTCAGAAGTGGGCACTTCCATTTCAGAGCCTAGTTACACTTTTTCCAGAACCAATAGCTATTCTCCTCCTTAAACACACACACACACACACACACACACACACACACACACACACAGAGAGAGAAAGAGCGAGAGAGAATATTAGCATTCAAACAAGAGTAAAGCTACAATTTTGGCATATTCTTGGAAGAGAGGAAAATGGACATTTCATTTTATATTTAATAAATTCCATTTAATTAATTAACAAAACCTGGCAGCACTCCCCGAATGAATGAAAATCTGCCAAATCTGAAGGCCAACAACGCTGTTGCACAAAGTCTGACAACTTGCTGTCCCTGGCCACACCCCAGCCCAGATCTCCCTGCCAGCCTTGTCATTTTGTCGTGCGTTTGCTGGCAGTGGCACGCAGCGGGTTACTTCGGGTCTCTGGGCTCAGGCTTCCCCTGTAAGGTGAGGAGCTGTGACTTAGGTATACTGCACTTTAGCACTGGGATTGGCCTCCAGAGAGAACAGGGGCAATCCGGGACACCCCGCTGGTCCCTCTGTGACCCACTCTTGGCCCTTAAGCTCCCTAAGGAGGGAGGTCTCCTGTCTATACAGGACCAATCTAGGCTACTCTAGACATCAAGATACTGTAGGGTGCTTCCAGTTAGGCAGGTGTTTCTCTCTCTCTCTCTCTCTCTCTTTTTTTTTTTTTTTCAGACAGAGTCCCTCTGTCACCCAGGCTGGAGTGCAGTGGCGCAGTCTCGGCTCACTGCAACCTCTGCCTCCTGGGTTCAAGCGATTCTCCTGCCTCAGCCTCTCGAGTAGCTGGGATCACAGGCATGCACCACCACGCCCAGCTAATTTTTGTATTTTTGGTACAGATGGAGATTCACAGTGTTGGCCATGCTGGTCTCGAACTCCTGACTTCGTGATCTGCCCGTCTTGGCCTCCCAAAGTGCTGGGATTACAGGCATGAGCCATCATGCCCGGCCAACATGTGTTTATCTCTACACTCTCCTCAAATCTCACTAAAATGACAGTAAAGGCAAAAAAAGGAACACACTTGCAGAGACAACAAGGTCAGGAGAAGAAACCGTGGAATATGAGAAAGCTTAGCAATATTTTGAAGGGAGAACAATGCATGGGCTAATGGTCTCTGGCTTAGCGGGCTGGAGAGAGATGAGCCCTGCCAGCTGGAGTGAGGTGGAGGGGGTGAGCCCTCAAGAAACAAGATGATTTCTGATCCAGAATCACAGAAACACTCAGAAATCAGGGGCTCCATATATATATATATATATATATATTTTTTTTTTTTTTGACATAGGGTCTCACATTGTCACCCAGGCTGGAGTTCTGTGGCATGATCTCGGCTCACTGCAGCCTTGACCATCCAGGTTCAAGTGACCCTCCTGCCTCAGCCCTCCAAGTAGCTGGGTCTACAAAGGCACACCACCACACTCAGCTAATTTTTTTTTTTTTTTGTATTTTTAGTAGAGACAGGGTTTCACCATGTTACTCAGGCTAGTCTCAAACTCTTGAGCTCAAGCGATCCGCCCGCCTCAGCCTCCCAAAGTGCTAGGATTTCTGGCATGAGCCACGGCACCCGGCCAGCCCCAGGTATTTCTGAATGTGAGAGTACACCAGCAAGCTGCGGAGGAGGGTTGGTTGGAAGACTGTGCAGGGGAAGGCAGACCCTCAGGCCCCTCCTGGGTGCACCAGTGTTGCTGGTGCTGCTCACCTGATCTCTGAATGTCTGCTGCTTGCCCTCCCCTTCAGAATACTGGATATTTCCTCTCTGACCAGGTGAACCAGAGAGGCTCAGGGCACTGGATCCAGCTGAGGGCAGCAGAATGAAAAGCATGCTCACTGAACAGGGAGATAAACCCACCCCATCCAATGGTGTTGAAAAGTATGGTGTAGTCTTGGAGGGACCAGTGTTCCCAAACTTGCAGGATATCGCCGGAACCCAAACTGAAATTATGGTTTAATGCCTCTCAAAACTGGTGAGCCCACTGTTCTTCTCACATGTATCTCCATATGTGGACGTGCACCAGAGCCTTTTTCTACCCTCTGAAGGAGAGAAGCGTTCTGTTTAGGGGCTCGTAGAAGAGAGGAACATGAGAAGGCTGAGAAGAGTGGAGGACCCAACAGAGAACTACCATCTCCAGTCTCCCAGGCTGGGTTGAGCCTCAGCAGAAAAGCGTGTTGACCTCAGCACGGGCAGTGGAAAACCAGACATCCAATGTGTTTGCAAGAAATATTCATTTAGATTCACAGAGCTCTTGGTCTAAGCCTAGGATCTTGGTAGGAGAGGGAGGCGGGGGTCTTTGGCCTCTGGGATTCATTGTATCAACCACCAGCAATCTTTGGAATGGGCCAGCTGCTCCCTAGGCCAGAGCTGTTAGGGCTGGAGGCGGGGAGGCCATTTGGACAGTTGAAGAACTCTGTAAAACTACCTTATGCACCTGCAGGTAAAGTCACATTTTGGGGTTATCAAAGTCTAAATTAAATGGTACATAGTATAATTAGTGCTGGATTGGGAAAGAGAAGAATTGCTCATTATATACCCACCGCTGTCATTATTGGGACAAAACGATCTTCCACTGGCCCCACCAGAGCCCACCTCTGCAAGGGCCACGGCCAGCATCCTCACCCACAATTGCTGCCTCACTCGTGGGTTCTTTCACGTGGCTGTGTGGACCATGTAGGTGACCTCCCCCGTGCTCTCTCTGAGCCACTGTAAAAAAACTGATTCTTCAGTGCATGGGAAGTTCCTGTGGCCCTGCCGGTTCTCGGACCCGGCCTTGACCCGAAGGGCACTGATGTTCTGCTCAAGTGCAGAAGGGCTGGATTTTGCAGGGTCAGGAAATACATTTGTGCAGTGACTACAAGATCCCCCTGACATCTTGGTTTGTGGGAAATGCAGATTTTCTTTTTTCTGTAACTTAAATTTGGCTCTCAAGGCCCCGTTTCTGCTGGTGGTGGGATACACTGGTATTAATCTTGCCAAGTCAAGGTCAACTCCAGCTATTTGTTATTTAAAGCATAATCCCTTTGAAGTAACTCTTTAGACAATTCATCGTTCTCAGATCAATTCCAGGAGCTTCCCCTCCGTGTCTGCCCACTCTGGTCACCCCCTTTCTTGGCACTGGTGATGGCACTCCTCCAGAAAAATGCCACCCTTGTTCTGGCAGGATCTGACTTCCAATCCAGCCCACAGCCTATGACCCCTTGTCCCTCAGCTCAGGGACCCATGGCTGGCATTGTCAACACCTCCCTGCCAGGCACCTGGAAATACTCACTCTTTGCCCATATCCCATTGGGCTAGGGCCATCTAAGACCCCATTGAGGGCTGGGTGCATGGTTCACCTTCTTTCCTGTCCTCCCCCAATTCCTGGGGGCTTCAATGTTTTGTTTTAATAAAGAGCCCATTTCCTCACTCCTGGCTTTGTGGAGCAACCATGAGACCCCAGGAGGGACCCCAGAGTCTGACTGTGTACACATGGGGGCCATATGCAGGACTTAGATCCATCCTTCACCCAACGAGATTCAATTTCGAAACAGCTCAGATATCTCCTCCCTAACAAGTTTAGCCTTCTCCTTGTCCTGTCAAAAGGGAACAGTGTCCTGGTGCCTACTTGATCTGTCAAAAAATCTTTTCCTGGCCAGGCACGGTGGCTCACGCCTGGAATGCCAGCACTTTGGGAGACTGAGGCACGTGAGTCACTTGAGGTCAGGAGCGCGAGACCAGCCTGGCCAACTTGGTGAAACTCTGTCTCTACCAAAAATACAAAAATTAGCCAGGCGTGGTGGTGCACACCTGTAATCCCAGCTACTCAGGGGGCTAAGGCAGGAGAATTGCTTGAACCTGGGAGGCAGAGGTTGCAGTGAGCTGAGATCGCACGACTGTACTCCAGCCTGGGTGACAGAGCAAGGCTCTGCCTCAAAAAAAAAAAAAAACTTCCTCATTTTTTCTCCTTCTTCTTCCCAATTCTGTATTCCTGTTCTGTAAAACGAAGGGGGATTTATCTTTCTGATATCTAATCAGATGCACAAATAGGACAAAAGTCTTGAGCCCAAAGGAGAGCAAGGTTGGATACGCAAGTTAGATAAGATGGGAGAGGACATCTCTGCAAATGGTGGGACACACAGAAAGTAGCAAAGGCCAAATGATAGTGGGTGACAAGCAAGGAGGAGGAATCCAGTCAGTGAGAAAGAGCTGGCAAACTTCAGCAGAAACACGGCTGAAGCACAGCGCTGGCAAAGGGGACTCTGGCAGGGTATGTGTGCTTGGGACAAATTAGCCTTCAAGTCTACCGTCTCTGAGGGGACACCAGCTGAGGGGAAGCTGACCCTGGCTGCCAGCCCCAAGCTTTGGGGAGGCCTGTCCTGGGGGTCAGTGGTCCGCTGACTCCCCACCGTGCCCACCTCCTCGGCTTCCCAGCTGCGGTGGCCCAGGGAGGCCTCCTGCCATGCCCACCCCCACCAAGCCCCATCTCAGCGCTCCACTGGGGGCTCTTAGCCCAGCCCCCATTGCACCTCTGACGGCAGGAGCTGCAGTGACTCTGGCACCTGGGTCTGGCCTGGCCGGCCCCACCGCTGGGAACTGCAGTCTAGTCTAGAAGGTCCAGGCAAACTCTGCCCAGGAGAGACAGAGGAAGGAGCCCTCAGAGAGCTGCTCTCCCTGTCTCCCCATCCCACAGCCTGTCCCAAGCATCAGTGGTTAAAGGTGGCTTCTCCTGAGATGTCTCATGTGCCCGATGTCCTGGGGCGCTGTGGCCAGCTGAGCAAAGCCCCGCCTAGCACTGACACCCCTCCTTTTCTGCCTCCCTTTCCTTCTCCCCTCACTCTGGCTTCTCTGGGGTTGCACCAACCACCACCCCAAAAAGGGATTCACACATAAGCTTTGCTGCAGGCTCTTTTCTAGGGCGCTGAACTAGCTTTGCCTCTGGAAAATGGTGCCTCTCTGCGGAGGGGCGGGAGGCTGCCTTCTGCAAATTATCACCTCGTTAATTTTCTGGAATGGGTGTAGAGGCATATCATCTGTGTTCATTTCCTTCTACAAACTGGGTGGCTTAACACAACAGAAATGTATTCTGTCTCAGTCCTGGAGGCCAGAGGTCTGGCAACAAGGTGTACACAGGGCTAGGGCAGGATCCTTCCTTGCCTCTCCCAGCTTCAGGAGCTCCTGGCACTCCCTGGCATTCCTGGCTTGTGGTTGCATCCCCCTCCTATCTCTGCCTCTGTGTTCACAGCGCCTCCTTCCCTATGTTTCTGCCCAAGCTGTCTCGGCTTCCCACTTCTAAGGACACTTGGGGTGCCATGTGGGGCCCAGCCAGGTAAGCCAGGATGATCACCTCACCTCGGGATCCTTAACCGTCACATCCTTTCTCCCAACAAGGTCACATTCACAGGCTCCGGGGATTAGCTTTGGGTGGGGGGCATTTTTCAATCTAGCATACCATCCTCACTCCCCTGGCTGAAATGTGCAGCAGAGAAAGAGAAAAGAAAGAAAAACAAGTGAAATGCCAACCCAACAATTCTAAAATTCCGAGACGCATGAGCAGGGAAAAGTGCGATGTTTCCATTTCTAGTGCCTTCTGCGCCACAGGAGAGATCAGACCTTCAGTCTTCATATCGGCATGTGTTATTTCTTCCTTGGGAGAAACAAAGCGAATCATCCAGTATTGCCGAGTGGAACGGCGCACACGTGGGAGGGCTGGGAGTAGCTGGGTGTCCCCGGCTCCTGGTGAGAACCCCCGCCACCCAACCTCCCCCAGCCTCCCAATGGCTTATTTCAACACCTTTGGGCCAAGAAAGCTGGAGTGGAACTGTCAGTGCCCCCATTTAAAACCCATTTGTGAATGGCTCATAAATCACACCCTTAGAAAACTCACTCCTCATTATAATTCTGCAGAGAAAAACTCTGTTCAGCAATTGCAATAAATGTGAGAGTGAGTAGGTTGCTTTTTCAGCAGGGGGTCATATGGAAGAGGGTTTTGCATTATATTCTTCAGTCTTAATAAAAACAGGAATAATTACGAGCATGTCTCCAAATGTACAAAGTCTCTGCTGTCAGACTTCACAGTGGCCGCTGAACACAAAGTGTGATTTCGGAGAAGCCAGAAAGGGTCACAATCCCCAAGACCTCAACCTTGCTGACCCAGTGAAGCAACTAGGTTAAAGTCCCAAATTCTACCATTAGAGCTTCCTTTCTTTGGGTTTGCCCCTGGTCAAAACATTAACATTGCTGGAAGGAGTCACATTTTAAGCACGGTTTTGTTTATACCTTTATTCTGGCATTTTCTTTTCTTTTCTTTTTTGTTTTGTTTTTTTTTTTTGAGACAGAGTCTCATTCTGTCATCCAGGCTAGAGTGTAGTGGTGTGACCTTAGCTCACTGCAACCTCCACCTCCTGGATTCAAGCGATTCTCCTGCCTCAGCCTCTCGAGTAGCTGGGACTACAGGTGCACACCACCATACCTGGCTAGTTTTTGTATTTTTAGTAGAGACGGGGTTTCACCATGTTGGCCAGGCTGGTCTCCAACTCCTGATCTCAAGCAATCCACCTGCCTCTACCTCCCAAAGTGCTGGGATTACAGGCGTAAGCCACCAATTCTGTCATTTTCTAAGAACAAGATGGTTATAGTGCACGGTGATGCACCAGATAGGATAAGGAGACATCATTGAGGGTGAAGATGAACAATCACAGTCCGGGCTGAGTCCCAGGCTATGCCTGGAGAAGGCCTCTGTGAATCTGATTTTATAGAAAACCTAAAATGTACTAAGTGCCTACTCGACATCCAGGGCTATGTTCTTCCACATAGAGTGTCTCATTTAATCCTCACATTAACCTGTGAGGTAGGCACCAAAGCTCCTCCAGGTGTGAGTGGGATGGGATCTAAAAGGTCGCTCCTAAGTCCACTGTTCTAGTTCAAAATGACACCAAATGAGTTAAGGGTGTATGTCCATATAAAGTTAAGTTTTACAAAAGAACTGTAAGTGATAACTTCTATTTCCAGACCATGAAGAACTAGGAGCTTGAGGGACTGACTTACTTCCCAACAAGATCTCAGACATGACATATTCCTGGAGGTGGAAGTCTTCAGGGATGCCATGAAATAGACAGACACAGACAAAGGAAAGCTGAGCCTGAAAGAGGATGGGGGAGGTGCAGGAGAGGAAAGGAGGTAGATGATCGCTCCTGTGACCAGAACTGAACAGGAATCACCAGTGACCAGGGCCTCCACACTCAGGAGCTGGTTGAAAGGCAGGGAGCTGGGGCCGGAGTAACTAACTGAGAATCGGAGTGATCAGAACTGGCCTGAACCTGTGGCAACAGGCCAGGGGGTCAGGTGGTCCCGAGGCAGGGTCCCATGTGGGGCCTGAATCTGAGATTCTCACTCTATGAAAAATTATTTGAGAGATTCTAAGGTGATCATGAATGGAGGAGAGGGGGCTTCCCCAGCTATTGGCACAAGCAGAGGTAGTCTCTTTGGAGGAAACTTTTCCCCAAGTTAGTTTTGCAGGAATCCCACAAATTAAAATTATGCATGACTTCACAAGCAAAAATTGACAGATACTTGGGAAGGCAAGTCACTATGAATGACAGCTAACCGGGGCAAGAAACATTCCATCCCAAGAACAACAGATGTTCTGTCATTGCGACAAAATGCAGAATAGTTAAGTATACAATGTTTAAAGAAGAAAGAATATACTTATAAAGATGAATAAACAAGAAGAAACTATGAAGCATGAATGGATAGAATCAGGAAAAAAACATAATTAAATTGTAAAAAATGTATTACTATAACTATTAAATTAAAAAACTGAATGGACAAGTTAAACAGTTGATTACACTGTTAAGGAGGGAATTAATGAGCTGGAAGATATATTTGAATAACTTATCTGGAATTCAGCAGAGAAATAAAGAGCTGGAAATGTGAAAAATATAAAGGATATGGAGACTAGAATGAGGAGGTCTAGCATGGGGCTGGGAAACAATGGCTCATGTGCCAAATCCTGCTGGCCACCTGTGATGGTTAATACTGAGTGTCAACTTGATTGGATTGAAGGATACAAAGTATTAATCCTGGGTGTGTCTGCGTGGGCATTGCCAAAAATGATTAACAGTTGAGTCAGTGGGCTGGGGAAGGTAGATCCACCCTTAATCTGGTGGGCACCATCTAATCAGCTGCCAGTGAATATAAAGCAGGCAGAAAAACGTGAAAAGGAGAGATGGGCCTTTCTCCTAGGCTGGATGCTTCCTGCCCTGGAACATCGGACTCCAAGTTCTTCAGTTTTGGGACTCAGACCTGGCTCTCCTTGCTCTTCAGCTTGCAGACGGCCTATTATGGGACCTTTGATCGTGCAAGTTAATACTTAATAAACTCCCCTATATATATATATGTATACACACACACACACACACACACACACACGCACGCACATATATATATTCTGTCCCTCTAAGAGAACCCTAATACACCACCTGTCTTTATAAATAAAGTTTTATTGGAAAACAAACTCCTTTGTTTACACACTGCCTTTGGCTTCTGTCACACTGCAAGAGGGTTGAGTAGAGTTGAGAATGTACATGTCCTTCAAAGCCTAAAATATTTACTCTCTGGCCTTTTACCAAAAAAGTTTGGGCCAGTCGTGGTGGCTCATGCCTGCAATCTCAGCACTTTGGGAGGCTGAGGTGGGAGGATTGCTTGAGCCCAGGAGGTCGAGACCAGCCTAGGGAACATAGTGAGACCCTGTCTCTACAAAAAAAAAAAAAATTAAAAATTAACTGGGCATGGTGGCACACACCTGTGGTTCCAGCCACTCAGGAGGCTGGGACGAGAGGATTGCTTTCAGTCTGAGAGGTTGAAGCTGCAGTGAGCCATGATCACACCACTGCAGTCCAGTCTCAGTGACAGTGAGACCCTGTCTCAAAAAAAAAAAAAATTTCCCCTGCTGTAGTCTATATCTGACTGGGAACACAGAAGGAAAAAATGGAGAGAAAGGAAGAGAGGCAATATTTTAAAAGGTAATGACTAGATTTTCCCAAACTAATTTAAAACATGAAGCCACATATCCAGAGAGTACAACATATTCTGAGCAGGCTAAATAAAAGACAGTCATACTGCTGTTCTAGGTTGAATTGTATTCCTGCAAAAGATGTTGAAATTCTAACTCTCAGCACCTGTGAATATGACCTAATTTGGAAATAGGGTCTTTGCAGATGTAATCAAGTTAAGGATCTTGACATGAGACCATTCTGGATTTGATATGGGATCCAAATTCAATGATTGATGTCTTCGTACAAAAAAAGCAAAGAGAATGAGAGATCAGTGGTATGAAGACACAGGGAAGAAGCCACGTGAAAACAAATCCTGCCCAAGCCAAAGAGAGTGTGGGGCCACGAGAAGCTGAAACAGGCAGCAGGAGTTCTCCCCTAGAGCCCTTGGAGGGAGCACGCCTTGATTCTAGACTCCTGGCCTTCAGAGCTGTGAGAGAATAAACTTACGTTGTTTAAAGCCACCCAGTTTGTGGTGATTTGTTACGGCAGCCCCAGGGAACAAACACAGATTTTGGTGTTGATGTGGGAGAATAAAAAATGATTCCAAGTTCTTTGTTATTCCCCACACTAAAGAGATACTATTTATTTCCCCTCCTCTTGAATCTGGGCTGGACCGTGACTGTTTTAACCAACAGAATATGCAGAAGTGATGCTGTATTAGTCCGTTTTCATGCTGCTAATAAAGACATACCTGAGATTGGGTAATTTACAAAGCAAAGGGGTTTAACTGGCTCATAGTTCAGCATGGCTGGGGAGGCCTCAGGAAACTTACAATCATGGCAGAAGGGGAAGAAAACATGTCCTTCTTCACAGGGCAGTAGAAAGGAGAAGAATGAGTGTTCAGTGAAGGGGAAGGCCCCTTATAAAACCATCAGATATCATGAGAACTAATTCACTAATACGAGAACATGATGGGGGAAATTGCCCCCATGGTTCAATTATCTACACCTGGTCCCTCCTATGACATGTGGGGATTATGGGAACTACAATTCAAGATGAGATTTGGGTGGGGACACAGCCAAACCATATCAGGTGCCATGCCAGGTCCAGGCCCCAGCCTTCAGAAGCCGTGGCAGAGTCTGCATTTACACTACTGGGAGCCGGGAGCTGCCACAAAAGAAGTGCAGTGACCCTGCTGAAGAGACCATGTGGAGAAGCCAGAGGAGAGAGAGAGACCATGGGACCACATGGAGGAAGGCAGGCCCCCAACTCCAGCTAAGCCTGGCCTTCTAGATGCCCCTTCTTCCCACCTCTTTGGAACTGGCTTTGAGTTTTGCCTCACTCCTGTCCCATTCCAGGGCCTGGTTCTCAGGACTGGAACCCCTAGTGCTTTCTGGGTCCTGGAGCACTTCCTCAGAGGCAGCTCAGAATCAGCCAGTCCTGCCCCAGGGCTTCTGTTACATGTGGGGAACCATCTTGGATGCCTCTGCCCAGTGGAGCCACTGCAGCTTCAAGCAATGTCATCTGCAGCAGAAGAGCCACCCAGCTCATCCCAGTCAACCCACAGAATCATGAGGCATCTATAACCTTGAGGAAGAAGAGACTCTTACAGATATAGGCGTTGTAGGCAAAACCAGGTGTAGATAAATGGCTGGTTCTTGGTTGGCTATTCTCAGCAGATGTGCTGATAATAGTAAATTCTTTTTTTTTCTTTTTTTTTGAGACAGAATCTGGATCTGTTGCCCAGGCTGGAGTGCACTGGCACGATCTCGGCTCACTACAACCTCTGCCTCCCACGTTCAAATGATCCTTCCACCTCAGCCTCTCCAGTAGCTGGGATTACAGGCGTGCAGCATCATGTCCAGCTAATTTTTGTATTTTTTGTTTTTGTTTTTGGAGAGAAGGGGTTTCATCATGTTGCCCAGGCTGGTCTCAAACTCCATGGCTCAAGCGATCCACCTGCCTCGGCCTCCCAAAGTGCTGGGATTAGAGGCGTGAGCCACTGCGCCCAGACAGATAATAGTAAATTCTTTAGATACATATGAGTAGGAGCTTCCCAGAGAATCCAGCCAAAAGTTAACCCTTAGGTCTTAGTGTCATATGACTCTAATATTGTTAACACACACAGGAAGGCCTTCTTCTAAATAGTAGTATTAATAAACACTTTTTTTTTCTTTAGACAGTTTCGCTCTTATTGCCCAGGCTGGAGTGCAATGGTGCAATCTTGTCTCACTGCAACCTCTGCCTCCTGGGCTCAAGTGATTCTCCTGCCTCAGCCTCCCAAGTAGCTGGGATTACAGGCCTGCATCACCACGTCCAACTAATTTTTTGTATTTAGTAGAGATGGGGTTTCACCATGTTGGTCAGGCTGGTCTTGAACTCCTGACCTCAGGTGATCCGCCGGCCTCGTCCTCCCAAAGTACTGGGATTACAGGTGTGAGCCACCATGCCCAGCCTAAACACTTATTTTTACAACTAAGTAAATAAATCTTACCAAATAAAACATCAAATTATCAAATAAAACAAAACATCAAATTAACAAATACTGAATCAAATCAATCATAAAAACAAACTCATCGTTAAATACGTGCCTTAGGGCCAGAAACTTGACCACTCTGTGGAACTGTAGAGACAAAGTGGTACTCACTTATGTAACCATGCACACCTCATCCCAGAGTCAGAAATAAAAAACACAACATACCTGAGACAAACAAACAAAACAAGGTCACCTAAAATGAGGAAAACCTTGTGCCTTTCCTGTAAGTTACTCACTCCTCAATGAAACCTTTACCCCAGACTTTTGCAATGCTGCTGCTTAAGGATTTATCAGGACCTTTGTGGATATGACAATTGTGTGATGAATTTTGTTTCTCTGCCATGCACAGACTACTATAAACTCAGTGGCCTTTGTAATTTTTGCGTTTGTTTACTTTAAATGCCTGTTTTATTTGATGATCCATTTCTTCCAGCCCCGGAACATCCTTGCAGATCTTTTTCAAGCAAACTTTTTTTTTTCCCCAAATGCTTTTGTCTCAAAATCTTCCATTCCCAGAGACTCTGAACTCAGAGAGGGCAGGCACAGCAGGGGGTGGGGGTGGGCACTGCATGGAAATAGGAGAATTAAGCGAAGATCTATGTCCTGAATAGCCATGTACTCCCACTCAGCTCCCAGAACATTGAAAATGAGGTGCCTTTTTTCCAGGCAAGAAATTGGAGGATTTGTCTCTGAAGAATCTAAATGGCCTCAGTAAAAATACTGCTGAGATTAACAGTTAGGGCCCCCGGTTAAAACAAACAAACAAACAAACAGCCCTCCAATCACCCTGCAGAGAAGCCCAACCACCACATGTCCCAGTAAACTCTGCAGACCTTCCCTGCAGGCTCCTTCTCTTACAGGAGAACTCTCCAGGATCTTTCCTTTTTTGTTGGTTTGTTTTGTTCTCTATCATATTAGACACCATTCTCTTACACAGGTTACAGACATTTTTCCCCAGCATTTTAATATGAGATGGTCTCTCACGCGACAGGCAAAAAAACAAACAGGAGAAAAGACAAATGTGGGCAGCAGATGAGAAGCTCAAAAATTAAAAACAAAATTTTTAAAGAGAATACAGTGCATCCATAAAACAAGAACAGAATGATAGAGAAAAAGAGGGCACAATCAGAGAGCAAGAATGGGCTTTTAGAAAGTAACGATGCATTTGCTAAAATGAAAAATTCAGTAGTCTGATTGGAAGATGGAGTGAAAAAATTATCCCAGAAAGTAGAACAAAATGACAGAGATAAACCAGAGGAGAAAAAGATAAAAAGAAAAGCAAAAAGTCAATTCAGAAGCCAACATCCAACAACAGGTGGTCTAGAGAAGACAGATAATACAGAGAGGAAAAAAAATTAAAGAAGGAAGACCCCAAACAACTGCCACCACTGAAATGCATGATTTTCCAGACTGAATAGGCCAGAGAGTACCCAGCACAATGAATGGAGCAAAGCCCCCATAAAGATTGTTTCAAAAAAAAATCTTAAGGTCTTTCACAGGGAAAAAATAGTTTCTATTTCTAAAAATTAGGATGATATCAACTTCTCAACAGCAACATTGATGCTGGAAGACAGTAAAGCAACAGCTTCAAATACAATTTCCAGACTCTAGAATTATATAACTAGACAACAATTCGAGAATGAATGTAGAATGAAGACACAGATTGGCAAAATCCCAAACATGTGGACTCCCATGCATCCTTTCTCAGGAAGCTAATTGAAAATGTGCTTCTCCAATAAATGATCCAAGTAAGACACGATGAGAGACAGAGAGAGAGAGAGAAACTAACACATGGGAGGCATGAGGTATCACAGCCCAGTAGAGTCTGATGGGGAATGGCAAATATATGGTCTCAAAGTCACCCACAAAAATACTTACTAATTACATTATTATTATTATTTTAAAACAGAGTCTCACTCTGCCGCTCAGGCTGGAGTGCAGTGGCACAATCTCAGCTCACTGCAACCTCTGTCTCCCAGTTTCAAGCAATTCTCCTGCCTCAGTCTCCTGAGTAGCTGGGACTGCAGGAGTCCTGCTAATTGTTTGTATTTTTAGTAGAGATGGGATTTCATCATGTTGGCCAGGCTGGTCTCATACTTTTGACCTCAAGTGATCCGCCTGCCTCGGCCTCCCAAAATGCTGGGATTACAGGCATGATCCACCATGCCTGGCCGCTTACTAATTACATTATATTTGTGAGAGGTGTCCATAACTAAAAAAAAAGAAGAAGAAGAAGAAGAAAAGAAAATAAACTTACTAATTACAAAGAGAATTGAAACAAATTCCCGGTGGGGAAGACAGATATCACCTTAATCAAATGAGGAAATTTAACATCAATAGTAATAGGGCCAATGAAAATCATGTACACTTGAAAGGATGCAATGAGAACACAGCGCTCTGGCCAGTGATGCCTCACCTGGATCTAATCACAGGCAGCAGCGGACAGAAAGGCAGAGGGGCTGCTTCAGAGCAAAGGAAACTCATGAGACATGACAGCTAAATGAAATACATGATCCGGGATCGGATCCTGGGTCAGGGAGAAAAAAGTTATAAAGCACCTTGGTGGAAAAATTAATGAACTTCAAAGATTAATTCTGGGTTAAATAATAGCAGTCCTTTGACAGGAAATTTTCTAATTTTAATAATTGTATCAAGGTTATGTAAGAGAGTAATCTTGTTCTTAGGAAATATACACTAAAGTATTTGGGGATAAAGGGTAAAGGATATCTCCAACCTATTTTCAAATGAATCAGAGAGAGAGAAAATGATTCATCAAATGGGAGGAAATGTAAACAATGTGTGAATTTAGGTAGAAGTACATGAGTGTTCTTGCAACACTCATGTAAGTTGGGAATTATATAAAAAGTTACTAAAAGGCTCATTCATTTTATTATTATTTCATTTCCCCCCAAAATTTACATTTTATAGTTAAAAATGTGGTATTACGCCAGGTGCAGTGGCTCACACCGGTAATCCCAGCACTTCGGGAGCCCAAGGCAGATGGATCACCCGAGGTCAGGAGTTCAAGACCAGCCTGACCAACATGATGAGATTCCCATCTCTACTAAAAATACAAAAAAATTAGCCAGGCGTGGTGGTGGGCGCCTGTAATCCCAGCTACTTGGGAGGCTGAGGCAGGAGAATTGCTTGAACCAGGGAGGCAGCGGCTGCAGTGAGCCGAGATAGTACCATTGCACTCCAGCCTGGGCAACAAGAGTGAAACTCTGTCTCAAAAAAAAAAAAAAATTGTGGTTTTACTAAAGGAACCAATGAACTAAAAGGCAATATAACAGAAGTTAAAGAGCATCTACCCAGAGGTAGACAGTAGGCTAATTAACCTCCCTATACCTCACCTTCCTCATCGGTCAAAGTGACTAATAATAGTACCTATACCATAAATTTTGAGGATTGTATAACGTAAAACGGGTAGCATCCATACCACCTTATTAAAAAAGCTCATTTTAAGAAACATACCCTTGGGCAGGGCAGGGTGGCCCACGCTTCTAATCCTAGCACTTTGGGAGGTCAAGGTGCGTGGATCGCTTAAGCTCAGAAGTTTGAGACCAGCCTGGGCAACATGGCGAAACCCTGTCTCTACAAAAAATACAAAATCAGTCAGGCATGGTGGCATGTGCTGGTAGTCCCAGCTACTCAGGGGGCCGAGGTGGGAGGATAACCTGAGCCTGGGAGACAGAGGTTGCAGTGAGCTGAGATTGTGCCACTGCCCTCCAGCCTGAGCGACAGAGCCAGAACTTGTCAAAAAGAAGAAAGAAAGAGAAAGAAAGAAAGAAAGAAAGAAAGAAAGAAAGAAAGAAAGAAAGAAAGAAAGAAGAAAGAAAGAAAGAAGAAAAGAAAAGAAAAGAAAACTGTTATGGACATAACCCCTCTCTTGTTCTGGTTGCTCAGATCACAGCATGCAATGTCAATATTGTGTGGCTTATTTGTGCAGTTTGTTCTTTTATATGCCTGATATTCAAATTTTGTTAAGGATCCTATACAGAAAGAAGGTGACAAGAGCCCCATGTTGCTCTGACATGTCCCACTATTTCCCAAGACCTATCTCGTTTTTTCTTTCTTTACATTTCAGAAGCATCCCTGCTCCAAGAGAACAAAGGCAAGCTCATAGACACATCCTTCTTTGTAAACACAGTAAAGAGGAGGGGAAAAAATAAAAGGCACATCCCTCAATAACTGGGCTCTGGAAGGCAATACACTGGAGATAGTTACCTGTGATCTGGAGACATGAACCTAGAATAGAAGAAGTGCCATATTAGATGTCTATTTCCATCTATGAAGAAGTGTCTTAGCAAACTTTGTATTAGGAACAACTACACTAGCTGGATAAAATACAAAAGACAGCATTCAGAGTGCCTGAGAGAACAAACAAGACATCCAGATTGGATCCTGGAGAGGTCCTGAGGAAACACATTGAGGTGAGCCCCATTCTAGCCTCTACTTTTTCCCTCGGAGCATCTGCCGATTTGAAGTACAGGCCACAGGGGATGAATAAAAAGCAGTAGCGGGGAACTTGCATCGGTCTCATTGAGAAGGCTGGAAAGAAAAACTATTTGAATGTAGAACTACCAAGGCAGCCAGTACTTGAGGGGCAAAAATTCAGGGGAAGGGGGGACTGCAGAGATATGAGCTTCACATTCCATGTGGCTTTTGCTATAGGTATTTCCAGCTCAGGACTGAAAAACAAATAGCTGCTGTAAAGAAATTACAAATCAAAACAACAACAGTCTTATTGACTTCAAAAATGTACCCCCAAAATTCACGTCTTCCCTAAGTCTCAGAAAGCGATATTTGGGCATGTAATAAGTAAGCATCTTGAGATGAAATCTTCCTGGATTTACAGTGGTCTCTAATCCAATGACTGGTGTCCTTATAGGAAGAGGTGATGACACAGAGACACACAGAGGGGAAGATGTGGCCAAGGAGACAGAGATTAGAGTGAGGCAGCCACGGCCAAGGAGTGCCTGGGGCCAGGCTGGGAAAGGTAAAGAAGGATTCTTCCATGGGGCCTTCAGAGGAACCATGGCCTTCCTGACACCTTGATTTCAGAGTTCTAGCTTCCAGAACTGTGAGAGAATAAATTTCTTTTTCAAAAACCACCCCATTTGTGGTAATTTACTTACTTCAGCTCCAGGAAACCATACAAGTCTAATGGTGCTGAAGATATAAAAATCATCATTCAGGGCCTGCCAGAGAAGAGGGACCCTGGTAAATACCCCAGGCTTTCAGTTGTGATCCCAGAAGGACTGTGCCCCAGTATAAAGGAAATCAGACTTAGTCTTGACACAAGACTAAATTTTCTCAGGGATGAAAAATACCGCACCAAAAAGTGCATACAAGACATGCAGAGCCAGCATGAAGATCTAACATAGGTATAATTGCAGTGGAGAAGAGCTGAGAGGATGGGGACAAGCAATATTTGAAAAGATACTAAACTGGAAAGTTTCCAAAACTGATGAAAGACATCAAACCACAGAATCAAGATGCTCTGCCAACTCCAAAGAGGATAAATTATTTCTAGGAAAATCAGTAAAACTGATGAAAACCAAGACCAAAAAATATATTTTTTCTTCCCCAGCTTTATTAGGTATAACTGACAAATACAAATTGCGTATATTCAAGGTGTACAACATGATTTGATATACACTAATATGGTTTGGCTCTGTGTCCCCACCCAAATCTCATCTCAAATTGTAATCCCCACATGTTGATGGAGGGGCCTGTAATCACCAGGTGTCAAGGGAGGGGGGTGATTGGATTATGAGGGCGGTTCCCCCCCATACTGTTCTCGTGATAGTGAGTGAGTCTCACAAGATCTGATGGTTTTATAAGTGTTTGCCAGTTCCTCCTTCATTCACTTTTGCTCTCCTGCCTCCTTGCAAAGAAGGTGCCTGCTTCCCCTTCCACCGTGATTGTAAATTTCCTGAGGTCTCCCCAGCCGTGTGGAACTGTGAGCCAATTAAACCTCTTTCCTTTATAAATTACCCAGTCTCAGGCAGTTCTTTACAGCAGCATGAGAACAGACTAATACACACACATACACAGTGAATTTATTATCACAACCAAATTAATTAACATCAGAATTAGTTACCGTGTGTGTGTGTGTGTGTGGGTGTGTGTGATGTGGCACTTAAAATCTACTCTCTTTAGTGTGGGAGGGGAGTGAGGGATGAGAAATTATCTAATAGGTACAATGTACAGTATTCAGGTGATGGTCACATTAGAATCCCAGTCGTCACCACTACACAATATCTCCATGTAACAAAACTGCACTTGTACTCTCTAAATCTATAAAAATAAAAATTCATAAAATAAGATAAAATTCATAAAATCTACTCTTTTCACAGATTTCAAGTGAAAAATATAATATTATTAACTTTAATCACCATGCTGAACCCCCAAAAGCTTTAAAATAGCTAGAGAAAAGAAAAAACACATTACCTTTAAAGGAGCAAAAACGTAAGACCAACAACTGACTTTTCAACAAGAGCAACAGAACATGGTAACTAATTCTGATAATGGAATATAAAGATACCTATTTAATGGGGGTGGGGAGAGGAGAGGAGTATCTACCTGCCACCAACATCATACTTAATGGTGAAATACTGAAAGATTTCCCCTTGAGACCAGGAATAAGGAAAGCATGTCTGCTCTCACCATTTCGATTGAAAATTGTATTGGAAGTTCTAGTCCATTGCACTAAGTCAAGAAATAAATAACAGAAAAGAAGGACTGTAAAGGATAAAATTGTAATTCTTTGCAGACAGCATGGCATGCTCTCTGGGCTACTTGGCAGGTGTGAGCCCTTCACCCATCTCTAGTGCAGGTACCAGGAGTGTTCTGGCACAGAGATTATGATCCTTTGGGGGTCTACCCTATGTGCTGGGTTGAGGAAGCAGATGCTTGGGAAGGAGAGATGCCTGGCTTGATTTAGCTGCTTCTGGCCAGGCACAGGGCATTTGTCTAGGGGCTGGCAGGAAGGGGAGCCTGGCAGCTAGTGGAGTGCACATGGGTGCACTGAGTTGCAAAGTGGGGCCCTTCGTAATGCAAGGGTCTAGATCTTCCATGAAAGTATTATATCCTCATGCCCAAGGGAAAGTGGCATTAAATAGCAACAAACAAAAATCAAAACCACCATCACAAGTGAAGAGAGAAACTGAAGAAAGAGAAAAAAATGTGCTTCGAATTTTAGTACCTTCAATGTCACTTGTTCCTACTTCTTGAACAAGGGTCTCACATTTTTATTGTGCACTGGGCCCTCCAAATGATGTAGATTGCCCTGCTCCCCTTTGTACCTCAAGGCATAGCTTAGAGCAGAGTTCAAAAAAGGGGAGACACAGCAGGAGTCACATAGCTGAGACCATCCTTCTGAGGCCGGAAGATCATGGAGCTGGTGAAGCCTGCTCTCCAGCCCCATGCCTCACATGCCTGTGATGCACTCCTGAACACCTCCCTGCACTGGGCTCAGATGGAAGAAGTCTGAACAACAGATGCGCACGTCAAGGGGGTACCCTTGGAGAACTAAACATTCTTCTTTTAATACCCTGACTTACACTTTCTCTTTGAGATACATTTTTTCATTTGTAGATAGTTTGGTATGTACATCTAAAACAGAAGGGCTCTTTCCTAAAATATGTAATTACAATATCACTGTCGATCATATTTCTCAAGGATGAAAAATACTGTACTAAAAAAATTGACACTTGGCCGGGCGTGGTGGCTCACACCTGTAATCCTAGCAGTTTGGGATGCCGAGGCAGGTGGATCACTTGAGGTCAGGAGTTCAAACCAGCCTGGCCAATATGATGAAGTCCCATCTCTACTAAAAATACAAAAATTAGCCAGGGGTGGTGGTGGATGACTGTAATCCTAGCTACTTGGGAGGCTGAGGCGGGAGAATTGCTTGAACCCAGGAGGCAGAGGTTTCAGTGAGCCAAGATCGTGCCACTGCACTCCAGCCTGGATGACAGAGTAAGACTCTGTCTCAAAAAAAAAAAAAGAAAAAAAAATGACACTCGTGTCTTGATACCATACAAAAAAAATTGACACTCATGTCTTGGTAACATCGAGTATCCAGTCAGTCTTCACATCTCCCTGATTTTCTTATACATTTGCCTGAATTAAAATGCAAACAAGATTCCCACTTTGCATGTGGTTGATATGCCTCTCAGGTGTCTTTTCAACTATGGGTTTCCTTCCTCCCCACTCCCTTTTTTCTCCTTGCCACTCATTTGTTGAAGGAACTGGGCTGTCTTTCCGATAATTTCCCGTATTCTAGACTTGCTGGTAGCATCCTATGACACTGTTTCACGTATTCCTCCATCCCTGGATTTCCTGAAAACCTGTGGTTAGGATGTCTAGTTAGGGACTGAATCAGATTCACAGCTGATGTTTTTAGCAAGACTGTTTTATAAGGGGTATGTACTCCATCAGGAGGCAAGTGAGATCTCCAAATCACTCTGGAGAAACCTCCTTCTCTCTCTTCCCTTCTCCCTACGTGCCTCTCTTCCTCCCTTCCTCTCTCTGTTAGCAGTCGTTGATGATAAGCTGATCATTGCTAAGTTCTATAATCCCAACAAAGGTTTACAAAATGCTTTATCCTCATTCTATCCACCCTTCTTTTATGCTTCCATTAGAATATTTCCATAGGGACAAATTTTCCCTTGTTAACTATCTATTTAGCTATAGACATAATTCCAATGTTATATTTGCAGCATTTCATACGTGTTCTCCCTGGAACTTTATTCCCTACTAGGGTATAAAGAGGAAAACTGAGCAAAAACAAGGAGCCCCTGTGGATACCTATTTCCTTAATTCAAGTAACTGATATTCCACCTATATATCTTTCAACTCAGAATATGTAGGGCCATGCAAGTATTTTGTTTATTTCATGGTTATTCCTGTAGCCTTTTGGCATTTGACATTGTAAGTCACAATCATGATTAATACATGAGCTCTGGGAAACTTTGATTGATAGATCACTAATATTTTTAAGGAGTAGCTCACAATTACCAGACTGCACTCAAAACAGCAGAAATTCTCTCCAAGAAAATGTGTAAATAGCTAGTTTCTACAGGAGAGGAAACCTCTCTGAGTTTGTCACCTTCAGCTTTGGTTCACACTCCACCTGACCCATTTAATTATACAAGGGCATCAGTCATTGAAAGCTAAAATTAACAGTTCATGACTTTTGCCAGAGAGCTCTGATATCTCCAGTGGAAATTTTCCATACTGCTCTTGTGACAGACTGACATCCACTGATGTTGCCACAGAGAAACAAAAAATAAGAAATGAGGTTTTTGCCTTGGTTTTTCAGTAATTGCCACATGGACAGCCTGCCTGGTCTTGGTGACAACCCCACTTTGGTCACATTCACATAACACATAGTTTTTAGTCATTGACTGTGGGCCTGGTGCTGAGAGTAAAGAAGTGCACAAGACAAAGAGCCTGTGCCCAGAGCCAGGAGAGCTGGCCTCCTACACCAGCCCCAGCACTCACTGGCCACATGGGTTCAGGCCAAGTCTTGAAAATCACATAGATTCGAGGCATTGGAAGAGTTCCCAGGGAAAGAGGCACTCCACACCAAGTCAGGAAGAGCCAGATTAAATTCCCAGCTCCCTCCCTTACCATCTGTGTGGCATGAGCCTGAGGTCACTTAGAAATGGTCAGAAAGGAAGAAGCAGATGAAATGGGAGAGTGCAAGGAAGATCCAGGGGAAACCACATAGCTATCGTTTCTTCTTTAATCAGGGTGTAACATTCATATAGTAAAATGTAATAACATGCACCAATCTTAAGCACACAACATAAGGAACTCTTCACATGAATCCCATATAACCACCACCCAGATCAAGATATAGAACATTTCCAGCACCCACAGTAGACAGACATTTTAATGTGAAAATACCAAAAGTTGAATCCCACAACTTCTATTATGTTACCACAATCAGTCCTGCCTCACTCCAGTGCCAACTCCTTACCAGTGGAGATGGGTTTACAGTTCCTTGTTCTACCCTCCTGGTGACCAAGAGCACCACTTACAGACTAGCCTACTGATCTGGGGTTACAGATGGAGCCTATAGATCTGTCTTAGACTTTGTTTTTTTTTTTTTTTTTTTTTTTTTTTTTTTTTTTTTTTTTTTTTTTTGAGACAGAGCTTACTCCGTTGCCTAGGCTGGAGTGCAGTGGCATGATCTTGGCTCACTTCAGCCTCTGCCTTCTGGACTCAAGCTATTCTCATGCCTCAGCATCCTGAGGAGCTGGGATTACAGGCACTCACCACCATGTCCAGCTAATTTTTGTATTTTTTAGTAGAGGTGGAGTTTCACCATGTTGGCCAGGCTGGTCTCAAACTCCTGACATCAGGTGATCTGCCTGCCTCAGCCTCCAAAAGCACTGGGATTACAGGCATGAGCCACTGTACCCGGCCTGGCTTAGACTTCTAATGTATAATGAGTTAACTGGCCAGTGCTGCACTGGCAAAATATACAAAATATTGTCCCCTTCTTATTTTACTAGCTAACCAGCCCAGATTTTCTTTATATTACAAAGTGTACTAAATATCATAAAATTACTACATGGGCAATAAAAGTTGCGGGGATGTAACAGCATCCTTCTTAATAGCCAACTGGTGGGAACCACTCAAAAGTCCATCAACAGATGAATGGATAAACAAAATGTGGTTTATCTATACAATGGAATATTATTTAGCCATAAAAAGGAATGAAATTCTAATATACGCTACAACATGGATGGACCTTGAAAAACCTTATACTGAGTGAAAGAAACCAGACACAAAAGACCACATACTATTCTATATATTTCCATTCATACACACATCCAGAACAGGTAACTCTGTAGAGACAGAAAGTAGATTAGTGATTGCTTGGACCTGGTGTTCAGGGTGGAGGGATAGGAGGTTAATAGCTAAAGGGTATGGGGTTTGTTTTAGAACATTTTGATAAAATGTTCTAAAATTATAATGTTGTTTGCACCTATTTGCGAATATACTACAAGCCATTAAATTGTACACTTTAAATGGGTGAGTTGTATGGTATGTGATTGCTATGGTTTGAATGTCTGTCGCCTCCAAAACTCCTGGTGAAACTTAGTCCCCATTGTAACAGTATTAAGAGTTGGGGCCGGGCCAAGTGCAGTGGCTCATGCCTATAATCCCAGCAATTTGGGAGGCTGAGGCAGGCGGACCGCTTGAGCTCAGGAATTTGAGAGCAATCTGGGTGACACGTCAAAACTTCATCTCTACAAAAAATACAAAAATTAGTTGGGCATGGTGGTTTGCACCTGTAGTCCCAGCTACTTGGGAAGCTGAGGCAGGAGGATCACCAGAGCCTGGGAGGCAAAGCTGCAGTGAACCAAGCCACACCACTGCATTCCAGCTTGGGCAACAAGAGGGAGATCCTGTCTCAAAAAAAAAAAAAAAAAAAAAGGCTGGGCACCCATGGCTCATGCTTGAACTCCCAGCACTTTGGGAGACCAAGGTGGGTGGATCACTTGAGGCCAGGAATTCAAGACCAGCCTGGCCAACTGGTCTCTATAAGTAGAAACCCCGTCTCTACTAAAAGTGCAAAAATTAGCTGGGCATGATGGTGGGCTCCTGTAATCCCAGCCAGTCAGCAGGCTGAGGCAGTAGAATTGCTTGAACCCGGGAGGTGGAGGTTGCAGAGATACAGTGAGCTGACATCGCACCACTGCACTCCAGCCTGCGCAACAGAGTGAAACTTTGTCTCAAAAAAATAAAATAAAATGAAATGAAGGTCACAAACACCGAGGAAAAAGCCAAGTGAACATAAAGGCAGACCGGAATAATCCAGCCACAAGCCAAGGAGTGCCTGGGGCCACCAGGAGCCGGAAGAGGCAGGAAGGACCCTTTTCTAGGGCCTTCGGAGGAAGGGCAGCCCTGCTGATACATTGATTTCAGACTTTTGGCTGGTCTGAACGGTGAGAAGAAATTTTTGTTGTTTCAAGCCAGGAGGCGGCGATTGCAGTGAGCCAAGATCGTACCACTGCACTCCATCCTGGGTGACAGAGCAAGACTCTGTCTCAAATAAATAAATAAATAAATTACTCAGTCCCAGGTATTCAGCTATAGCAACAGAAACGGGCTAAGACCATGATTATATCTCAATAAAGCCATATTTAAGAAAAGAAAACAAGGGAGCAATACAAAGTAAATTGAACTGTAACTTAAGGTGTTATTACCCAAAGATACTCACGATCAGCATTGTGAGGAAGATCCCTCTGGTACTTTTCTACCTGTAATTTCGTTGTTATTTTACTTAATCATCATCATACAATACATAGAGTTTTATAGGACTGGAATGATTTCTAAGGTATAACAGTCAGATTTAGGTGCCAACACCAGAAATTTATTGAGCTATTTCAAGCACAAAGAGATTTAACAGAAGGACTCTTTGGTGTTTACGAAACTGTTAAAAAGACTGGGTAGAGACTCTCGACTGGCTTCCCAGGAATGGATCACACGCGGAACTGGCCAGCCAAGGCAGCTGTTAGCACTGCCACAGCCAATAATAGCATCAGGAAGCTGCCACTGTGACTGGTGAATCCAGCAACGGCCTTGTTAGCTGTGATTGAGGGATCTGAAAACCACCACTGGAACTGCCGGCTTCAGAGCCTTGCCACTGGCACCTCTGCTAATGCTGCCAGGCACACACATATCCAGAAAAAGCATTCACTGATTGTGCTTACAGCAGAAACCACAATGGCAGCCAAAGTGTGGCGGCCACTTTACTTCTCGAATAAATGCATCCAATTGGTCACACCTAATTGATATCAAGAACCTTAGCTGCAAGGGAGGCCGGAAAATACAATTATATATAGAAAGGTATTTACCAAACCATGTTAGAAGCTTTTAAACTATTTTAAAATAGCTACATAACTTTTCATTAAATATACATACATAGATATATATATATGCATTTAATTAATCAACCCCCCCACCTATTTAGGATACTTTGTTTCCAGAGTTTTATATTATGAATATTAAGAATCCAACATTTAATATTATAAATAATATAACGATACTGCCAATAATAACAACTACAGCTTATTTAATACTTCCTTCTTCCAGGCAGTGTGCTAGGTAGGCCCTTTTATATTCATTATATTTGTCAATCATTTTTTAGTTAAGACTCAACAACCTGCTTATGGGGTAACTATTAATCCCATTGTACACATAACAAAACTGAGGGTTAAAGAGAAGTCAGAGCTAGATTTAAGACCAAAGCTTGCATCTTTAACCAATATGCAAATACTCATGCAAAAAGACTTTTTTGGTCTTAGAAATGATCTCCACTGGACAAATAACCAGAAATAGAATTACATACTGTTCAAGAGCTGTGAATGCTTCTAAATCCCTTGAGATACATGAATGAGCAGGCCAGATTCTCAGTTAACGTCACTGTCAGGACTGTGAACACCTGCATGGCAGGAGCTCCCTTTTATCACTTGAAGGCCTGGCTCAGCGACTGGCACACTGTGGCCACTCCGTGGGTGTTTCCGTGAGTAACAGTGGGTGTGCAGGCAGAAGTGCATGAAGGCACTCCAGTCCAAAGAACTGCATTCCTTTTGCAGCACAAAGCACGAGCTGTATCTAGGCTAGTCCAGCTCTAGACCACACATGAAAGTGAGTGCCTGAAACATGCAACCCTCTATCTGCTTTAGCCACCTTCACGCACCAGCTAAGTCATCGCACTTTCCATGACCATGTTGCCTGTGAAGAGAATGAACATGGTCTGATAAATCAGGCATCCAAGCAACTGTGCACAAGACTGCAGATTGCATCCATTGCTTTAGGTAGGTCAATGGGAGCAATTTTTAGCAAGTGCAACTGTGTCACTTTGGATTATTTAATAAGTTAACTGTCCTATTTAATACTGATTCTCTAAATCAATATTAGCGACTCATATGTATTGTCACAGTCCACCAATGCCCAGACAAGTTAGACTGTGAGCCCGAGGACTTCAGAAGATGCATTAACCACTGCAGGCCACCAAATAGCCTTCCTAAGCCTTGCCCTACTTCTCTACCAGGAAGGGGTTTATACTCACACAACTACCAGCTGAAGGGATTGGTATTGCTAATACCTTGGGACCTCCGTGTACTGCTTTTTCCTACAGAGCAAAGTGTAGAGGCAAAATGATTGCTCTTGGGGCCAGGCATGGTTGCTCACACCTGTAATCCCAGTACTTTGGGAGGCTGAGGTGGGGGGCGGGTGGATCACCTGAAGTCAGGAGTTAGAGACCAGCCTGGCCAACATAGTGAAACCCCGTCTCTACCAAAAATACAAAAATTAGCCTGGCGTGGTGGTGCACACCTGTAGTCCCATCTACTCTCTACTCGGGAGGCTGAGGCACGAGAACCACTTGAACCCAGGAGATGGAGGTTGCATGAACCAAGATCATACCACTACACTCCATTCAGGTATCACAGCAAGACTCTGTCTCCAAAAAAAAAAAAAAAAAAGAATGATTGCTCTTGGGAATTTCACCACTAAGATGCCAAAAAACCATGGCACATCAGCTGGCCTATAATGAGGTGGGTCTACGTTCCAGTGAATTTATTCCATCTTTCAGACTATATCACGTGGAATTTTCTTATAGTCTTTCTCCCCCTTTAAAACAATCCTAAGGTTATTAAAGATACTCCTTTCAGTACTGCCTTCCCCACCCCTTGGGCTACACTATTCAGCTGTTTTTTAAAGAACAGAATTGTAACTTGCATTATCAATAGAGAACATTCCTGGAGAAAACACAGATGTTTTCTGGCTCGTGTCACACAGGCGGTTCTGAAATCTACGAAGTTATATGAGGACTTCCTGGCACCGTGAGAGGAAGGTTGGGAGGCAGTATTACTCAGCCAGACCAAAATGATTTTATTTATTCCACATGCCTAAAAATATGTTTGAACATAATGTGCCATAATTTTTCTGGTGATTTCTATGAATCAGTTTTTAATTATGAATAATGTTTTTAGAGATACTCCTGAGAAATTGTACCCAAGTTTCCCTTGACAGCCATCACATAAAGTATCTAAAATGAAGCAGCTTCCACGGCTAACACAGAAAATCAAAGCATGAATTTCTAAAAGATCCATTAGTCATCTTTGCTGAGAACAAGAGTCTCACGATTCGCACATGCAAAGGGTGGCTGAGAAATTCAGGTCAACAAACATAACTAGAAAAAGACGGTTACTGTCAAATAATTGTTCAAAGGAGTTTTGTACAAATATAAATTTTGTAACTTCACTTGGAGCCTTTTTTCTTTTCTTCTAGTTAGGAATTTTCTCTGTGTTTGAATTATTGCCTTTCTAATCCTCAGCTGACGTTTTGCAGCTTTTAAGGGATCGCTGTGGCTACAGCAGGAAACGTTCCTGCTCCATGGCCCAACGCAGGCCACTCAGAAATTAAAATGTTTGTGCAAGATAATGAGTATGAATTTCCATTTCTGGGATTTACTTTTAGAAAATCCAGCTACTGAAACTCAATCAAGGAGGGTCCAAGTGACACCCTGTCAAAGAACAGATGGGTGGGGTCAGCTCTGGAATTCAAGTACTTTTCGCAGGTGTATCTCTCCTGGAAACCACTTTCCTGCATTTGTCAGAGCTCACAGCTTCTGCGAAAATGTCGGCTAGGGATCAGGCTAAACAGAAGTACAAATAACTCAAGTAGCTTTCAGTGGAGCACCCTTAATGTTGCTTAAACAGGGAGGTATTTTCTGGTCAATTACCTTAAGTAGACTCCAGTAAACGCGAAAATTATTTTTGCATGAGTAACAACAGCGCTTATCTTTTTCCTTCCCCGGCTCCCAACTATCCAGGAATAAAGCAAATTCACACAGGAGTATTCCAGGACTCACAACCTTGTTTAGATTGTTTAAAAGGAATTGGAGGCTGTGGCTTTCCATCCAGTGTCGAGAGCTCCCGAGCAAGTTGAACGTGGCGCCGGCTGCTTAGCCAGAGGAAGCCAGCGTCTACCTGTGTCACTGAACGGCGCTCCTCCCACGGCGACACCTCCGTGCTCTTTTTGCTTGTATTTATTCAAAAATTAGATTTGTCAATAACGCAGGGCCTGGCAAATAGGAGGACCTCTCCAAAATTAAATGCAAGATTGAACATAGGTCTCTCACATCATAATAAAGCGGTTTAATTTGGCTTCCACCGGGGGAGCGGAATAGCACTTGCCCAGCCCCTTTGAGCCCTGCGCACACTCGCACCACCGCCGCCTCTCCCACAAAGAGAAAAGCCACGAGAAGGGTCCCGACTGTGCAAATCTGTGTGCCCTCCCGAGGAAGGCGCCCGAGGGCTCACTCTGCCTGGTTCAAAAGCTTGTGGGAGAGAAGCACCCAAAAGAATTCCGTTGTCAGGTTAAAGTCTTTGTCTATACTCGCAGGATGGGAAGGACGATGGTGCAATCACCGAGATTATTTTGTTTTCGTCCTCTAAAAAATGAAGAGGGGACTGGAGTCGGGACCAAAATTATTGGCAGACCGCACGGTTTGCAGTCACCCTGAAGTTACCAGCAGCCGATGCTGTGTCCAGGGAAAATATTCTTGAGCTGGAAAACGTGCTAATTTAAAGTCTTTCGTTTCACACGAAAATGTGCTGCACTCTTTGACTGCTCAGGAATTTGCTCTAGCACCTAGAAGGAATTCTGGCTTAGGGCAGGGGCGAGGGACAGTGGAGGGCGTTGGACCTTCTTCCGCAATCGGGACCACTCCAGGTCTCCCCGGAGAAGGCTGAGTCTCCAGCGCGTGGATTCAGATCAGGACTCTGTCTAAGTAGGCGAGAGCTGGGGATACCGCTGGGGGCTTTGGCGAAGCTAAGAAAGCACTGGCTTCTTATTCTCACCAGACATCTCAACACCCACGTGCGCTGGGTCCCGCAGTCTCTCGCCCGCCCCACGCGGGTCCCAGCCCTGGTCCTTACTCCCCGCGCGGGAAGAATCTGGGGAGGGTGGGGGCGGAGAGGCGGCTGATCGGAGAGTGGGAGGGAGGATGGGAGATGGGCAGAGGCTGCCCGCATCAGGGCCAGGACAGACGTCCGCGCGGCCCCAGGCACTCACTTGAGTGTCACGCAAGTCACCCCAACACCGCACAAGACAGTGGCGGGGTGCGCACCGAGGCCCCTACCTGGGGGGTGTGCGCGCACTGAACGACCCCTTCTCCAGGTGCGCGAGCCGCTCCGGCGGCCGTGCACACTGCGCCCCCTTCCGCCCACCTGCCTGGCCTGCGTTTCTAACCACGCGGGCGGTCCCGAGACTTCGCGCAAAAGGCAGGACCGCGACTCCCAATAATGATATCTTCGAAATAACCCCCTGCTGAGCCGGCGCCCAGGGCCGGGGGTAGAGTCCCGAGTCCCTTTTGCGGAATTAAGGAGACCTCTGGCGACCGGGGAGCCTGCCCCTGTGACCGCTCCAGCAGCCCCTGCCGCGTGCGTGCCCGAGTGTGGCCCGCAGCTCCCAAAGCCCAGGTGTGTGTGGCCTAGGGCGGGGAGAGTTGGCGACCCGGGCCCATCACCGCCCCAGTGCCACCGCCCCAGTGCCTGACCAGATGGGGTGCGGTCCCTACGCCCGGCGTGGCCCCGCCGCCGCTCAGATCTGAAGTCCGGCTTTCGCTCGCCCTGCGCGGCGGAACCTCTGACCCGGAGCAGCTCTAGGCCGTGGGCTTCGTCTCCTCCTCCTGGAAGGAATGAATGGGCTCCCCGACACACACCTCTCAGAAAACTCACCTTTCACGCTGACCTTCAAAAGAAAAGAAAGAAAGAAAAAGAAAAATCCGCTCGAAGCGGGAAAATGTCCACGCCCGGATTTGGGGTGGACACGCGCCCCGGCCTGGCTGGAGGGGCCAACCCAGCGGGGCCCGCCTGCCCGCCGGCCTTTCTGTAACTTTCTCTCTTTAAACTTCCAATGAATGAACGTGCCTCTTCTTACGGATTTGTTTAGATTAGGGAATAGATTCCTCGCTGATAGCGTTGCTTTGCAAATAAGACCTCCTATATTATTCAAACCAAACGAGTTTGTGTCTTTAAAGGACTATAGCAGCCCCATTCTATGTTAAGGGTTGGCTATTACAATTATTATATGCTTAGGGAAAAAATGTAAGCCCCGTAGTTTGTGCTTTTCTTGATGTACAGAAAGGTTTATCTTAGGTGGATAGGTTTTGTTTTGTTTCTTAAATGGGATTTTTTTGGTTCGTGTCTTTGAAGGGCTGTTTCGCGACGTCATTAATGAACTAATCGGTTTTCAGATTTCAAGACGGTGTGTAATTGATGTAACCACTGAGGAATTTCAGTGCACACCAGACTAAGACTCTTCCAGCGCAGGGGATTCCAGATGCTTCTTGGGCCCTCTGGAAGCCATGGGGATGTTTCCAGACCGAAAGGAGGGCTTTGCTGGGGAGCAGATGTGCTGCCTCTCCCCGACCCAGGATTTTGAGGCCATGTTTCCGTTAATCTGGACCGAGAGCCCTCTGGGAGAGGGAGGCAGGTCGTAGGGGGCGGGGGTGAGGGGGAGCGAGATGAGGTCGTCGCTGGACGCTGGGCTCCCTTGTCGTTGTCCTTTTCCCCAGAATCCATGGTCAGGCCTAGGGAGCCACCCCTGGGTGCTCGAGATGAGTCCCCACCCTCACTGAAGGTCGGTCACTGGATGTTTGTGTGCATCGTAAGGGGCCCACCGAAGTCCCGAAGCCTTCTCAGGGACCAGCGAGAAAGAGGAGCAGGCTTGGGAGACAGGGAAGGAAAATGCAGGGGAAAGGGCTCACCCCTCGACCCCAGGTAAAATTAGAAGGAACGTGTGGCAACCCAGGTGCAGCTTTGGTCGCTCGCTCAAGGACTTTGCTAGTCACTACCATTAATTAATTAATCACTATCATTAACTACCAAGGACACCGTTTTTATTCCCCTAAAAGCGTCACCTTGAGGGGAATGGAGAATTGGGCAGCAGCTATGCAAATCCTGGGACAGGAGACACTGCCTGAGGACCCTCTCTCACTCCCAATCCCAGAACCCGAAGTTATCCCCGACAACCAAGTCCAAGCACATGAACCAAGACGATCAGCTTCAGGCAGCTCCTTACCCCCACAAGCGGCCCAGGAGGTGGGCATTATCCCCCACCCCTGGGATTTCTCCATCCCTCCCTCTTCTCTCCTGCGGGAGAGAGAGCTGTGGTCACCCAGTTGGGCGCGATGGCTCTGGACTAATGGGGTCTCTAGACCCAGGGCACAAAGGCCAATCTGCCAGGGGTTACTGCATGTAATGAGATAATCAGACATGTTGACCAACCTAAAAGAAAAGACTCTCCCAGGGAGTAACTCCCAGTGAAATAATTTATTAAAAAAAGCAAAAAAGAGACATAAATTTCTCTCTACTACTTGAGGAAACAGCAAACAGAACGAATTAGGGTCTTGGCCTCTGCAGGAATAAATTATTTCCGACTTGGTCTGGATACCTGTAATTATTTGTAAGCTGTGGGTAGTAATACTGTAATTGTCCCCCGGTCCTTTCTGGAAGTAGCAATGACCCCAAGGACAATTGGTGACGTCTCCACAGGGTTTACACATGGAAAGGAGTGAAAAATCGAGGAATTCTTTCAGATAGCCCAGACCAAAAATCCTCTCAGCCATGAAAAGGTCATATATGTGATGCTGGGCCAAGCGGACTTTTCTGGAGTAACCATATCATAACTGATTGCGGATGTAGACAAGAGCGTATAAACCAAATAGGCTTGAATCAACGCAGTCCTGGATTTTCTGTTGCCTCTGCTTGCTGGGGCAGTGGAAGTTCTTAAACTCCACTTCAGAGGTTGGAAATTCTTCCCCCTCCCCCACCTCCTTAGTGACAAGGTCTCTGATCTCCTGCTGCCACTGCAATAGCCTCTCCCATCCCGCGGGGAACGGCCGGAGTTCTTCCCTTGATCTCTCCCGAGTCGGCTTCCGCTGGGGATGGATCGCAGGTAGGCGCCGGCGCGGCCTGGGGAAGAACAGTTGCGGAGCATCTGAAGCGGAAAATCCAAGCAGATGTGAGGCGATCCGGGCCCGCCTCGTTCCTCTTGGGGCCTGAATTTCTTCCAGATAAGTTTCCTAATGGAACATTTCTAAGAGGTGGGGTACGAGGCGGCTTGCTCGCACGCGCAGTGGGACAGACTGCGGGTGGGGACGTACTGAGAGGTCCGGACCTCAATGCGTCCGACCCGTCTCCACACCGCCCTTTTCCAGCCCCCAGTCTCCTTTCATTCCCTACTCTTCAGGCTCCTTTGGGGCCAGTGGGTGAACCGCCATTTAGAACGGTGCCTCGGACTCGGGGGTCGTGCGCTCCATCTCTGCCTCCCCCCTGGGGCCCGCGAGGCTGGTCCGGGCTTTCTGAGCTGGGCGTTCGGCTTTAGGCCCAATACCTGGACCAGGAATTTCTTCTCCCCGCGCCAGAAGGGAAAGACATAGGAGGTGTCCCAATCTGCGGTCACCGCCGATGCTCCTGACCACTCTAGTGAGCACCTGCCCGGTACTTTTCCATTCCAACAGAGCTTCCAGCTTCATACTAACTATCCCACATACGGCCTGTGGGTATTAGCTCTAAGTGTCCTTTTCCGAGGGCCCGAGGCTCCCCCTCCAGCAGGGAGAGCTCCGGGACGGCCCCCACCAAGGGTTGGGTTTCTTCCTTCACAATTCCACAGAGGCATCCCTGTCCTTCCTACCTGGGAAACCTCGAGGTGCGGTGCCCGTGTACTTCTGGTACTTTGCGTGGTGCCATCAGGGACCCCAGAGCCACAGCTGCGTGTGTGTGTGGATGTGTGTGTGTGTGTGCGCGCGCGCGCGTGTACGGCGAAAGGATGTGCTTGGGGGAGCCGAGTACACAACGTCTGCTTGGGCAGCTGCTGGGCAGGCGTTGGGCCTGGAGGTATCTCACACCCACGTATCTTCCAGTCTTCAAACACGGCATTGCTCTGCCTCCCGTAGCGCGCTTCGAACCTGCCTCGCGGACACGTGAACAGAGGCTGTCCCTGGGAAGATAAGTGCGCTTTCCCGTAAAATCCGGGAAATTTGCCTTGAGGAAAGTTTCCGTTCTTGTTACTTGTCGGGTTTCTCCCACTTCCACTTAGCCATGTTTCTGCGATCTGGGTAATCCCTTTCAAGCCCAGGAGGAATTCTCCCGGGTCCATAATTGAGGGTCGGAAGCCGTGGGGGTGAGAAACGCATTAAATCCTCCCGAAGCCCAGGAGGTGCCAGAGCGGGCTCAGGGGGCCGCCTGCGGAAGCTGCGGCAGGGGCTGGGTCCGTAGCCTCTAACCCCTTGGAGCTCCTTCTCCCAGAGGCCCGGAGCCGGCAGCTGTCAGCGCAGCCAGGAGCGGGATCCTGGGCGCGGAGGTGGGTCCGACTCGCCAGGCTTGGGCATTGGAGACCCGCGCCGCTAGCCCATGGCCCTCTGCTCAAGCCGCTGCAACAGGAAAGCGCTCCTGGATCCGAAACCCCAAAGGAAAGCGCTGTTACTCTGTGCGTCCGGCTCGCGTGGCGTCGCGGTTTCGGAGCACCAAGCCTGCGAGCCCTGGCCACGATGTGGACTCCGCAAGGGGCTAGGGACAGGCAGGGGGAGAGCCCGGGTTTGCGCACACCTTCCAGCCCCTGGAGGGAGCCTGCTCGGCTTCGAACGCCTTCGAACTTTTGACCTTCAAAGGAGTCCCTGGAAAAGGTCAGGAGCGCCTGCTGCAGGCACGGTTGCCGAAGGCCAGGCCTTCCTGGCGCAGGGGAGGGCCAGGGGAGGGAAGCGGATACTCAGTCGCTGTCCGACGGCGAGTTTTCGGAGCAGCAGGCTCATGATCCCGGGCCAGTGGCGAGAGCAGTGACACCGAGAACCCAAATCTCCGCGCCCCCATCCGCGGCCCGGTGTCCTCCCGGCCCCTGCTGACCTCCAGGTCACGCACCCCACTGCTCCACGGCTCTGCAGCCTGTGGCACACGGCCGAGAGTCCCCACATGATCTCGACGCCAAGGTAAGGAATTGCCCTGCGTCCTCTGAGCCTGTCTCTGGCCTGGGGGGCCGGGAAAGCTGCACTCCTGGAAGAGGTGGGGTTATGTGACCGCCGCTGCAGGGGTGCGCGGAGGACTCCTGGGCCGCACACCCATTTCCAGGCTGCGGGAGCCGGACAGGGGAGGGCAGAGGGGGGACAAAAGGACTCTTTAGGTCCAAAATGACCCTGAAGGAGAGTCCAGAATGCCCAGTGGCCGCGTCTGCAACGGAGTCTTCTTTCTCCAATTGCCTTCTGCCCCATCACCATGGGCCCCACCTGCGCCACCTGCGCCCACCCTGTGACCCTGGCTCAGCGACCTTGGCCCTTAATCGCCCAACGCCGATTCCTCAAAATTCCGGCTGCGCTGAATCGGGCTGCTTTTGCCGCCGCCCCGGCAGTTGGGCCCTGTTTCCGCCGGCGCCCTGGGAGAGGCCTCACCACTCGGCTGGGCTCCCTGGCCCCTCCCTTCCCCTGGCCTGAGCGCCCCTGCGGCCTCCCGCTCCTCCTGAGAAGGCGACAATCTCTTTGCACCTTAGTGTTTCGAGGACAGAAAGGGCAGAAGGGTCACTTCGGAGCCACTCGCGCCGTTTTCACGTGTGTGTGTAATGGGGGGAGGGGGGCTCCCGGCTTTCCCCTTTTCAGCTCTTGGACCTGCAACACCGGGAGGGCGAGGACGCGGGACCAGCGCACCCTCGGAAGGCTCGATCCTCCCCGGCAGGGCGCCTGGCCAACGAGTCGCGCCGCCTCCTCTCGGCCGCGCCTGCTGGTGACCTTCCCGAGAGCCACAGGGGCGGCCTCGGCACCCCTCCTTCCCTCGCCCTCCCTGCCGCCCATCCTAGCTCCGGGGTCCGGCGACCGGCGCTCAGGAGCGGGTCCCCGCGGCGCGCCGTGTGCACTCACCGCGACTTCCCCGAACCCGGGAGCGCGCGGGTCTCTCCCGGGAGAGTCCCTGGAGGCAGCGACGCGGAGGCGCGCCTGTGACTCCAGGGCCGCGGCGGGGTCGGAGGCAAGATTCGCCGCCCCCGCCCCCGCCGCGGTCCCTCCCCCCTCCCGCTCCCCCCTCCGGGACCCAGGCGGCCAGTGCTCCGCCCGAAGGCGGGTCTGCCATAAACAAACGCGGCTCGGCCGCACGTGGACAGCGGAGGTGCTGCGCCTAGCCACACATCGCGGGCTCCGGCGCTGCGTCTCCAGGCACAGGGAGCCGCCAGGAAGGGCAGGAGAGCGCGCCCGGGCCAGGGCCCGGCCCCAGCCGCCTGCGACTCGCTCCCCTCCGCTGGGCTCCCGCTCCATGGCTCCGCGGCCACCGCCGCCCCTGTCGCCCTCCGGTCCGGAGGGGCCTTGCCGCAGCCGGTTCGAGCACTCGACGAAGGAGTAAGCAGCGCCTCCGCCTCCGCGCCGGCCGCCCCCACCCCCCAGGAAGGCCGAGGCAGGAGAGGCAGGAGGGAGGAAACAGGAGCGAGCAGGAACGGGGCTCCGGTTGCTGCAGGACGGTCCAGCCCGGAGGAGGCTGCGCTCCGGGCAGCGGCGGGCGGCGCCGCCGGGTTGCTCGGAGCTCAGGCCCGGCGGCTGCGGGGAGGCGTCTCGGAACCCCGGGAGGCCCCCCGCACCTGCCCGCGGCCCACTCCGCGGACTCACCTGGCTCCCGGCTCCCCCTTCCCCATCCCCGCCGCCGCAGCCCGAGCGGGGCTCCGCGGGCCTGGAGCACGGCCGGGTCTAATATGCCCGGAGCCGAGGCGCGATGAAGGAGAAGTCCAAGAATGCGGCCAAGACCAGGAGGGAGAAGGAAAATGGCGAGTTTTACGAGCTTGCCAAGCTGCTCCCGCTGCCGTCGGCCATCACTTCGCAGCTGGACAAAGCGTCCATCATCCGCCTCACCACGAGCTACCTGAAGATGCGCGCCGTCTTCCCCGAAGGTGAGGCCTCAGGTGGGCGGCCGGGGACGCTGGGGAGCCCGGCGGCCCCGGCCCAGGCGGGAAGCGCAAGCCAGCCCGCCCAGAGGGGTTGCCGCGGCCTGGCGTCCAGAGCTGGGGCGTCTGAGGGAGGTTGCGTGAGGGTCTTCGGCTTCGGCGCTGGCTTGGGGCGAGGGGCCAGGGCCTTGGCGGCCCAGGCGACCAAACCCTCTCCTGGTCCAGGGCTGGGTGAGGGCGAATTACGAATTGTTCCAGGGGCAGGCAGTCCCCCAGCCCGCACGGCCAGCGAGTTCTTTCTGGTTTTGTTCTTTCTCCCTTTCCTCCTTCCTTCCTTCGCCAGTGCATTCTGGTTTGGTTTGGATTTTTTTCTCTCTTTCTTTCCTTTCTTTCTTTCTTTCTCTTTCTTTTTCTTTCTTTCTTCCTCTTTCTTTCATTCTCCCCTTCCTTCCTTCCTTGGCCCCCTCTCTCCCTCCCTCCTTCCTTCCTTCCTTTGCCAATGCATTGGTTTGTTTTCTTTCCTTTTCTGCTTTCCTTCCTTTCTTTGGAAGTTCACTCTGGTTTTGCTTTCTTTCTTTCCCCATCCCTTCCTTTCTTTATCCCTCCTTCCCTTCCTCCTTTTCTTTCTACGATTCCCTTTATTTTTCCTTCATTCCTCCCTCTTTTTGTCTCTTCTGGAGGAGGTGAAGGAGGGTCAGCTTCAGGCGCTGCGAGTCAGCGGGGATCACGGTGAGGCCCAAGCACTGCAGGCTGAGGCCACAGAGCGAACACTTGTGCTGAGCCGGGCCCTCTCGTGAGGCTGGGGTGCGGGAAGTCCGGGCAGGAGAGACCCGCCCCCGCCGTTGCTGAGCTGAGACCCGGCTGAAAGAGAGGGGTCCGATTAATTCGAAAATGGCAGACAGAGCTGAGCGCTGCCGTTCTTTTCAGGATTGAAAATGTGCCAGTGGGCCAGGGGCGCTGGGACCCGCGGTGCGGAAGACTCGGAACAGGAAGAAATAGTGGCGCGCTGGGTGGGCTGCCCCGCCGCCCACGCCGGTTGCCGCTGGTGACAGTGGCTGCCCGGCCAGGCACCTCCGAGCAGCAGGTCTGAGCGTTTTTGGCGTCCCAAGCGTTCCGGGCCGCGTCTTCCAGAGCCTCTGCTCCCAGCGGGGTCGCTGCGGCCTGGCCCGAAGGATTTGACTCTTTGCTGGGAGGCGCGCTGCTCAGGGTTCTGGTGGGTCCTCTGGGCCCAGGAGCTGGGAGGGCTGCGCCGGCCTCTGGAGCCCCGGGAGCCAGTGCCGAGGTAGGGAGACAACTTCCGCCGCAGGGCGCCGGACGGTCGGGGCAGAGCAGGCGACAGGTGTCCCTAGGCCGCAGGGCGCTTCCATAGCGCCATCCCCACCAGGCACTCTACTCGAAATCGGAAAGCTCGACCTTTTGCGTTCGCCTCTGCCAAGCCTGTTATTTGTGCTGGCCGCTGGGTCTGGAGCTGCGCTTCTCGGCCCCTCCCCGGTGGAGCGCAGAGGGCTGGTCTGCAAGCGCGGCCTCCAGCCCCGCGGCTCCCCGGCCCAGGAGCCAGGCGCGGGCTGACCCGGGAGCACCCGGCAGCGGAGGGGGCTGGAAGCGGACCCTAGGCCTCTCCTGTGCCACCCGGCCCTACCGCGCGGCCGCGGGGCGCTCTCCTCTCGGGCGCAGCGGTCCTTCAGCCCAGGGCAGGTTCCTCCCTTTCCTACTCGGAACGTGGCAAAGATACCCCAGTCCCAGCCCCTCCAGCTGAGAGCTGTTGCCCAAGGTCGTCGCTACTTGTCCGCTCAATGGTGACCCCTTGGCAGAGAACTAGGGATGATTCCACTCCGGTTGATGTTTTAGGGGAAATTAAAAGAACATTCGGTTTTCTGAGTCTCCTTCCGGGGAGGCGTGGTGGTAACTGGTTTGCTGGGAAGAGCCGTTCCTTAACCGCATGCAACAAAGCAGGTGTGGAATCCGGACGAGAGGGCACTCACTGCCTTCTGCCCCCTTTGGAAATAGAAAAAGCCTTCGAAGCAGCAATCCAAAGATCAAATGATTTGCGGTCAATGATTTCAATTAAACCAGAAATTAGTAAGGGAGGGCCGAGAAGACACGGCTGCTCAGAAGCTGTTCGCTGTTTGAGGGATTTCCCGGAGAGCCTGTTAAAAGATGCGAAGTGGTGGGTGTACCGCTCAGCCACCTTTAAACCGGCTCTGTGCGTTCTGGCTCTGGAAAGCAAGTCTCCAGGCATTTGGGCTCAGAATTGCTGGGCCCCGAGTTTGGGCGGGGGTGGTCCTTCTGGGGGTCAGGCCTTGAGCAGCTTGCACTGGTGGCAGGTTTGGGAGCAGTTGAGGGGCTTCCTGTGTGTCTTTTGGAGGGGGTGACCCTGGAAGTTGGCACTCTGGAAGGGAGCTGTTTGGCCCTAGAGTTTTGGAAAGGGCCCTGAACCTGTTCGGTCCCCCTCGGAAAGGGAAGGGAGCAGTGGCTTAGTCCCTCCCTCCTCCATTCGTGCAATGCCTGGGGTAGGGGTAGACCTGGAGCCGGTGGACTCATATCCTTGGAATTCGTCAGGACAGCTGCTCCGGGGCCTTGGCCCTCAGTCAGTCTGGGGCTGAGGAGTAGGGAAGCTGGGAACTTGGGGCAGAGGAAGAAGATGCGTTTAGAAAGACCTCCATTATGCAAACTGGAGTCCATTTATGCAAACTGGTCACCCTTCCAGTAGCTCCAAAGAGTGGCAGTGGAGTGGCATCTTGATTGATTTAACCTCTTCTCAGGGGACCTGGGTCTGCGAGGGAGGATATGGCTGCGGGGTTGGAATAGGATCTGTCTGAGCTGCCAGGGTCAGGGTGGTGGCCCTAGGGAGGTTTTAGGGCCAGGGTGGTCCCGGGCTGTGGCAGGGGCTCTCAGATCGCCTCGGGCTCTCAGCTGCAAGGTGAAAAATACCATGAGGAATTGATCTGCCAAGGGCGGTCTTGTCTCAAAGCAAGTGGATTGCTGGGGTAAAGAATCTAGAGACCAGCTTAGGACTCTGGGAGGAAGAAAAAAAAAAAAAGAATAGCATAGTCCTAAGGAACTGCAAGGATCACCAGATTAACCCTTCATACCTGGGGAAATTAAGGCCAGACATGACACAGGCCTTTCCCAAGGCTCTGTAGCAAGGGCAATAGCAGGCCAGTTGCTGCCACTGCGGTCCTGTGGGGCATGTTCTCACTCCACTGCACCCAGGAGGCTGCCAGCCTCTGTTCCTTTTAACATAGATCTCCTCAGTTGTTAAGACAGAAAGAGGAACTCAGAGGGGTCCCTGTGTGCAAGGCAGAGGGAGACCACCAGAACCAGGGTAAGCACCCCACTTGGTAGCCAGTTCAAGGACTTGGGGATGTTTTCAACATTTACAGCGAGGTTTGAGGCCCCATTGTCATGCAGCGCTACTCGGCCTTGGTCTCCTTATCTGTAAAATGGGCCCATTAGCAATGCACAGGGTTGCTGTGATGAAGGGTGAGGTCCCACAAGCAAAAGCTGTGCAGTGAGGGGGGAATCCTAAGCATTGTTCCTATGCCATTCACCCCTTCCTGTGAGCTCCCCATATTCCCTGGCTCAAAGGAGTCTTGAATGGCAGGGATGGAGGACTCACTGCCTGGACTTTGAAGACCCCTGCTTTCTGGGTGACCACCTTTTCTTCCCTTTGACAGTGAACTAATACATTGGAGGTAGATAGTGCTGGGAAGAGGACAGGAGACCACGGCTGACTTTGGACATGGGCTCGAAATTGATAACTTGATGAGTCTTGGAGGGTGGTTAAGATAAGCTCGGGGCTGGGGCAGCGCTGAGGTCTGATGGTCAGCCAGCCCTCCCCAAAGTGTGGCCCTCCGTTCTGGAGATAGGGGCTTTGGAAACTGCAAAAGCGTCCTGGCAGGCCAGCTCTGGTTGCTCCCTGGCCATAGCTGCTCTGACTACAGGCAGCAGGACGCAGGTCGGCCTCTGCCCATCGGAGGTCAGAGGCAGGGCCTCCAGCACCAGACTCAGCAGTGCCACTGCAAACCTGGCACAACAGGCTGGTCCCAGGACTCAGCTCAGCAGTGAAGTTGGAAACCAAGGTTGAGTCTCCCCATCTCCCTTTCCCCAACCCGAAAGACCCAAGATGGGTGTGGGTGAAAGAGGGAGAAAGAATTGCTACTCCAGAAACTGTCATTTGCCCACACGAAACGAGGTGGGGTTCAAGGTCTGAACTCTTCCAGTGCCTGGGTGCCTTTGGGTTTAAATTCAGCTGCAGGTGCCCCCATCACCACTTCCACCTGAGCACACCACGAGAAGCCAGGTTATCTTAGAAACTGTTTCCCGGAATCAAAGCGACTTGATTTGGAGAGTTGGGTGAGGAGAAACTCACCCCTATACCCCTCAGGGCGTCAGAGATGTGAGGCAATTCTCTACCTCCGCTGGAAAAAATGCAGATTTATTAAAGGTCGACTGTTTAGCAGAACAACGTAGATTTTTTACAACGCTTTCCCCGTCTCTGCTTTGAAGCCTGCCAGGCTGCAGCTGGGGATCCAGGAGGGAAAGCCCGCAGGCGCAGAGGGGACAATCCGGGAAGTGGTAAAGGGGACACCCGGGCACAGGGCCTGTGCTTTCGTTGCAGGCGAGGAAGTGGAGCGCGCGCTGCAGATTCAGCGCGGGGCTAGAGGAGGGGACCTGGATCCCTGAACCCCGGGGCGGAAAGGGAGCCTCCGGGCGGCTGTGGGTGCCGCGCTCCTCGGAGCCAGCAGCTGCTGGGGCGGCGTCCGAACTCCCCAGGTCTGCGCACGGCAATGGGGGCACCGGGCCTTCTGTCTGTCCTCAGAATACGTAGGATACCCGCGGGCGACAAGCCGGGCCAGGCTAGGAGCCTCCTTCCCTGCCCCTCCCCATCGGCCGCGGGAGGCTTTCTTGGGGCGTCCCCACGACCACCCCCTTCTCACCCGGTCCCCAGTTTGGAAAAAGGCGCAAGAAGCGGGCTTTTCAGGGACCCCGGGGAGAACACGAGGGCTCCGACGCGGGAGAAGGATTGAAGCGTGCAGAGGCGCCCCAAATTGCGACAATTTACTGGGATCCTTTTGTGGGGAAAGGAGGCTTAGAGGCTCAAGCTATAGGCTGTCCTAGAGCAACTAGGCGAGAACCTGGCCCCAAACTCCCTCCTTACGCCCTGGCACAGGTTCCCGGCGACTGGTGTTCCCAAGGGAGCCCCCTGAGCCTACCGCCCTTGCAGGGGGTCGTGCTGCGGCTTCTGGGTCATAAACGCCGAGGTCGGGGGTGGCGGAGCTGTAGAGGCTGCCCGCGCAGAAAGCTCCAGGATCCCAATATGTGCTTGCGTGGAGCAGGGAGCGGAAGAGGCAGCCGGTCCTCACCCTCCTCTCCCGCCACGCACATATCCTTCTTGACTTCGAAGTGGTTTGCAATCCGAAAGTGAGACCTTGAGTCCTCAGATGGCCGGCAACGCGCCGAGGTCACGCTCCCCAGAAACACCCCTCTCCCCTCCCCTACCCCAGCTCCCCCTGGGGCGGGTGGTAATTGGGGGAGGAGAGGCCGCAGGCAGGGAAGGGGTGGGAAAGCCAGAGAGGGAGGCACAAAGTGATGGCAGCCCGGCAAACACTGGGGCTTCGGGCTGGGCCGCGCTCGTTTAATCCCACAAAAATCCCATTTTGGAGGTGAGAAATAGAGGTTAGAGGTCGGGCCCTTCTGGAGATCAGACCGAGGAGACGGGCCCAGCTGGCGTCTTAAAGCAAGGAGGGGGAGTCGGGAGGAGGTGAGACCCCTGCACCCAGGTGGGGCTCCCAAACCGTTCTGGATTTACCACACTCCCAGGTCCGATTTTCCATGGAGGGCTGGGGTTAGGGACTGGCACCTTCTTGTTGTTAACCGCATTTGATATTCACAAGAACCCTGTGAGGAGACTTTGTCACCGTTTTTAGATGCCTGAGGTTGCCGGAGGGGCAGTGAGAGAATCGTCTAACCTGGTGTTCCTACCACAGTCCAGGCCCTGTGTCCTGGGCTGGACCCACAGCCCCTGCCACCACCCAGAGGAAGGCGCGAAGCTGGCTGCCTCCTTTACGGGTCTCCCTTAGGTGCCCTCATGAAGGGGGACGGCCACCTCACAGTGCAGGAACTATCTCCCCGTTTGCTCCCAAATAGTCTTCTTGGTGTGGTGCTGTCTATGGTCTGTGACCTGCATCTGGAGTTACCCCCAGGACCAGCTTCGGAAGAGGAGGGATCGCTTGGAGGCCGTGCAGTGTGAGGAACGGCAGGCAGGGTGTGGGACCAACATGCACACACTCGCAGGTGCTGGGGCCAGGGAGGAATGAGGCGCTGGCTCCCTTTCCCTCCATTTCTCCCTGGGGGTCCCAGCAACCTGGCCATCCCTGACTTCCAACAGCACAGCGTCCCCACAGGTCCTGCAGTGCTCTGCAGGGGTGCAGGGAGCTCCCCTCCCCCCAGCCGCAACCTCACCTTCCTCACCCCCACCCCTCCGGCAGGAAACCACAGGCTGGGTTGGGGACCCCTGGTGCTCCAAGAGAGCAGTGAGTGCTGGGAGCCGCTAACCCCGAGGCGCCTAGCACAGACTCTTCTCACCCCTTATTTCTGAAATAAAGCCCTTCCTTAGGTCCAGATGAGGACCACGTGCTCAGTGCCTCACTTTCGTGGGAGTGTATATCACTTTACAGTATCAAGACAATTTTCTTTCGTTACAAATCTTTATTTAGTCTCTGCGTTTAGACCAAAGTAGATTTTTATGGGCTGAGTGAAAAAACCTCGCCCGCATTGGTTTCTGATGGAACAGCTGGCAGCGCCACGGCCCCGGGTGGGGTGGCCTAGAGGCAGGGGTGCTTGGGAGGAACATCTAGCACCCGACCACCTCCACCAGGTGGGAAAGGGACGTTTGCACCAAATCTCCGCCGGCAAAGCAGAGGCTTTGGGGAATTACAGAAAAACTATAATGATCTAAAAGAGAACAAGTTATCTTGAACTGTGCGGGTATTTGAATCATACAGAAAATTGTCCTGTGTGCCCAATGCACTTTTGCATGTAGAGCCAGGGCCTTCGAGGAAGCTTTCAGGAGATCCCGGGCAGCGGAGTCTGGTCTGGAGTTTCATTTCCGTAGGTGCAGATTTCTCCCCAAGTCTTCCCGCCATGGGCTTTGCAAGAAGCCAGGGCCCAGAGGCCACGCTCACCGTTAACACTGCACAGGGCAAAGGTGGCTCCAGGACAACTGCCCAACCCCAGGAACGACCCAGCAGCAGAGAAAAGGACAGCTGCCAGGGTGCCTTTGTCGCTTTTTGGAAATCAGAATTCCTGGGTCCTTAGTTAAGTCTTACTTCACCAAATCCCAGGACCTTCACATTTTGGTTCTTGCCATTGCTAACAGTTGTAAATGCTGCCGCCACGAGGCCTGGGAGGAAGGACCCGCTGGTGAGAGCACAGGGAGTGCTGCTGTGATCACGGTGGTGATGCGGGGTGAGCGCGATTTCCCGGGATTAAAAAGCCACCGCTGCCCCCGTGGTGGAGGCTGGGGGCCCCCGAATAATGAGCTGTGATTGTATTCCCGGGATCGTGTATGTGGAAATTAGCCACCTCCTCAGCCAGGATAAGCCCCTAATTCCTTGAGCCCAGGAGGAGAAATTAAAGGTCATCCCTTTTTAAATTGAGGAATAGTGGTTTTTTTTAACTTTTTTTTTTTTAGGTTTTTAGTTGCCGAATAGGGAAGGGTTTGCGAAGCCGCTGCCCTGGGCCGAGGTGCATTTTACGCTTCCAGAGGTCGAGGCCTCCAGAGACCGCGATGCCCAGGGCGTTCCCGGGGAGGCTGAGAGACCCAGGGTGCTCTGGGTGACTGCACGGCGACTCCTCGGGAACCCACTCGTGGCTGCCCGCTTGGAAGGGCTTTGCGGCCCCGGGAACGATCTCCAGGATCTCCACGGCTGGTCAGGTTCCCCGTCCCTCGTATCCCGCGCTGCCCGGGGGCTCCTGCCTTTGGTTCAGTGCTCGCGGCACCACCGCACTCAGGACGGCAGTGGGGGGCTGGGGCTGGGGCTGGGCCTGGCCCAGCGTGGGTTGGGGCGGGGGACGCGCCAGCAGCGCCCGCAGCTCGCTCCGCAGGGGTCGCAGCCAGGGGTCGGGAGCTAGGCTCGTGGGCCGGGAGACGCCGGGCGCGTTGTCCTCCGGGGAGGTTGGGGTGCAGGCGGTGCACCGACCCTCGCCATCTGGCGCTGCAGCCACCAGCCACGGCGCTTAGTGGAGGGTCTGCGGCCAGGCTCCCGGCGGAAAGATTCCGGGGAGGGCTCGGGGGTTGTCCCAGCCCGCGCTAAGCGCCGCAGCCTCGCCCGGCTTTCCTGCTTCCTCGGACTGTGCAGGGGAAGCCTGGGGTCTCGCGGGGCGCAGCAGTCAGGTCGAGGGTGCAGCAGGAGGGGAGTCCTGACGGGCAGGTCCCTCTTTCCCCTGGTGCGCAACACTGGTTGGTAGCTTTTGCGGAGGTGGTGAAGAAGGGCAGGAGGCCTGTTGAGCGGAGGAGTCCGGGGATCCCTAATTATGTGACAGGAGACCCTTTCCAGTTCGGCCTGTGGCCCATCCCTCTCTCACCGCCGGCAGATTGGAGTCTGCTCTCGGGGAGCCCCCAGGTAAACCCCTCACAGGGAGAAGGTTTCGGATTGGAAGGAGGACCGCGCTCGTGGGGCGCCTGTGAGAGCTGGGAAGCCCAAGGGGTAGCGTGTAGGGGGTTTTTTATGCGGGAGGAGCTGCCTCCTGGGCGGCGGGGACTTTCTGTCTCAGCCTGTCTGCCTTTGGGAAAACAAGGAGTTGCCGGAGAAGCAGGGAAAGAAAGGAGGGAGGGAAGGAGGGTCCTTGGGGGAATATTTGCGGGTCAAATCGATATCCCCGTTTGGCCACGAGAATGGCGATTTCAAAGCAGATTAGATTACTTTGTGGCATTTCAAATAAAACGGCAATTTCAGGGCCATGAGCACGTGGGCGACCCGCGGGAGCTGTGGGCCTGGCAGGCTCGCACAGGCGCCCGGGCTGCCGGCCGCTGCGGGGATTTCTCCCCCAGCCTTTTCTTTTTAACAGAGGGCAAAGGGGCGACGGCGAGAGCACAGATGGCGGCTGCGGAGCCGGGGAGGCGGCGGGGAGACGCGCGGGACTCGTGGGGAGGGCTGGCAGGGTGCAGGGGTTCCGCGTGACCTGCCCGGCTCCCAGGCATCGGGCTGGGCGCTGCAGTTTACCGATTTGCTTTCGTCCCTCGTCCAGGTTTAGGAGACGCGTGGGGACAGCCGAGCCGCGCCGGGCCCCTGGACGGCGTCGCCAAGGAGCTGGGATCGCACTTGCTGCAGGTAGAGCGGCCTCGCCGGGGGAGGAGCGCAGCCGCCGCAGGCTCCCTTCCCACCCCGCCACCCCAGCCTCCAGGCGTCCCTTCCCCAGGAGCGCCAGGCAGATCCAGAGGCTGCCGGGGGCTGGGGATGGGGTGGTCCCCACTGCGGAGGGATGGACGCTTAGCATGTCGGATGCGGCCTGCGGCCAACCCTACCCTAACCCTACGTCTGCCCCCACACCCCGCCGAAGGCCCCAGGACTCCCCAGGCCACCTGAGACCTACGCCAGGGGCGCCTCCCGAGCGTGGTCAAGTGCTTTCCAATCTCACTTCCCTCAGCAGGTTCCACCCAGCGCTTGCTCTGTGCCAGGCGCCAGGGCTGGAGCAGCAGAAATGATTGGGCTGCTCTGAGCTCTGAAGCATTCGGCCGCTGTGTGTGTGCAAGGGGCGCAAGGACGGAGAGACAGCATCAATAATACAATATTAACAGGAGCACTTGTCCAGAGCTTACTGCAAGCCACATTCAGTTCCGGACCTTATTGACTTCCCCCTCCCATCTAGAGTGGATTCTGGTTTTTCAATTTGTTTTGTTTTGTTTTTTGTTTGTTTGTTTGTTTTTGAGACGGAGTCTCACTCTGTGGCCCAGGCTAGAGTGCAATGGCGCGATCTCGGCTCACTCCAACCTCCGCCTCCCGGGTTCAAGCGATTCTCCCGCTTCAGCCTCCCGAGTAGCCAGGATTGCAGGCACCCGCCATCATGCCTGGCTAATTTTTGTAGAGACAGGGTTTCACCCAGGCTGGTCTCGATCTCCTGACCTCCGATGATCCGCCCACCTCAGCCTTCCAAAGTGTTGGGATTACAGGCGTGAGCCAACGCGTCCTGCCTTGATTCTGTTTTTAACTCCATTTTTTAGAGGAGGAAATTGAGGCACAGAGAGGTTAAATAACATGTCTAAGGTCACACAGCAAGGGGTGGAGCGGAGTTAGCCCACTGGCCTAGCTCTAGAGCCCACCCGGATAACCAGAACTTGGTGAGGCCTCCGGGCTCTTGCTTGGTTTGGAGCCAGGTGCTTAGCGCCCCGAGCCCGGGGCCATTCACCCTGCAGGAGCTGCACGCGCCCCTGACCTCGGCTTTTCCCTGGCAGCAGAGGGGCTTTGCGGGTCGGCCGGGTAGCCCTGAGCACAGCTCGCCACTTCCAGGTGGGCTGTTGGCGCTGGCTGGGGACACATCCCGATCTTTCAAATGCCCTTTACAGAGCCTCATCAACGACCCGATTCATTCCCCCCTCCTGTCATTTGTCTCTGCCATCGAAAAATGCCTACCGAGAGCTGCTCTGCATTTCCGCCCTCTATTTTGTGTTTTACTTTAAAATAATAATAAAAAAAATGTTGGCTGCAGGACGCCATGACTTAGGTCAGCGAGTCAGCCGCTAGCTCTGCATTTCCAAAAAGCAGATCTTTTCACAACTCTCTTGCCCCAAGTGCCCTGGTGTGGTTTATTTTTTAAAATGCATGCCTGCGGAAGAGAAGACCCGGGGAATATTCGAAACCCCGAGCTTTTACAACATAAAGCGCATGGTGTGGCCGCGGCGAGTAATGGCGCTCTGGGAGCCCTGCCCAGGCGGCCTCTGCTCGCCCTCCTCCACTTCCAGCTCCGAGCTGGGTGTGTTGCAAGTTTCATACTCCTACATATTATAAGTGACACTAATATCAGGGACAACTAAGTGCTGGGGAACTTCAATGAAAACCTGGCTGGTAAAGTCAACACCCCCAGACTTCTCTGTGCTACATTTCTTTAATTAATTCCGGAGTGGTGTGTGGACGGGCGTCTTTGCAGTTATTATACACGTAAGTGAATTAGGCCATTTGAAGCTACGAAGTCATACCCAACATTTTCCATTAAGAATATTATTTTTTTAGCTACTGCTGGCAACTTTTAGAATTTAATTATGATAATTTTCCTCTTTTCCTCATTATCCCAGATATGGCTGGTTGTGAGATACTTTTTCACTAAATGTGTCTCTTTAATGATTTTGGAATTAAGCAAGCATGCCAAATGCGCCAAGACATTTATAACTTTAGAAATTGCTGTATAGTATATATTTTTGGAACACCACAGGTTTAGTTGGGAAAATATTTTGCAGCTGAGTTAGAAACTTGAAAGTTAGGCTTATAATCAAGATGCTGATTTTCAACCTTAGCATCGGGGAAGGTAATGATAGTTTAGTTGGCAAAGACTTTTTGCAGCAAACTGTATTTGAGACAGCAGAATCCAAGGATATCTTTCAAGATTCACTTATACTACATTCTTTTTAGCCCCCTCTCTAGGGGTGGAGGGGGTGGCTTAGAAAAACCAAAGGTAATCTGGTTTCAATTACATGCTGTAAAAATAGAATTTGTGGCCAGAAATTAATTTGGAATATTTTTTATGGGGGCAACATTGTGGGTTGTATGAGTCTTTCACCAACTTTATTGCTTTTCTTTGGTTCTGGATCTAAAATATGAATGAGTAAATAAAATACAGTTTCCTTTTTCAAAAATAATTTAGTCTTTTTATCCTTGACACATAAATATAATCATTACCTTTTTATTTGTCTTAATTACCTCTTATAGTTTTACTTTATTTTTGAGGGTTAGCCAACTTAGGAAAAATCAGAATTTCATTTGGGTAGTTTTCATTTTTCAGAAGTTGATACTTTTCCTCCTTGAATTTTGCAAAGGTTATTTGATCTCTTGCAAATTCTAAATAATTAATTCTGTAGACATAGTCTGGTAAAATAACCAGGTATTTTGTTTTATTTTCTGGGCAGTGGTAGTGTTCGGAATTTATTATTCCAACGGTACTTAGAGGTAACTAGAAAATTGTGGCAAATAAAGCATATGTCCTAGTGGTATAAATGACTGCCAATTATGACATAAAATGGTCTATATAGTGGTAGATTTTCCCCTAAGTACCATAGAACTCCGGATTTGTACTAAGTGCTAAAATAACCCCAAACAATAAAGCTACTACGTTTAACCTGAGCTTGATAGGAATTCTCAAATGTTTTGCATGATTTTTGTGATGTGGATGTATGATTGTTTCTAAAGTGCTTTAAAAGCATTTCAGAGCCTGGCCTGGGAACTAAACCCTGGGTGCTGTTTCCTACAGTCCTTTTTAAGACCCTGGGCTTCATTTTTGCATTTAGCAAGTATGTGTTGATGGTCATATTTGATGCATCCCTCCATCCCAGTGACTGTACCATTGTTAGATTTAACTCTAATGTAGAATGATCATCTCTTATTCTGACACTTTATCTTTTACAGACTTTGGATGGATTTGTTTTTGTGGTAGCATCTGATGGCAAAATCATGTATATATCCGAGACCGCTTCTGTCCATTTAGGCTTATCCCAGGTGGGTATTGCCTAATTTTATGTGCAACCAAAATATTAAACGAAGTGACAGCAGATTTTGACAGCCTCACCCAACTTGAAAATGAGTCTGTTTAAGTGTTTGCTTTTGTGTAAGAACATAACCCTAAATTGCAAAATCCTCTTCTCAGGACATCCTGCAGGGGTTTTCTTCTCCATATTACGTTTTACTTTTTTACTTTCTTTTTCCCTTGGGGTTTCATGACCAGTGTGTCTTCACCCCGTCAGCCTTGTTCCGAGATTCTGCCAAAACCCGGACTATCTGCTTATGTAGTAATGCTAGATGCCCTGAAAAGAGCTCCACAAAGGGACATGTTTCAGTCCACACTTGCTGGTCTGCACGTTACGGTATTATGAGTTGCTATAAAGCAAGAGGTAAGCTGATGTGGAACATGGATTTTATGCAGAATGTTCTTTGGGGAGAGAGAATGGGGAGGGGTAGATTTATGAGTGTTCGCATGGAATTCGGGGTCATTTTTCCTGACTTTTTCCAGTTCAGTGGTCGTTTCAGCAAAGCATTTTATATGCTTGTGATAGAAACTCATAAAACTCAGTTTACTACTGTTTTGAACAGCAAGGTTTCTTTAGAACATCTGAATATTACCAATTTTTCTGGAAAGATGGAATCATCTTCTTAAAAAAGTCCACCGTTTCCTTAGAGGAAAGAGGGGGACTCAGCTTTGTCTCTCCCTGGCAAGCCAAGGGTTTGATGGGGGATTTGGGGGCTCCCTGGGCCCATTGAATGTCTGAAAGGGGATAGTGTAACTGATCATTCTCATTCACATGCCTGACTTAACAAATGTGGATCATGATTTTAAAAGTCACATTTTAAACTACATATAGGGACTAAATATTTCTTCACATTGTGTACTATCAGAGTGATTTTTCACCGTGACTGAAGACACACTAGAATTAATGATAGATACAGAGGATGGGTTCCAGAGAGGCCCATATTGAATTTGAATTACACCTGCCTCCTAATGTAGTTAAGCCAAAATAAAACATGCCGATTAATGTGGCTTCAGTTTGCTCATTGAAAAACAAAATGACCACATTTGGCAAACTGCATCTGGTGTATTCCTTTTATTTTTCTGCCAATACTTTTTTTTATAAGCTTGCTATTTATTTACATCCTTCTCTTCTGATGTATGGATATCCTTATCCAGATCCACATGGGTTTATGTAACTCTGTGTTTCTCAGGCAAAACCCTTTAAAATGAATTACATATTAAAATGATATGGAAGTTTTTCTCTTCCTCTTCTCTGCTTTTATCAAACCAAGTCTCCCAAATACAGTTTACTAAGGCTTGGCACTTGTGCCTATGTGACTCGTGGGATTAGTGTACTTGTAGAATGGGAACTACTGTTGGGAACAGGAAATTTACTATTTTCCATAATTATTAGGTTGATGCAAAAGTAAATGCGGTCTTTCCATTACTTTTAATGGCAATGACCGCAATTACCTTTGCACCAACCTACTATTATTATTCTCTGAATTTTTATCTTGCCCTATTTAGAATCATGCAGGGCCCTTAAGTTGTACCCAGACTAGTTTCTACTTCTGACTTGGCCCAATTACTTACCTTTTTTAGTCATTTAGAAAACCTTTCATAGTCTTACAGTAATGTCACAAACACAACAAAACATTTCACACACTTTTAAAGATGACTGATCAAAAATCTTTTAAAATAGGTAAAGTCACTGTTATCAAATATTAAATTTAGATCTGAGCTCCCTAGCAGTCAAAGCAAAAAGGGAAATGTATTCAGTTATAGAGTTTTTATTGTCTGATAGGGCAGGTTCTTTAACCTACTTGAACCATGTAACTTAAATAGTAAAATCATGCCTGCTCTATCTGTCTTTAAGGATCGTGGTGAGAAAGGGATCAAAATGCCTATTTCATGTGATTTACAAACTACAGGGGGCAACACAAAATCCAGGCATACCCACAGTTTCATTTGAGCAAACTTGCTTTCAGTAGAGTCCTTTGGGGGCTCCTATTAGGGCTGCTTGGTCATTTGGAATGTCCTGGCCCATCAGGAGGTACTGTGCACATCCCAAGAGATCCGGTGCATTCAGTCAGGCCGTCCAAGTTAGCCTCTCTGTGTTATTTTTCTCTTTTTATGTGGAAAATAGAATTGATTGATTATAAACACAATAATTAAGAAGGACCAAAATATTGGATAGGTGACAAATCTGCCTCCGGTTCGTGATCGGCTCCACGGAAGGAAATCCAGGCAGCCTCACAAGTTGAAGTACTCTATTTCCTCATGATCATAATGCAGCAGGAAAACTTTGCATCATAATTTTGAGAGAGGAGAGGGGTTAGGCACTACCATTTTCTAAGAAAGTTGTAGAGATACATACATTGTCTCTTTCTCTCCAGTAGAAGTGATAGTTTCTAAAAAGATAAGTCAAACTGATCATTTGCATAGAGCAACTGATTTTTTCTGATTTCTCTGCGGGGCTGTGTTAGCATCAGTTCACAGCTACAAAAACACTTTAGTGCCAAGTGCCCTCTTTGTCGGTGTCTAGGGAGCGTTCCACGGTGAACTGTTTAAATAAGCAACAACTTTTCTCTCAAATCTTCCCCCTGTTCATGATTAACTCCATAGAAGGAAATCTAGGCAGAATCACAATGTGTATTTTTTTCTGTCTTCTTTACTTAAATAGTAAAATAAAGTATTGAATAGGATGTCAAATACCCAACTGGTCTTTTAAACATTTTTGCACCTTTTAGATTATTTTTTAAAAGTCAGGCAAATGTATCAAGCATGAGACCTTTATTAAAATGGGCTTAAACATTTTTTTTAAGTCATGAGAGATAAAAGTGTTAATAAAATTTTACCCAGTAGTCAGAGTAACCTTTTAAAAAGAATTTCTGATGAATAACGATAGTAGTAATAGCTGATACATGCTGCTCTTTTGTGTTCCAAAAACTTTCAATTACCTTCAATGACATTATCTTATTAAGTAAAGATGTCTTTCATGTTGATTCAGTGTTAAACTTTATGTTAAAAGATCATAGAGAATGTAAGCCCCTAGATCTGCTATAATTGTGTGGAAATTCACTACAAAGTGATTTTTTGTTTTGTTTTGTTTTTGGTCTAACCTCTACTAAATGACTATCCAAATTCTTTATTTGAGGGTATGGAAATGATTCTTTATGGGTTATAAGCCCATCCCCATTCCAAGTCTTTTATTAAGCCTTATTTGAACAAGTGTTGAAATAAATCTGCTTCGTATGGCAGAGCTAAAATTTTAGTTTTTTTTTTGTTTACACTAGTAAACAAGTGATTGTTGCTGCCAAACTTTGGTACTAAAACAATGACAGAGACAACCATAAAATGCCAGTTGTCTCCTCAGCCCAGGGTCCAAGTGTTAGGCAGTAGAGAGGCAGGCTTTCAGCCTGAAAACTCCCGTTGGTGGGCACACTCGCACACGTGTCCACACACAAAGCATCTAGACAAGTTTCTATCTACGTGGATGAGGTAGAGTTGGGGCAGCAATGTTTTTCCATGCGTGTTTACTAAATGATTTAGTTCCATGTGCTGTTTTGGTTAATGCAATTATTTTACTTTTATTTAGGGAGGAGGAAGAAAAATCCCCGTGTAAAAATGTAGCTGCTGTATACATTTTTAAGTATCCTTGGGTTAAGTTTCCTCACCAACATTTCACACAGTTATATAGCATCTAGGTAACTAGTATACATGTTCAAATAAATATACGTATGTAAGAAATAGCTATTTATGAGACACATAAAAGAATGTCTTATTTGAGATTGTGGCCAGAAACAACCATAAACATATCGATGATGTTGTTTGGAGGTACAAGACCTAATCCTTTCACTTTTGAAATAAAGACAAAAGACAACATAATTATGTTTGTTGACATAACTTGAACCCTGAAACCCAAACCATCTTGTTTTAAAATCCTTAATTTACCATACTCAGCAAAACACCCCAGAGTAACGTGCATTTTCAGAGTGCCAAACAACTCTCCCCTTCCACACAGAATATATGCATTTAGTGCTGTATTTATCATGTGTAGGTTTCTTGGCAAGAAGAAAAGCTATTCAGCAAAACATAAAAAAGCTCTTAGTAGGAAAGCTATCCATTTTGTAGTTAGCAGGGTTTTGCAAATACTAAAATATCACATGGAAGGTCTGTTTTAATAAGGCTGATGCATGAGACCCAGGGAGTTTTATAGCGACAACCATAATTTTTTTTTTTTTTGTGAGGTAGTCACATTTCTCTCAGTGTTCAAAAGCGTGGATAGATACGTAAATACAGGAAACACCATGTCAACCATAATTTTGACTTAAGGTCAGGACTGTTTTATCATTCCAAAATTTGTTCTGTAAAGACATTTCCGTTATTTGAAGGCTGTTTCACTTCCTAGACAGCTCTGGAGTTTTCCCGTTCGTTTTGTCACAGACTCGAGCCTTCAGAAAACCAAGCCTTTCATCTGTGCAACCTCACCCTTCTCATTCTTCAAAAGCATGTGTTGAGAACGGGAACTCTGAAAACATAAGAACCTACTCTGGGATTAAAACGCAAATCTAACCCTTAATAAGCACAGATGGAAGGTCTTTCTGCAAGGAGGTAAAGTTGTTTCCCGAAAACACATCAGTTACTTTTTTCCAGAAAAGAACTTCGAGCAAACCAGAATTATTCTTTTTCCCTGAAAACATGGGGAAGGGAGAAACGATAGGCCAATATAACATTTCTCTATTTTGTTATTTTTTCATTTTTAAAATAAACTGTTGAAATTGTGAGTCACTATATATTTTCTTTTCTTTCTTTCTTTTCTTTTTTTTTTTTTTTGAGACAGAGTCTTGCTCTGTCGCCCAGGCTGGAGTGCAGTGGTGCGATGTCGGCTTACTGCAAACTGCGCCTCCCGGGTTCAGACGATTCTCCTGCCTCGGCTTCCCTTGTAGCTGGGATCACAGCCGCATGCCACCACGCCCGGCTAATTTTTGTATTTTTAGTATGACATGATTTCACCACGTTGGCCAGGCTGGTCTTGAACTCCTGACCTCAGGTGATCCGCCTGCCTCGGCCTACCAAAGTGTCAATATATATTTTCTTAAGCCAACTCTCTTAGTTTTTAGCTTCTGCCACTCCGCACCTGGACAGGCCTTCCCAGGGCATAGTCATTGCCACCCTGAGGAAAAAAGGAAATGGTCCTGTCCCAAATGGCTGGCTTACCTGTTGCCAGTTTATTTAAACTTTTTAAGGATTAACAGGAATGACTCGAAAGAAGAATATTTAGTTTTATTATTTTTCTTAAATGAAATCCTGTAATAAACTTTTCAGGGAGGCGAATGTCCGTCTGGGAGATCTGTTGAGAAAGTGCCAGGCTTGGGAAGTGGGTGTTAAGTAGAGGGTAGGGAGGATTCCTCTAATAGGATTCTCTCTGTTGCTCTGTTTGCATAATATTGGAAGGAAACATTCCATGAATAATGTAAAACATAGAACTGTGAGAGCCGTTTTAGGGACAAGATGACTTAGCAGGCCAGAAGTGTAACTTATTCTGAATAAGAAAGCAACTCGCTCTTCTTAACAAATTGGAAGAACTGGCTCAGAGGAGTGCGATAAATCACTTCACCCCTCCACGACCCCTTGGTCCCAAGTAAAAGCTGATGGCCTAGATGCTAATCTGGAACTGCAACTCCCAGAACTTCTCCATTAAGCAGCTGGCTGGGTTGTCCTGTTGCGTGAGGTGGCACCGTCAGGATGGCCACTTTGCAGATAATCATGTTGTCTCTCCTCTGATGGAGAGCCACAGGCTCCCAGCGACACCTGCAGCAAGACACACCTAAAAATAACAAGGGGGTGGCTCGGGACAAGACACACCATGAGCCTCCTTTTGTTATCTTGAGTTACCCTCTCTCCTTCCGGCAGGGTCAAGAAGGAATTCTCCAGACCTACCCAAGATCCTTCGCCACCCAAGGACGGTTTCCCACATGCTTTGAGTTTCTTCTCAGGCTGGGCACTGGGACTCCCCTTGGTGGTGGAGGAAGTCCTACCACTGCCCCTGGGCCTCCCCTGAACAATGCTGGGGTTCACCGACTCACTGTCCTTGTCTGCCACCCTCAGCACTATTGATTATAGCTCTAAAAATAGGATCCACCCACCACTGCTCAGAAGGCTGCTCTGCTAGTCATTTCTAGAACATTCTGTGCCACTGTCCATCTTAAGGTGGGTGGGGGCCCAGGTGTTGAGACTCTATCATATCCTCTCCTGGTGCTTATGTTTGAGAGAACATTCGAAAGATTCTCAAGTTCGGGAATTTGGGCCTCCAGGGACCTCTGTGTAAAAATTGTAACTATGATGGGTATTTTCCTGGGGCCATCCATTCCTGCAAAGTGACATGGATGTGCTGTCCTCTGTGGGCTGTGTCTGGAAATAGGTAGCGTCGGACTGTTGAGGCAGCAACCCCAGGACATAATCCCCATATAACGTGGCTCTCTGGAGCAGGCCCAGACCCTCCCGCAGGGCACGCACAGCCCCAGCCACACCCCTGGGCGGGAGCCACAGAATTAGCACAGTCATCTCGGACTGGGAGGGCCAGAGACTCATTGCTGGTAATGTGAGAGAGGCCTGGCAGCGCCTGAGGGGCACAGCTCAGAGTCGACGAAGAAAGGGCCTTTGTCTGAGTTCATGTCCTCCTCGGGCGCAGTGGCGCCCCTGCCGTGGACGGCTGGTCGGCCTCGGAGTGGACAACACTTCCACAGGGAGCACTATGTGGACAGGACAGCTGGCCTTCTGGCCACCCAGTCCCCTCAGATCGCCAGCAAGGGAAGGACAGAGACCCTGGCCTGGGTCTGTTTCAAGCCCTCTTCTGTATGAAGGATGCTGCCCAGGCCAGCAGCGCCGCCCACCTCTGGTGCCCACCTTTTCCACCCTTTGCTTTCTGGTCCTTCCTGCTAAGGGTTCTCTTGGCTGCAAGCTCAAGCCTCAGTGCCATGGCCTTTTTAGACAGTGTGGGAGACAGTTCAGAGCTCTGAGCTCTGTTGAGAAAAGAAAACTGTTTCTGCGTTTGGCAAAGGTGTGGGTTGTCAGCAGAGATCAAAGTTCTGTTCCTGGCAGGGTGAGCACCTGTGACACACCTTGCCCCTCCCCCTGCGCCAATCCCAGAGAGGCGGTGGCATTTCTGACCCTTCCCTTCCACGGCAGGTGGAGCTCACGGGCAACAGTATTTATGAATACATCCATCCTTCTGACCACGATGAGATGACCGCTGTCCTCACGGCCCACCAGCCGCTGCACCACCACCTGCTCCAAGGTATTCCATCCAGAGGGAAAAAAAAAAACAGACTAAAAGCAAGGCGACATTCTTAAATGGAACTCAGGGCTTTGCTTCCCACATCTGCCAAGTGGCTGGGCATGACTAGGACTGCCCAGCCCAGGTCTCTCCAATACACACACAGCACCCACCACGTGGGGATTTGCATTGATACCTGTGTCTTTTAAGCCAATATTCATCAAGCTCCTATTGTTGGCCAGAACCCGTGTTGAGTGCTAGGTAGAGGACAAAAGTGGTGCAAGCCTGCTCCCCTCGTGCTCTTGGGTCAGAATTCCAGGGATTACAGCATCACGGGTCTAGACCAAGCTTCTCCTTAACCAAGATGCCGTGCCTAAAACTCGGGGGTCGGGGGTGGTCCATGACATTTCATGGGGAAAATTACATATGTGTTTCCTCCAGTTGAAATTTGGCATTTCCTTTGCTTCTGATGATAGATGATAAACCATCTTGGGGTCCCTAGTACCTGTGGCTTTGCCAACAATAGAAATCACAGATGTTTTCCATATCATAGGAAAGTTTTGCAGGTTTAAACATATCGCTTATGCCCACATGCCTACTTCAAAATTTCAGGAGTTCTAAGACCTGCTACTGAATCTTCTTATTTATGTATTAATAAAGCAGCACATTTATATCCGTATCACTGTGTTGAAATATTTTGATAATTATTTTCCAATACAGTTGCTTTTTTGGTAATCTTATATATTTTATTTTATGTATTTAAAAATGTTACTCCAAGTAGGGATCTGTAGGTTTTGTGCTGTGGCACAAATCATTAAGAAGCCCTGGTCATTACACAAATGACTCCTTAAATTTCAATTGTGATGAGTGCTAGGAAGATACAGAAGGACTTATTCCAGGGGCCCTGGCCTTTTAACTCCCTCCAACCATCCAGTGAGGCCAACAGGCCTCTTGACAAATGGGTCTTATGTGTGCTTTGGACTATGGCACCCAGCTTGGCCAGAATACCCCAGTGGAACAAAATGCAAAAGAAGAGGCTTTAAGGGTGATGAGAATGGGGTAGCTGGCTGCAGGAAAAACATGAGTTGCATTCTTATTGCTGTCTTCTGGGGGTTGGTGGGGAGAGGTCATTCTCGGGCTGGGAAGAGAGAATACAAAATAGCACACACAGTTGTAAAATCCCTTGCAGACAGTTCTGTGGCCCGCAAGTTCCAGCTCCAGAAATAGTCACTGGAGTCTAATTATTCCTTACCAAGGAGAGAGCCTGGCATGTTGGTTTCTGAAATGAGATGGGGCACCTAGTTGTAGCTAAGGTCTGATTCTTGGATATGATATGTCTGCAGACATCAACATGAATCATGGCTCTGAAGAGGTAATTTCTAAAAAATGAGGGCTAGGCTAGAACATCGCACCTGAATCGAATTCTTTCACTGTGGGGTTGTTTAAAGCTGGACAAAGACAACAGGTGTCAGAGAATTGCAGAACATAGTGCTGTTACTGTTTTTGAAAATTGCACAGTACGGTTTTTTGTTTTGTTTTGTTTTTTGGAGTTGGAGTTTCATTCTTGTTACCCAGGCAAGGAGTGCAGTGGTGTGATCTCGGCTCACTGCAACCTCCACCACCTGGGTTCAAGCGATTCTCCTGCCTCAGCCCTCCCAAGTAGCTGGGATTACAGGTGCCTGCCACCACGCCTGGCTAATTTTTTTGTATTTTTATTAGAGACAGGGTTTTGCCATGCTGGTCAGACTGGTCTCGAACCTCAGGCGATCTGCCCACCTCAGCCTCCCAAAGTGCTGGGATTACAGGCGTGAGCCACCGTGCCTGGCCTGAAAATTGCACAGTATGTTAACTGTATGGGACTGGGCTTTCTCCCCCTACCCCCGGTTTCATTTTACCCTGCCTGGGTCATAACCTCCCAAAGAGGGATTATAAATGAGAGCAAATGAGTCTTGGGAATATCATGAGACCCTTTCATGCCCTGTTTCTGTAGCCTTTGAGTCTGAAGCAACAAGGGCTGGAAGCATTGAGGCCGCACCTGACTCATTTCCACAGCCGGCCGAGGGGTGCAGGGGTTGAGATTCCCAAGTGCTCGATTTTCTCCCCAGCTGCTCCATTTTCTCCCCAGCTGCTCCCTTGCTGACTTTCCGTGTCTGAAATGACCCCCGTTGTTTTATGATAAACCTGTGAGAAATGGGCTCTCCCCAGAACTTGGTAATTGATGACCAGTTGATGTATTTTTAGACCTGAGCTTCCACCCACCGTGCTTGTCTGGAAATGGCTGGGGCAGGCAGCCATGTTAGAGGGAAGCTTTTTGCCCAAAGACACCATCTGCAGGGGGAATTGTGGGTAAAATATGGCAGCCTCTCCAACTGGGGCAGGGGGTGCCCTCTGAGGTGATTCCTGAGCTTCCACAGGGCAGTGACCTCAGGGAGGGTGGAAGACTTTGCTTCCATTCCTAGTGGTAACCTTCCTTTAAAAATTCATGTATTAACCTCCACCAAAGGGCTGTTTATTTAGAGTGGAGTGACCTCGCCCTCCCTTAGAGGTCCTTCTCTATTTGTGTCTTAGAGTGCTGGTGTCCCTTCCTGAAACAGAGGGTGTTTCCTTAGGGGACACATTTGCATTGACAATAGTGAGGTCAGAGATTTGCGTGGGAGGCCTGCAAAAGCAAAGTGAGTGAGTGGGAAGGGCAGAGCCCTGGAGAGACAGAGACGGGGTGGTCCTTCTGGGGCTAGAAATGAGGGTGAAAGCATGGATCTGCCAAGCCTTGGGTCACACACACTCAAGTCCTGCTACCCTGAGGGAGGTCAGAGGCTTCTGGGCCTTCCTGGAGCCCACGGCCCCCAGGAGCGGGCGACGGCAGGTGGAGCTCTGCAGGGCCCATCAGGGGCCTCAGGGGTGGCCTCGTTTGGCTGCCTTCCTTTAGAGCCAAGGAAGCCACACCAGGACTGGGCTGGTGTCTCCACTGCCCCACCCAGATCTCAGCCAAGGCCGAAGATCTCTGAGCAGGGTCTGGGCACACTGAGAAGGCCTCTGGGTGCTGCATCTGGCCCTGGGAACACATTGGTGCGGTTGGAATAAGGATGGGGGAAGCACGGAGGGACAGCTGCCAACCTCATCTTGCTCCTGCTTGCAGAGTATGAGATAGAGAGGTCGTTCTTTCTTCGAATGAAATGTGTCTTGGCGAAAAGGAACGCGGGCCTGACCTGCAGCGGATACAAGGTACGGGGAGTCATGGGTGCGGGGAGGAGCTGGCTAAGGGTCTTCAATGTGTGTTTTCAAGAGCGTCTGCAGAAAGGAAGGCACGGGAGCACAAACTCGTCATCCCCACTAATGTAGAGCTCTCCAGCAACGTGGTGCACAGTCTCTTGGAGGCTCATGTGAGAGCTGGTGTTTTAGGAGGATGTTCCAGCTGGCTGGAATTCATCGCATAAGACCCGGAATCAGTGTGGCTTAGGGCAGATTTTATTAATACCTTGGCACTTTCCATGTGGACCAGTCCCAGTGGAGCCACCGCCTCTGGAGTTTATAGAGGCCCATCCTCCTGGGCACAGTGCAGCTGGCAGTGGTATCCAGAGCACGGACACTGCCCTTCCCCTTGGGATGCTCCACCAAGTTCCCTGCCGCCGATGACGGTGTGCACCACAATAATGCTAGCGCCCTTTCCAAGGTCCAAGGCAGAGCTTTCATCTGCGGCACCACACCTGGGCCACTCCCTCAAGCATCTCAGCTGCCCATTGGAATGAGCAGCACTGGCCCAGTTTTCTAGTCAAGGACCAGAGGAGGGACGGCAGAAGGGGCTTGGTGGCGGAGCTGGGACTCTGAGCCCAGCCCATGCTCCTCCCTGGCTCCACGTCTCTGCCAGACACCACCGCTTGTTCTTGTTAATTCCAGAATGGAGGAGTAGGTCATGTCTCAGGGCACGAGAGTCAGCCGCCCCCCAGGGAAAAGTGGGTCGGGGGAAGTCTGTGCTGAGTGCCCCCCGCCAACACTTTTGTCCCCTCTCTGGGCTCCTTACCCTCCTCCCAGGCATCTTCACTGCCATCTCTCCAACCTCAGAGGACAGACATCATAACCCATCAATATGAGGCTGAAAGCTGCCAGAAACTTTCTTCCAGGAGGATTTGTCTCTTAGAAAAGAAGGGAGGAGGATGGGGTGAGAGGAAAGGGCACTTTTGTGCCTTTGTCCTCTCTTTCTGGAAGGCCCCGCCCCAGCTCCCCTCTTTGACCCCACTCTGAGCTCCTCCTTTGACCTATATCTCACTGTGCTGTTACAGTTCGGGGGACATGTTTCTTCCTTTTTGTCCCAGATACTAAGCCTCTTTGGGCCACGGTGGGGCCCCAGGAGCCAACAGACATTCTTCAGGGCACTTGGGTCTTTTTGTTAAGGGACAGGGTCTTGCTCTGTCACCCAGGCTGGAGTCCAGTGGTGCAATCACAGCTCACTGGAGCCTCAAACTCCTGGGCTCAAATGATCCTCCCACCTCAGCCATCTGTGTAGCTGGGGCCACAGGCGCACGCCACCACACCCAGCTAATTTTTAAAATTTTTTGTGGAGATGGGGTCTTGCTGTGTTTCCAGGCTGGTCTTGAGTCCCTAGCCTCAGTCAATCCTCCTGCCTTGGCCTCCCAAAGTGTCAGGATTACAGACAGGAGCCACCGCGCCTGGATGGGACTTGGGTCTTGACTTTTTTTTGCCACTTATTAACTGTCCGCTGTCCAATCTTAAGCAATACACAACACCATCTTGTTCTTGGTTTCCTCATTAGTAAAATGGGAGAATAGACTGGAAGGATTTTAAGATTTGTTTTAGCCCTAAAGATGATGAATGCATTCAGAAATCCTGGAGAAAGAGTTTTGGAACAGAGAACTTAAGGCTAAGATTCTTCACTGTTGTCATGATGATATTGACCCTGTCAAGATTTCACAGACTGCAGCTTGAATAAATGCTTCCAGTAGTGACGCTCGAGGCTGTACAGATGTTTCTGTTTGACACCGAAACACTGCATTCTTGTCTGTATGGCTTTTGGCTATAGCAATTGGAAGGGCTTCTGTAGGGCCACTCTGGCTTATTATTATGAGGAAATAAAATCTTGAATTATAAATAAAGGAAATAAAAATACATTAAAAATGAAGACTTCAAAAAATTGTACTGGGGCAGGGCACAGTGATTCATGCCTGTAATTCCAGTACTTTGGAAGGCTAATGTGGGAGGATTGCTTGAGCCCAGGGGTTCGAGACCAGTCTGGGCAACATAATGAGACCTTGTCTCTACAAAAAATTTTTTAAAAAATTAGCCAGGCACGGTGGCACATGCCTGTGGTCCCAGCTACTCAGGAGGCTAAGGTGGGAGGATCACTTGAGCCTGGGAGGTCAAGGCTGCAGTGAGCCTGATTGCACTACTGCACTCCAGCCTGAATGACAGTGAGACCTTGTCTAAAAAAAAATCTACGGAAAGAATTGTTTATTTACTGGTACAGCGTGTCGAGTGATACAGATGCCAAGTTCAATCCCATTGGAAGGTGGTAAGCAGCATCGTCAGTGATGCAAGCACTGTGGAACAAATGGTTGGCCTCCCCCAGATGCCTTTATTGTGTTACCTACTCACAGCTTGGCAGTGAGCTCATATGTATATCTCCATCATATATGACAGGGCCCTAATTTGTAGTTACTTACAGTACAGTCAATTGGATAAGACAACCCTTATATTTTATTATGATATTTTTTGTTGTCTTGTGAGTTTGTTTTGTTACCCTGGCTGGAGTGCAGTGGCACAATCTCGGCTCACTGCAACCCCCGCCTCCAGGGCTCAAGTGATCCTCCCACCTCAGCCTCCCAAGTAGCTGGAGACTATAGGCATGCACCACCATGCCCGGATAATTTTTGTATTTTTTGTAGAGAAGGGGTTTCGCCATGTCACCAAGGCTGGTCTCGAACTCCTGGACTCAAGCAATCCCCCGACCTCGGCCTCCCAAAGTGCTGAGATGGCAAGACTGAGCCACTGCTTCCAGCTGTTATGTTGTTTCCTAAGAAGCACAGCTCTCCACTTCTCCTAAGCAATGAACCGGTGCCTGTCAGCACATTGGGCCGCACAGTGGAGTAGAGGCTGGGCTGGGAGATATTCTAGCATGTTTGAGAAAATGAGCCAGGAGGAGTGGGCTCCAGCCCAACCCCAGTGGCCAGTGGCTGACCCTGCCCTCTCCACTCCCAGGTCATCCACTGCAGTGGCTACTTGAAGATCAGGCAGTATATGCTGGACATGTCCCTGTACGACTCCTGCTACCAGATTGTGGGGCTGGTGGCCGTGGGCCAGTCGCTGCCACCCAGTGCCATCACCGAGATCAAGCTGTACAGTAACATGTTCATGTTCAGGGCCAGCCTTGACCTGAAGCTGATATTCCTGGATTCCAGGTGAGTTCGGCACCTGCCACAGTGGCTGTGGCCTTCTGGAAGACACCGGTGGTGGAAATGGGTCCCTGAAAGCTGCCATCTTGGCCAAATCATAACAAGGAATAAGTCATAATAGGAATGTGGATTAAGCAAAACCAATTTATGAACTGAAAGAACATATGTCAGCCTTAGGACTCAAGGGCTTGTTTTACTTTATTTACTTATTGATTTACTTATTTTATTTACTTATTGATTACTTATTTTATTTACTTATTGATTACTTGTTTTATTTTATTTACTTATTTGAATCACTAGAGTTTGAAATGAAAACATGGGCTGTGAGCACAGGTTGGGCTTTTTTGAAGGCCATGATGTCAGAGCTCTGCCTCCTGCGTCCAAGGAGGACTTTAGAACAAACAGAAAATTTCCACCCTGTGTGCGGTGTGTGGGGGGCCTTGGCACTCAGGCTGGTGTGAAGCCACCACAGGGCTGAGGCTGGGAGCAGAGACGCTATCTACCCTGGGGGATGCTCTTCCCACAGCTCATGGGTGCCCTGTCTACATCTGGGCTGGGAGGAGGGGATTGGATGAGGTCATTTCTCCTGGCCTTGGGGAGTACCTCTCTCCAGACCCGTGCTGGAGTGGCCTTCACTCTCCCCTAGAACCGGCTGCAGTCCCAGTTTTTTAACTGAGTCTGCAGTTAAAGTCTGAGTTTTTTAAAATTGAAGTGAATTTTAATTTTAATTAATTAATTTTTTTGAGACAGAGTTCCGCTCTTTTGCCCAGGCTGGAATGCAATGGTGCGATCTCAGCTCACTGCAACCTCTGCCTCACAGGTTCAAGCGATTCTGCCTCAGCCTCCCAAGTAGCTGGGATTCCAGGCACCCACCACCATGCCCAGTTAATTTTTGTATTTTTAGTAGAGATGCGGTTTCACTATGTTGGCCAGGCTGGTCTTGAACTCCTGACCTCAGGTGATCCGCCCGCCTCAGCCTCCCAAAGTGCTGGGATTCCAGGAGTGAACCACTGTGCCCAGCCTAAAACTGAATTGAATTTTTAAGTGACAAACGCTAACTGCGTTTGGTTTTCAGGGTTTTGTGGTGTTTGTGGGGTACATTGTGATGCTTTGACACATGTCCACTCTGTGGAACCATCAAACCCCTCCCAAGTCTTGAGGCCACGTGCTAGTCAGGCCTCTTCCATGTTCTTATTTGTAAAACAGCAGCGCAGCCTGCCCACTCACTGCTAGGAAAGATGAGATTAGATAATAGACGGAAGCATTGGAAACAGTGAAGCCTCTCTTACCTGCAAGGCCACTTTAGCTCTTGGCAGGTAGGTTCCTCAGCTGTGCAGTCGGGAATAAGCCATCAGAGACCCCGCTCCTGGCGTGGGGTGTGTGTGTGCGATGAGTCTTTGGCGGGGGGAGGAGAGATACATTTTGCTTTCTGTATGTCCAGAAGCCAGGATTTACTGTTTTCTTTTCTTTTTCACTTTTTAAAGTTGTGGTAAAATACACATCACATAAAATTGATCATTTTAACCATTTATTGATGTTCTATAGAGAAAAAACAGATCTTCCTGGTTAGGGGCAAGAGATAAAGACAGGAGTCAGTTTGGCTCCTTGTCGACACCCTTCAGGACCACTCAGAAGCAGGGTGAGTGTGTCAGGGTCACCAGCATCTTCCCAGAAACTCCAAGCAGACAGGAAACAGCGCTCTTTGGGGAAAGCTGCCAGCACCTCTGGGGACGGCCAAGAGCGACAAATGCCATTTTCCTGCCATGCAGAGGGAGGCGCTGCAGGGAGAGAAGGCAGCCAAGCTGCCCCAGCCAGGGTGGACCCCTCTGCTCCCTCTTTTCTGACTTGGGAGCCACTTCTGAGAGGTGGCTGGAAGGACATCAGCTGCCCAAAGTCATTATCAGAGACATCTAGGAGGATCCAACTGGTTTCCCCCTTGTTTCGTCTCCTAGTTTTCCTCTGGGCCTTCTAGGAAACCCCTGAGACTGATGAATTCTGGAGAACAGGAAAGAAGTGGTCTCCCCAGAGGAGAGACCTGAGGGCTTTTCAAGCCGTTCAATCCACATTGCCTGGAAAGGCAGCCAAGGGTAGAGGAGGTTGTGCCTAAAGGAGGCCTGGACAGGGCCTGGATGGGGCTTTGCAGCGCCAGAGGGGGCTCCCGCGTCTCAGGGTGTAGGGGCTGCACCCCTGGAGTGAACAGAAAAGAAGGCTGGTGGTCTTGAAGGAGACATCCTGCCTCTCCCAGATCTCTGGTTGTTCCTGCCATATCAGGAAACTTCTAGCAAAGCCTTGAGGCCTTTTCTGAGCTGCAGTCACATGGGAGGGGCTGAAAGGGGTCAGAAGAATGCTGCAGAGGCCTTCCCAGTCACCACAGTCAGTCTGTGACCAAGGGGATGGGGCCTGGGCTGGCCCAGCCCTGGGAGGACAGCAGAGTGGCCAAGCAGGGTGGGAGATGTCCCTTCTGAGTCCAAACCCCAGAAGCCAGACGAGGGCTTTGCCCGAAGTCCAGCGGCCCCAAGTCACAGGAGCGAGGGTGGTCGTGGGCCTGTCTGGCGCCACACCCCGCACAATCCCAGACACAACTGAACTCGCCGTAACCTGAAATTGGGTTTGTCAGGGTTTTGTGGTATTTCTCTTTGAAACTGGAGCTGATGCTTTTGCTAAGGATGGGTGAACACAGCGATGTTTGGGGTTTGGCAGATTCCTCTGACAGGTCTTCAGACACTAGAGGCTTGGAAAAAACCGGGAGGGCACCTTGCCAAACCCCTCCATTTCCCTTTAATTTTTAAAGCCAGTGTGTACTTTGATGAGAAACTTAATACATGTGTTTCTGATTCATTTACACGTTTGGGGCCGTTGTTCTGTAACTTTGCATCCAAAGGGTCTGGGAAGCCTCTTTCATCCCCACACGGTAGAGATGCCTGGTTTTCTTTTTGGGGGAAAACAGACGGCTCAATTTTCCTGCCACACAGAGTTAGATTCTGATGGGGCTTGAAGTTCTAGGTGGCCCTTAGGCAAGTTCCCTGAGCCCCGAATGGCTCTGGGCTCTACAAGGCCCCCTCCCCGCATCCCTCTCCCCCACCACTGCAAGCCCTGTCTCCTTCCTACCCTAGAAGGACACCATGGAAATGAGTACACCAAACAGGGAACAATTCCAGGGAAACATGAGGCTCTCCGAGATTTACGACCCAAAGCTTGAGCAGATCTTAACAGAAAGGGAAGCGGGTTAAAGAATGAAAGTGAGGTCAAGTTTTTCAGTTTAATTTACAGCTAACGTCTCCTATCCTAGCAAGGAGGGCCCCCAGCCCCAGCCCTCCCTCTTTCCCCGACCTCACCCGGCCCCCAGGACTGACTGCACCATAGCCTCGCCTGCCTTGGAATCCCTTCATCCCTCTCTCTTTCATCTGTTCTTGAAAATCTATCACCAAGATGGTGAGGACCACCTCCTTCGAGGACATGGTGCCCGGCCCCATTGCCCAAAGCCTGGGAAACCATCGTTGCCACGTGCAGCTTCCACCTACGGCCAGAGCGATCCTGATGCGGGTGATGATGTGGTCTTGGGTACTGAGAGCCACTTTTCTTCAAAGAGCCGAAGTGGGAAATTAATATGCCCAGGGCTCGATGAGAACACAAAGGGGTTGTGTCACATAAGCCCCAGGAAAATGCTTCCATTTCTCTAGAGAGCTTAAGGCTTTCCTTTTAGTCACAATATCTTAGGGCGTTATCCTGTCTTCTGGGGGGTCTGAACCAATCCTCCCCTCATAGGAGCCTAAAGGTCCCCAGTTATTCCGTAATTCCCAATAGTGGGAATCACCCAGCGGCAGCATCCTGAGACCATCTGTGCCAATCAACAGTGTCTAGCGTGCAACAGAGGTTTAAACACTCGCACCCGCAGTAGCCAAGATGTGCAAACAACTGTCCACAGACAGAGGGATGGAGGAACCAAATGTGGTGTCTACATAAAACAGAAACGTATTCAGTCCTAAGAAGGAATGAAGTTCAGACACATGCCTCAGCATGGATAGCCTTGGAAACATCATGCTGAGTGAAAGAAGCCACACACCAAAGGCCACATGGTGTGCCATTGCACGGATATGAACTTTCTCGAAGAGAAAAATTCCTAGAGACAGAAAGTACAAGGGAGGCTACTGGGGGCTGGGCAGGGGACAGTGGGGAGCTGGTGTTTAATGGGGACAGAGTGTTTGGGATCATGGAAAGCTCTGGACAGGGGCAGTGATGCCTGTTACACAACACTGTGAGTGCACCAAATACCACTGAATTGTACACTAGCGCTGGTAACCATGGTGAATTGTATATGTATATTTTACCACAATTTATAAAAAACATTCACACAGGACCGTCCCCCCGAAGCCCTCCAAGAGTGGGTTCTTTCTCACCGTAGCAGCTTTCTCGCAATATCAGTATCAAAGTCCACTTGTAAGCATTCCCCGATAAGCTGAACTTGGAAAAAGGCTACAATTTTAAGCCATTCCAAACATTCTCTTAGCCGGTGGTTTCAGAAGAACATTCCCATTCATGAATAGTGCTACATCCTGCACCGGGCTCGAGTTCAAAGACTTGCTTCTTGTAAAAAAGATCATTCTCAGTTTCCAAAATCAACATTTCCCGCCTGAGCCTTTTAGCACTTGATTAGTTGGCAAAACCAATATTAGTTTAAATGAAAGGCAGTCTGCAGAGTGGCGTAACTCACTGAGCTGCCATGCCCCCACAGGGTGACCGAGGTGACGGGGTACGAGCCGCAGGACCTGATCGAGAAGACCCTATACCATCACGTGCACGGCTGCGACGTGTTCCACCTCCGCTACGCACACCACCTCCGTGAGTAGCACGCCCACCCCAGCCACGGGAGGTAGCTGGTCAGGGAGGAGGCGCTGAGGACAGAGCCGGGGGACGTGTCCCTTTTGTTGGTGCAATAATCATCCATGATACACACTTGAATCTCAAGCCCCAAGTGTGGCTTCCTCCACCCCGTGATTAAGTACGGCTGCCTGTTGTCGGTTCTCAAGCAGCCACGCGCACCCTTTCAGGGAGACTCTAGCAGGTGTAGGATCAGGAAGTTGCCTGGATTCTAGATTGTGGATGTGGAACCTAAACTCTGTGATCTGGACACCATTTGCGAATAACAGCAACAGTGGAAGACTGCTAGTTATGGAGCTCTTACTGCTGTCGGGCACTAAGTTTAAGTGACTAAATACATTACCAGCCCAGTGAGGGAGGGTCTCACTGTCATGATCCTCATTTTACCAGTGAGGATGCTGAGGTCCAGATAGGTTAAGCCGCTTGCCCACCTTCATACAGCTGGATGGTAGCGGAGTTGGAAGCTGAACCCACGCAGAGCCCTGCCTCCGACTGCTATACCCCAGCCAGCTAGGGGAAGCCCAGGGAGGCCACCATTCCACGATGGGAGAGGTCATCTTGGGACGGGGTGAACAAACACCAATTTGATTTGCCAACGGAGGCGGTTTGGGAACATCAGGATATAGAGGCGGATGCTCTAGTCACTGAAATGTTTAAAGAAGTGACACTTTTCTTTTACTTTTTTAAAATCTAAAAAAAAAAATCTTTTTGAGACAGAGTCTTGTTCTGTTGCCCAGGCTGGAGTGCAGTGGCATGAACTTGGCTCACTGCAACCTCCGCCTCCTGGGTTCAAGCAATTCTCCTGCTTCAGCCTCCCAAGTAGCTGGGATTATAGGTGCATGCCACCACGCCTGGCTAATCTTTGTATTTTTAGTAGAGACGGGGTTTCACCATGTTGGCCAGGCTGATCTCGAACTCCTGACCTCAGGTGATCCATTTGTCTCCGCCTCCCAAAGTGCTGGGATTACAGGCATGAGCCACCGCACCCAGCCACACACTTTCAGAATCCAAATGGAGGCAAAGACTAATTTGGATGGAGTGGAATGCCTCATCCTCCTGCTGTCCAGCCCTGCCACGCCCATGGCCAGTCGGGGGTGCTTTATAATGGGGTGCAGACAGTTAGAGGAGCTGGGTCTTCTGCAGTGTGGCCCAGATGGCATGTCCTCTGTTCTTGCTCTGCCTTCTGTTGGCTCAGGGACGTTAGAGGACAGGTTGCCAGTGTCGAGTGGGAGGGGGACGGCAGGCCCGCAGGCCGCTAGGTCCACAGATGCGTGGTGTGCTGGGCTCCGTGTGGACTGGGACCCGGGAACTCGATACTCCCAGGGTGTCGCTGTTGCTCTTCCCTCCCCAAATCTCTATGGACAGAAACCCGTGACAACCAGGACTTATGGCTGAGCAGGCACAGACGGCTTCTTCCTTGCTCCTTGACTCATGTGGAGACTTGGAGGTGTGAACAACCCTTTTGTGTCTTTTGTTAAAGACCAAATCATGATCTCATAACCATCTCTGTCATTCTGGAGACCAAGCTTGGTAGAGAAGCAGCTGCTTAGTGTTCGGATGGAACTTCTCCGTCGGTGTCACTAATATGGGAGCTAGAAAGTTTTCTTGAGCAAACTGGGTATGGTGTGTCAATTCTAGAATCAGATATCCAGGAGACTTGATCAGGCGGGTGTGAAGAGCAGAGTGGAGGGGCTCTGCAGTAGCAAGAGCAGTTGGGAGACGGGAGAGGCATTTGCCTCGAGGGCATAGAGCTGTGCTGTGCCCTAGAACAGTCTGGGACTTGGAGAGTGAAGGTGAGGGCTCATACCTCCACACGCTCCCCCTGCCACTGTTGGGGCGGAGGGGCTGACCAGCTGTTCTAAGGGAAAGCCCCAGCCCTGGGGGGTCTGGAGCCCCCTTCCATGGAGGCAGGAGAATGCTGGGGAGTTTAAAGCATACCCCCGAATTACAGCAAGAGAAGACTTGCTCTTCACAGCGGGCTGAAAGGCAGGAAATTAGGCCTCTAAGCACAGAGACAAAACTGAGGGAATCAAAAATCTCTTTTTTTTTAATGAGATGGAGTCTCGCTCTGTTGCCCAGGCTGGAGTGCAGTGGCATGATCTCAGCTCACTGCAGCCTCTGCCTCCTGGGTTCAAGCAATTCTCGTGTCTCAGCCTCCCAAGTAGCTGGGATTACAGGTGCCCACCACCACGCCTGGCTAATTTTTTTAGTTTTAATACAGACAGGGTTTTGCCATGTTGAGCAGGCTGGTCTTGAACTCCTGACCTCAAGTGGGACTACGGGTGTGAGCCACTGCACCTAGACAAAAGTCTTCTTTTTAAATACCATGTCTTTTATCTCACACTGCCTGGCTAACCCAGGAAGCAGGGATTTTTTTTTTTTTTTTTCAGACAGAGTCTTGCTCTGTCACCCAAGCTGGAGTGCAGTGGTGCGATCTCGGCTCACTGCAAGCTCCTCTTCCCGGGTTCATGCCATTGCCCTGCCTCAGCCTCCCAAGTAGCTGGGACTACAGGCGCCCGCCAGCAAGCCTGGCTAATTTTTTTTGTATTTTTAGTAGAGACGGGGTTTCACCGTGTTAGCCAGGATGGTCTCAATCTCCTGACCTCGTGATCCGCCCGCCTCGGCCTCCCATAGTGCTGGGATTACAGGCGTGAGCCACCATGCCCGGCCCGAAGCAGGGATTTTTTTCCCCATTTGCTTTGGAACAGTCATGAAGCCCACAGTGGTGCTCAGTCAGTGCCTCCTCTGTGTCCATCATGGGTAGATGCTTTCACTTATAGACTCTGACCTGCGGGCAGTTTGGGGAGCTGTGTCCCTCTCGTGCCCTTTTCCCAGGTGATCAGGGTGAGACTCAGGGGACACTTGTCCAAGGGCAGCAGTGGAGCTGGGGCAGGACCAAAGTCCAGCCCATTGGCTGTCGTGCTGTCAGCCGTCACCACCACACCACACCACACCACGGGGCTTAACCTTGGAGATGTGGGCTGGTGGCTGTTCTGTAGGATCCCAGCCCTCCTGAGCTTGCCTGGCTCACCAGACCCACAAGGTGATTTTATTTGAGGGGTCTTCTGTGGTTTATATGATGAAGCCACTTTATCTCACAGGAAGTTTCCAGATATTGAAGTTGTCCAAGGGGACTCTGAAAGGGCAAGCAGGCACAGGCTCAAAAAGGTAGGCGTGTTTAGAAATTAGACGGGGCATGGCTTTCTTTTCCAAATGAGCCAGAATTGGTAATTCAAAGAAAACAGAAAATAGCAAGATTGACAGTGATTGCTACTGTCCTGTGACTCTGACCTTAGCTGTGCTAGAGAAACAACCAGAAAAGACTGCACCCCAGCCAGGCCGGTGGGTTGGTGTGGTCTTGGAGTTCACCATGAGTGTGCCTGCCTCAGTTTCCCCTGGCAGCTTTGAGAGGGAGGGGAAGCAAGGATAGTCTCAGATGATGGGGAGTTCTTTGGTTCCAGCGTGGGAACCACCTGCAGGGCTGAGCAGCAGCCTCCCCTCAGAGCACTCAACTGGAATGTCACACGCCTCTCCAAAGCTAGAACTCTCTGGGAAGACAGTCAACTCCCAAGCAGGGTCTTCAGAGTCGGGGTCTTCATGGTATGGAGCTTTGTGATTGTGGAGGCCTCACTCTCCTTCCCAGGTACAGAACCTGGGCCAGAGGGGCCAACCCCAGGCCTCCTGTTCCTGCCTCTCCATCCCCAGGGCTGGGTGGCACCTGTTTGATTTCCTGAAACTCCAGAAGCTGCCCCAGAGCCTGGAGTTGAAGTGCAATGGTTGATTTGGACAGTGACTAGACATGGCCAGGGGAGGAGTGAGCCAGAGAAGAGAAGGAGCCACAAAGGGTGTTGTCCACTGGCTACAGCCGAGGGAGGCTGGCGCTCAACGCCGGGGATACCCCAGAGCCAGTGTCATCAAGCAGAGGGGAGAGTGAGCTGAGGTATTGATACCCCTGTGCCTGTCAGTCAGTAGCTGGAGGGCAGCTCTCAGGGGGCCTTGATTGCCTGGCTTACCCCCAACATGGTCAGGGTGGGCCCTGCCAAAGAAAGGCCTCAGTGGGGGAGAACAGGTCAGGCCAGTGGATGTGGCTGGGCCAGAGCAAGGCTGATGTCTTCACAGCCTGTCGTCAGCTTCCTCCCTGCTGGGCCTTCATCCAGGCTGTGTTAAGATGTTCTCTGTTCTAACCTTCCACAAGTTTCTCCCTTCCGAGCCCTGTCTGTCATCTTTCCCTTGTCCACAGAGGCCACGCCTCTCTCTGGGGGTCCCTGTTGGCTGACAGGAGCGTCCTTACACCCACACCACTGCTGTGTGAGGGCTGAGGGAAGCCCATCCCCCACACTCTCCAGCTCTGTCTCCACTCCTGGCTTTGTACCAATAGCTGCTGCTCTCCTCTTGGGGACATGTGCCCCACTGCTGCTTGGCCCCACAGAGTCCCAACCAAGGGACCTCAGGTCTGGACGATGCTTTTGTCTTGTGGTGTTTGGGTCCTGATGGGGACTTGGGGACTGTCTTAGTGTCCCAGGCACAATTCAGCCCTCAACTAGGTCATTCCTTAATATGTCCGTATCCTCACTCAAGTTGTGGGGAGAGGCCCTTCCCATATTATAGCTGCAGAGGCCGACTTGGGGAGGACAGGGGAGAAGCTGAGAAGGTGGGAGGCCCCATTTTGAAATGGGACTTGTTAGTCCTGTCACACAGTGCTTTGGTGGCTGACAGCCCGGCTCAGGGCCTGGCTTGAGGGAAGGGCAGTGAGGCCAGACTTCCTATTCAGCCTCCTGCCCTCCCAGGTTCCACCAGGGTCCCCACTGTGGCCACTGCAGACCTGAGACTCAAGTCTTTCAACTCCATCAGCTAGAGCTGGCCCCGTGGCTGCCCGAGGGATGCGGGGACACAGGCAGCCTGCCAGCTTCCCTTCCATCTGCCACAACCGAGTGTAGCTGGAGGTAGCCAGCAGTGACAGCAACCCCCGCCCGGGCCCCTCAGGACTCCTCACAGTGAGATGCCCAGACGCATCTGTCGTGGGCAGTGGGTGAGGTCACCGAGAGCAGGAACAAAGCAGACAGCTGCCAACAGCCAGGACCCGAGTGAGGTCACTGTCCCCTCTTCTGGGGCCTCGCTTTCCCCACACCGGTAGCCAAAAGCCAGGAACCTCTGGGGTCAGTGCCAAGGGCTCTGCAGAGGCCTGATTGGAGGTAAGAGGTGGTGGTCCGGGAGGGCCAGACAGCCCGATGGTTTGCACACGTTCTTCAGAATATTATCTTCACTGGGAGCAAGAGTCCACAGGGGCTGAAGAAATCGCAGCCCCTAAAGAGAAAGAACTCCCAGCCTCCAGAAACTTGAGCTTTGTGAGGAAGAGCAGGGCCAGCAGCACAGGCTTTGGGGAGCACAGGTTTGCAGAGGTCAGGCGAGGGGGCACCTCGGACCAGAGAAGGGGGCATGCGGGCGTCATGTCGGTGTGGTCTGGGTGTCACCAGGTGAGTCTGTGAAGTCAGAGCTGTGCCACAATATTCCCCAGAACTAACTTCCTTCCCTTCCTTCCCTCCTTCCCTTCCCTTTCCTTTCCTCCCTCCCTCCCTTTCTTCTTTCTTTCTTTTCCTTCTTTCTTTTTCTTTCTGTCTTTCCTCCCTCCCTCCCTTTCTTCTTTCTTTCTCTTTCTTTTCTTTCTTTCTTTTTCTTTCTTTCTTTCTTCCTTCCTTTTCTTTTTCTTTCTTTTTCTTTCGTTCTTTCTCTCTCTTTCTTCATTTTTATTTTTTAGAGACAGGGTCTCACTCTGTCACCCAGTCTGGAATACAGTAGCGTGGTCGGAGCTCACTCTAACCTTGAACTTCTGGCCTGAAGTGATCCTCCTGCCTCAGCCTCCTGAGTAGCTGGGACTACAGGCATGTACCACCATACCCAGCGAATTTTTAAATGTTTTTGGTAAAGATGGGGTCTTGCTATGTTGCCCAGGCTGGGCTTAAGCTCCTGTGTTCAAGTGATCCTCCCATCTTGACCTCCCAAAGTGTTGGGATTACAGGCATGAGCCACCATACCCGGCCCCAGAACATTCTGTAAAGAAAAGTGAACACGGGATCATCATAAATGGAACCACTGTGACCCTCCCACCCCACGCCTCACCCACCACCTGAGGTGGCTGATTAAAGGCACCATGCTCCAGCCTGGCCTCAGGAAAGCCGAGCTCTGCCTCCCCGCTTTCTTTGTTTCATGTTTGGGAGACTTTTTCTTGTATGTAGGGGGAGCTGGCAAAGGCTTGTGATCTGTTGACCCAGACCCTCAGGGGGGGCTGAGCACAGCCTGGTCCATAGGTGGAGAAGGGATCAGTGTCAGTAAACCTGACAGTTTGTGTCATGGGACACTGGGCTGTCCATGGTTTGGAAGAACCGTGATGTCCACATGGCTATTCTTCCAAGGTTGTTGAGAATTTCACCCGGCTCTCTAGGTAGGCTCCTGCCCAGAATGGGCCAAGCCCAGACCACAAAGAGAACACAGGCCATGTGCAGCTATTAAAACATTTCAATGTCCACTTTGGGAGGCCAAGGCGGGCGGGTCACTTGGGGTCAGGAGTTTGAGACCAGCCTGGCCAACATGGTGAAACCCCGTCTCTACTAAACAATACAAAACTTAGCCGGGCGTGGTGGCATTCGCCTGTAATCCCAGCTATTCAGGAGTCTGAGGCAGGGAGAATCTCTTGAACCCAGGAGACGGAGGTTGCAGTGAGCCGAGATTGTACCACTGCACTCCAGCCTGGGCAAAAGAGCAAGACCCTGTCTCAAAAAAAAAAAAAAAAAAAAAGCAAAAAAAAAGCAAAAAGAAAAAAGCATGGGGCCATATTCCTAAGGGCTTGAATAGATTTTGAGGTTGAAGAGCTTAGCGAGCACTAGTCCTCTTGAAATCCGTGGATGGATCCTCAGTCTGAGCCTGCTGCATCTCTTGGTTATTTTGGACCATAAACAAATTGGCCAAGTCTCCCTTAAAAGGTGAGCCCACCTCACCCCCATACGTATTATTCAATGTATTACTTTGAAAGTAATAGCAGCCAGATGCGGTGGCTCACGCCTGTAATCCCAGAACTTTGGGAGGCCAAGGCAGGCAGATCATGAGGTCAGGAGTTAGAGACCAGCCTGGCCAACATAGTGAAACCCCGTCTCTACTAAACTACAAAAAATTAGCCGGGTGTGGTCGTGGGTGCCTGTAATCCCAGCTACTCGGGAGGCTGAGGCAGGAGAATCACTTGAACCTGGGAGGCGGAGGTTGCAGTGAGCTGAGCTCATGCCACTGCACTCCAGCCTGGGTGGCAAAGCCAAGACTCCGTCTCCAAAAAAAAAGTAATGGCAAAAATCGCAAGTACTTCTATACCAACCTAATAGCTATAGAGAACTTTCCAGAGGCCGCTGCTCCCTCCTCCCACAGCTGCCACTTTGAGGACACCTGGGCTGGACTCCAGCTGTGCCCTCAAGCTCTGTTGGCCCCGGTTTCCTGGTGCTGCCCACCTCCCACCTCCCACTGTTGTAGTGGGGGTAGAATGAGGCAATCCTGTGAAATGAGCTGGAAGTAGACACCATGTATCTTTTCATTAGAGAAGCAAACCCCCAAAGGAGAAGCATTGTCAGGCTTCTCTCTTTGCCATGGCCTTTGCCTATACCCTTGAGCAGTGATCTGAGTCGGCTGAGATGCAGATGTTAAGCCTGGGCAGAAAAGCGCTGCTCTCTGCATGGTCCGGGAGAGACCCCTCTCCAGCCGGTGGCATGCTCGTTACGCAACACTGCCTCATGTCCCCAGGTTCATCCTGACGGGGTGGTGGGGCTTGATGGAGACTGGATTCCTGCCTCCCAACCCCCACAATCTTCTCTCCCATGTAAAAAACAAAACCATTTCATTCTGGTTAAACCTCCTCCTCGTTGGAAATTTAGAAAGTCAAGGAAAGCTGAAAAGAAGAAAGTGAAAATTATCTGTCATTTTCAGTCAGATAAAAGTTAATATGTATTGAGCCCTTCAGCTGTGTCTGCCAGTGTTCTAAATCCTCAAATAGATCATCTAATCTTTCAACAACCATATGAAGTAAGGACTGATTATCCTTTTTTTATAAATGAGGAAATTGAGTCACAGGGGGGTTGGTAGCTAGTCTAGGATCACACAGTTTGTTGGAGGGGGTAGTGTATGCACGTGCCCACTTTTTCATAATTAGGGTTATACTTTACACATTTCTGAATCTTGTCTTTTCTTCTGTTAACATTGTATCACACATTTCCCATAATATAACAATTTCTTATTAATCATCATTTTAATGGCTGCATAGTTTGCCATAATGTATTTACTCTTTTCCCTACCGTTGAAGAGTTAAGTCTCTCCCCACCCCTTTTCCCTGAATTTTCAGCAATATTGCAATGAAACCCTTTGTAGGTAAGTCTGTGTTTGCACACACAGACCTGCTCACAATTTCCATAGGATCAATTCCTAGAAGTGAGATCAGTGTGTCAGAGGGTGTGAGCTATCAGACTGCTTTCCACCAACTCATCCTTCCATCACACATGAAAATGCCTCTCACTGGGCCAGGCGCCGTGGCTCACACCTGCAATGGCTGCATAGTTTGCCATAATGGCAAACTATGGGAGGGCAAGGTAGGCGGACCACTTGAGGTCAGGAGTTTGAGACCAGCCTGGCCAACCTGGCAAAACTGGGGAGGCTGAGGCAGGAGAATTGCTTGAACCCAGGAGGCAGGTTTCAGTGAGATCATGCCACTGCACTCCAGCCTGAGCAACACAGAGAGACTCTGTCTCAAAAAAAAAAAAAGAGAAAGAAGAGAAGAAAGAAAGAAAGAGAGAAAGAAAGAAAGAAAGAAAGAAAGAAAGAAAGAAAGAAAGAAAGAAAGAGAAAATGCCACTCACCATAGATTAGCCGGTGTCACCTGTTGGCCTTTCATTTTTTTTTTTTTTTAGATAAAATTCACCTTTCTCACCATTTTCAGTGTTTTTTAGTTATATTCACAGTGTTGAACAACTATCACCTTTAATTCCAGAACGTTTTCATCATCCCAAAAGGAGCCTGTCACCCCAGTCCCCCTCGTGCTTCAGCCCCTGGCACCCACTCATTTGTTTTTGGACTCTGTGGATGTGCCTATTCTGGAAGTTTCATGTAAAGGGAATCATACAATGTTTGTTTCTATTTTAATGTCTGTTGATCTGATGGATGGATCTGCCTTTGAGTTAAACAAGGGAGTTGGGCATTTGTTCATCATTTTGCCCATTATATTTATTCTTTGATCTTTGCCTATATTGCTTTTAGGGTCTTTGTGTTTTTATCAATCTGTACGAACCCCCTATATATTAAGGTGAATAACTCCGTGCAGCATTTTCTTTTGCACCAAAATATTTTGATGTGGATGAGAAAGAGCCATCTGCAAGGTGAAAAGGAACCGTAAAGGGCCACAGACAGCCCAGGAGTGTTTGGGCAGAGACTGGGGGCTTTGCCCAGCGGTATGACAGGAAGGCTGAATTTTTGTTGCATATGAGCCTCAAAGGCTGAATTTTTGTTGGAAATGCACCTTGGGGAGTTTCCTTCAGCCCCAGCTGGTACAGTCACAGACTCAGCCCCTTTGGCCACCTCCCCAGATCTCTGCTCAGGCAGCTGCTAGTTAGGTCCAGGGGCCAGTCCTGCCTTGAGAAGCAGGAATGTTCTGGAGCTGAGGACCCAGACATCCAAGGGTGTCTTTCTAGACTTGTGCTATCCTCCTCTTCCCTGGAGAAGCTTCACCTCTCCACTGCCCACCTGCGGGTTCTGGCACTTTCCTCCCCCACCTGCCTCCTGGAAGGCGGTGAGGTGGAATTGTGGTTTATGGGTGCACCGAGCCTTTGGCTGAGCTGCTTAGCGGCCTGGAGTTTGCACCCAAGCATAGAAGACAGGCCCATAGGCCCAATTTTCAGGAACTCTGCAGCCAAGTAGAGGTCTTTCCTACATAAACAACATAGCAAATTAATGGGCCCAAGGAAAACTGGGATTAATGGGAAGAAAATATAAATGGCAACAAACAGTTTCACTGTGAATACCCTCATGTTCCTGAACAGCAAACATCAGCAACAGCTTGACACTTGGTTGAATGCACTTAACTGACTACTTTGTGTAAATAACTACATCACTCACCCCCCCTCCCCATTAAGGATTTGGGGATTAAAACATAATTGTGGCATTTTGAAAACTAAAAAGCAGATTGAATTTTTTCATTCTGCCAGATACAAACTTTGGTGGCTAATGTTTCCCTCAATGAAAGCAATGACTGTTAAATAAGAGTTCTTAATGGGTGGGAACTCCTTGAAGCTGAAGGCAAAATTCCTGTGTGCACATGTATATGCACGCGTGTGTGTGTGTGCACGCACGAGACGCACACAGACATGCACCCTCCAGCGGAGAAAGCCCGCCCCCTTTGTCAAGTTCTCAGAGGTGTCCTTGGGACAGAGGTCACCGTTGGGGGCAGCATCCCAGAGGTGGGGCCTGCGAAGCGTCTGAGGACTCCTGTCACCTTGTGCTTGCAGTGTTGGTGAAGGGCCAGGTCACCACCAAGTACTACCGGCTGCTGTCCAAGCGGGGCGGCTGGGTGTGGGTGCAGAGCTACGCCACCGTGGTGCACAACAGCCGCTCGTCCCGGCCCCACTGCATCGTGAGTGTCAATTATGTACTCACGTAAGTCACACGTATTTGTTTCTCTCCTTGCTCTTTTCTCTTCCCTGTCCCACATCGGATGGCTCCAATAAGCACCATCTCTCTTTCTCTCTTTCTCAAACTGTTCATTTGTCTTCTGTTTTTTTTCTTTTTTTTAATTTTTTTTTTTTAGGAATCTGGTCATTTTGGAAGGTGCAAACTATTTCTATGCTCAGCGGTGAAAGCCAAGTGCTAGGCTGCAGGGGGAGCCAGGAGGAGGGGGCCTGCCCTGGGCATAGCTTCGGATCCCATCACAGAACCTAGTGAGGAGCATGGGGGCGGATGGTGATGCCCCCCATCCTGAATAGGGTGCAAAGAGGGTGCACACCCCCCATCAAGAATATAAACTTGTGCTATCCATGCCTATAAGCCTTTAGGTCATCTTAGATGCTCCTGCTGTTTGAGACAGGAAATATCCCATTTTTTACCTGTCTTCTTATAGAGCCTGTTACAAATTAATCATGGTGAATATTTGGTCCTTTAAACACTCCAGAAGGTCAAGTTCAGTCGCAAATGCCTTTTTTTTTTTGTAAATTAAAAAAAAATATGTTTTTGTAGAGACGGGGTTTTGCTATGTTGCCCAGGAGCTGGTCTCGAACTCCTGGCTTCAAGTGATCCTCCCACCTCGGCCTCCCAAAGTGCTGGAATTACAGGCATGAGCCACGGTGCCCAGCCTGCAAATACTTTTAAGGCCATTAGAAGCAATAGGACAGATGTCTATCTGGGGCCATATATTACTTTCCACCCACCATAGCTATTGTACGTTCAATCACCTTGCTCCAGGCTGTGACCCTTGCCATGCCGCCAGCCCCATGATGAAAAGAGTTCTCGTTTGCACTTTACATGGGGTGAGGATTTAGGCTCTAGGTTTGTTCATAGAATGACTGTGTCTTAGAAGTCAAGTGATTCTGACAAAACTGTCAGGGAGAAAACAGTTTAGCCCTTTAGTTATTCTTCCTGAGCAAATGTGTGGGCTGGTTCTCCAGGTCGACCTCTCCTTGTGTGAACATGACCCTGCTGAGTTGGTTCTTTAGGGCAGAGATGGGCCCCCGATGTGAGAATGCACAAAGCTGGTGGTCAGGCTCCCAGACCTGTGAAGAGTCCCGGACTCTTGCCTCCTGGGGTGCTAACTGGAGAGGCAGCTGGGCCACAGGTGTGCATGTTGGATGCAGGTGGACCTGATCAATGGTATTTCTGCCTGTCTCTTTTTCCCTTGGTGGCTTTCCTCATGGCCCACGACCTCCCCGAGCAATGTGTTTGGGGTTTTATTGGACTGGAGAGAGCTCTGACCTGGCTCAGCATTTCCTGGGGTGGCCCAGCCTGGGGCTGCAGATGGCTTTTATAATGAGGGTGAGCTGGCCTTGTCTCAAATCCCATCCACATCCAATCCCAGTGAAAAGACACACTGGAGCACTGAGAACGCCCTGCCCAAGGGCTGGGGCCAGGGAAGCTGCTCGGCCTCCAGCGCCTGCTGGACATGACTCGGCCCACTCTCGCCTTCCAGGGAGATTGAATACAAGGAACTTCAGCTGTCCCTGGAGCAGGTGTCCACTGCCAAGTCCCAGGACTCCTGGAGGACCGCCTTGTCTACCTCACAAGAAACTAGGAAATTAGTGAAACCCAAAAATACCAAGATGAAGACAAAGCTGAGAACAAACCCTTACCCCCCACAGGTAACACGCATGTCCTGCAGTTTTGGGGTGCTGACATCTATCCTAGGGGTTCGGGACACCTGGACACATTAAGGAATGGGGAGCCTCTCATTGCACAGCAGGGATCTCCCTGCCGTGGAGCAAGGTCCCTCTGGGATGTCTTGCCTACACAGTAGTGACAGCCCGGGGAAGGCCGACATCCCGGTGGGCTAGTCAAGTTTAGGAAACAGAAGACTAAATTGGAAAGGCACTTCAGCCCACTAGAATCCATGGGTTAGATTCTAATGGGCTTGACGGGTTGGAATCCACGGGTTAGATTCTAGACTGGTGGGTTAGAATACCAGTCCATTGTATTTCTGCAGCATTTTAAAAATGAAAGCCCTCCCTCTTTTTAAAAAAGTAGTTTGTGAGCTCTCAGAAATAGCAATTGTCGGTTGGGCGTGGTGGCCCATGCCTGTAATACCAGCACTTTGGGAGGCCGAGGCAGGTGGATCACCTGAGGTCAGGAGTTTGAGTCCAGCCTGGCCAACATGGTGATACTCCATCTCTATTAAAAATACAAAACTTCGCGCCTGTAGTCCCAGCTACTCAGGAGGCTGAGACAGGGAAATCGCTTGAACCCGGGAGGTGGAGGTTGCAGTGAGCTGAGACAGTGCCACTGCACTCCAGCCTGGGTGACAGAGCAAGACTCCATCACTTGTTCTGTGCCAAGTGAACTTTGGTAATGTGGTCATTAGCAGATAGACCAGTTGAACGTCACGGCCTCCACATTATGACAAAAAAAAAAAAAAAAAGAAAGAAGGAAAA